>NC_000010.11:38573338-38906036 GCF_000001405.40 Homo sapiens | reverse complement strand
ATAAATTCCATTCGAGACCATTCCTTTGAGTCCATTATATTTGAGTCCATTCCATTCCATTCCATTCGATGCCATGTCATTCGATTCTCTTCCATTGAAATACAATCCATTAGAGTCCATTCCATACCATTCCATTCCTCTCCATTCCATTCCATTCCACTCCGTTCATTGCCAATCCATTCAATTCTATTCAATTCGAATCCATTCCATTCCATTGTGTTCCATCCGATTTCATTCCATTCTATTCCTTTCCATTCCTTCCATTCCATTCGTTTCCATTCAATTTGACTACATTCCACTCCAGTCCATACCATTCGAGTGTATTCCATTCCAGTCCATTCCATTCGAGTCCATTCCATTTGATATCTTTCCATTACGCTCCGTTCCATTCTATTCTTTTCAATTCCATTCAATTCCATTCCATTCGATTCCATTCCATTTGATTCCATTCCTTTTGACTCCTTTCCTTTCAAGTGCATTCCATTCCCTTCCATTAAATTCCTTTCCATTCCATTACACTCTGTTCCATTCCATTTTTTTCCAGTCTGTTCCACTCGATTCCACTCCATTCCATTCTATTCCATTCCATTGCATTCCATTGCATTCCATTTGATTACATTCCATTCGATTCCATTACATTCAAATCAATTACATTGCAATCCGTTACATTCAAGTCCTTTCTATTTCAGTCCATTCCATTCATGTCCATTCCATTTGATTCCATGCCATTCGATTTCATTACATACTATTGCATTCCATTTGATTAAATTCTATTCGAATAAATTCCATTCGAGACCATTCCTTTCGAATCCATTCTACTTGATTCCATTCCATACGAGTCCATTACATTTGGGTCCATTCCATTCCATTCCATTCCATTCGATTGCAATCCTTTCGTTTCCATTTTGTTCCAGTACATTCCATTGGAGTCCATTCCATTCTAGTCCATTCCATTCGATTCCATTCCATTCCACTCGATTCCAGTCCATTCCATTCCATTGCATTCCATTTTATTCCATTCCATTGCCTTGCATTCCATTCCTTTTGATTACATTCAATTCGATTCCATCCCATTCAAATCATTTACTTTGCAATCCATTACATTCGAATTCATTCTATTCCAGTCCATTCCATTCCAGTCCATTCGATTCGATTTGATTTGATTCCAATCCATTCCATTCTATTGCATTCCATTCGATTCCAATGTATTCAAATAAATTCCATTCGAGACCATTCCTTTAGAGTCCATTCTATTTGAGTCCATTCCATTCGAGTCCATTACATTTGGTTCCATTTCATTCCATTCCATTCCATTCCATTCCACTCGATGCCATTCCATATGATTCAGTTCCGTTGGAGTCCTTTCCATTCGAATCTATTCCATTCCAGTCCATTCAATGCCATTCCATTAGATTCTATTCCATTCCACTCCATTCCATTCCATTCGATTGCAATCCATTCGTTTCCATTTTGTTCCAGTCCTCTCCATTCGAATCCATTCCATTCCAGTCCACTCCGTTTGATTTCATTCCATTGGAATCCATTCCATTCGATTCCATTCCACTTGATTCCAGTCCATTCCATTTTCTTGCATTCCATTCTATTCCATTCCATTGCATTCCATTCCATTCCATTTGATTACATTCCATTCGATTCCATTCCATTCAAATCTATTACATTGCAATCCATTACATTTCAGTCCTTTCTATTCCATTCCTTTCCATTCCGGTCCATTCCATTCGATTCCATTCCATTTGACTCCGTTCCATACTATTGCATTCCATTCAATTCCATTTTGTTTGAATAAATTCCAGTCGAGACCATTCCTTTCGAGTCCAATCTATTTGAGTCCATTCCATTCGTGTCCATTAAATATGAGTCCATTGCATTCCATTCCATTCCATTCCATTCCATTCCATTCGATGCCATGCCATTTGATTCTCTTCCATTGGAATACAATCCATTAGAGTTCATTCCATTCCATTTCATTCCATTCCATTCCATTTCATTCCAGTCCATTTCATTCCACTCCATTCATTGCCATTCCATTCAATTCTATTCAATTCGAATCCATTCCAATCCACTGTGTTCCATCCATTTCCATTCCATTCTATTCCTTTCCATTCCATTCCATTCCATTTGTTTGCATTCAATTTGACTGCATTCCACTCCAGTCCATAGCATTCAAGTCTATTCCATTCCAGTCCATTCCACTCGAGTCCATTTCTTTCCATTCCATTCGATATCTTTCCATTACGCTCCGTTCCATTCTATTCTTTTCGATACTATTCAATTCCATTCCATTCGATTCCATTCCATTCGATTCCATTCATTTCGACTCCATTCATTTCGACTCCATTTCATTCAAGTGCATTCCATTCTATTCTAGACATTCTGTTCCGTTCGATTCCAATCCGTTCCATTCCATTTTGTTCCAGTTTTCTTATTTGTGTCCATTCCATTCCCATCCATTCCACTCGATTCCACTCCATTCCATTCTATTACTTAGCATTCTATTCTATTCCATTGCATTCCATTCCATTTCATTCCATTTGATTACATTCCATTCGATTCCATTACATAGCATTCTATTATATTCCATTGCATTCCATTCCATTCCATTTGATTCCATTCCTTTCAATTCCATTACATTCAAATCAATTACATTGCAATCCATTACATTCAAGTCCGTTCTATTCCAGTCCATTCCATTCCTGTCCATTCCATTCGATTCCATTACATACTATTACATTCCATTTGATTAAATTCTATTTGAATAAATTCCACGCATGAGCATTCCTTTCTAATCCATTTCTATTTGAGTCCATTCCATACGAGTCCATTACATTTGGGTCCATTCGATTCCATTCCATTCCATTCCATTCCATTCCATTCCATTCCATTCCATTAGATTCTATTCCATTCGAGTCCATTCAATTACATTACACTCAAGTCCATTCCATTCTATTCTATTCCACTCAATTCCATTCCATTCAATTCCATTCCATTTGATTCCATTCCACTCGATTCCACTCCATTCCATTCCATTGCATTCCATTCTTCTCCATTCCATTTCATTCCATTCCATTCCAATTGCTTACATTCCATTCGATTCCTTTCCATTCGAATCAATTACATTGCAATCCATTACATTCGAGTACGTTCTATTCCAGTCCATACCATTCCGGTCCATTCCATTCATTTCCATTCCATCGATTCCATTCCATACTATTGCTTTCCATTCAATTCCATTCTATTCGAATAAATTCCATTCGAGACCATACCTTTCGAGTCCATTCTATTTGAATCCATTCCATTCGAGTCCATTAAATTTGGGTCCATTGCATTCCATTCAATTTCATTCCATTCCATTCCATTTCATTCCATTCCATTCCATTCGATGCCATTCCTTTCCATTCTATACCATTCGAGTCCAGTCCTTTTGAGTCCATTCCATTCCATTCCATTCCATTCAATGCCATTCTATTCTATTCTATTATATTCGAATCCACTCATTTCGAGCCCATTCCATTCCATTTGATGCCATTCCATTCAATTCTATTCTATTTGACTCCACTCCATTCAATTCCATTCCATCCGATTCAATTCCATTCTATTCCCTTCTGTTCCATTCCATTGCATTCAATTTGTTTCAATTCCATTTGATTGCATTACACACCAGTCCATTCCATTCGAGTGCATTCCTTTCCTGTCCATTCCATTCGAGTCCATTCCATTCCTTTCCACTCCATTCCATTCGTTATCTTTCCGTTACACTCCATTCCATTCTGTTCCTTTCGATTCAGTTCAATTCCATTCTATTCAATTCCATTCCATTCAATTCCATTCCATTTGACTCCATTCCACTCGTGTCCATTCCATTGCATTCCATTCCATTCCTTTCCGTTCGATTCCAATTATTTCGATTCCATTTTGTTCCAGTCCATTCCATTCGAATCCATTCCATTCCAGTCCTTTCCAATCGATTCCATTCAATTCGATTCCATTCCATTCAATTCCATTCCACTCGATTACACTCTTTTCCATTCCATTGCATTCCATTCTATTCCATTCCTTTTCATTCCTTACCATTCCATTTGATTACATTGCATTCTATTCCATTCCTTTCGAATCAATTACATTGCAGTCCATTACATTCGAGTCAGTTCTATTCCAATCCGTTCCATTCCAGTCCACCCATTTGATTCCATTCCATACTATTGCATTCCATTCGATTCGTCTATTCGAATAAATTCTATTCGAGACTATTCCTTTTGATTCCATTCTGTTTGACTCCATTCCATTTGAGTCCATTACATTTGGGACCCTCCATTCCATTCCATCCCATTCCATTCGATGCCATTCCATTCCATTCTTTTCCATTCAAGTCCATTCCATTCAAGTCTATTGAATTCCATTCCCTTACATTGCATTATATTTGATCCCATTCCATTCGATTCTAGTACTTTCAACTCCATTCCATTCCATTCCGTTCCATCCAATTCCATTCCATTCTATTCCTTTCCATCCGATTCCATTCCATTCCATTCCCTTCCATTCGTTTCCATTCCATTCGAGTCCATTCCACTCCAGTCCATTCCATTTTATTCCATTCCATTCCAGTCCATTTCATTCCATTCTATTCCATTGGATATATTTCCATTACCCTCCATTCTTTCTATTCCTTTCGATTACATTCAATTCCATTCTATTCAATTCCACTCCTTTCGATTCCATTCCATTCTACACCATTTCATTCGGGTCCATTCCAATCCATTCCATTCCATTCGGTTTGATTCAATTCCACTCGATTCCACTCCATTCCATTTTATTGCATACCATTCTATTTCATTCCATTCCATGCCATTCCATTCTATTCTATTCCATTCGAGTCCATTCCATTCGAGTCCATTGCATTCCATTCCTTTGATTGCATTCCATTCAATTCTATTCCATTTGACTCCATTCCATTCCATTCCGTTCCATATGATTCCATTCCATTATATTACTTTCCCTTCCAATACATTCCCTTCCATTCCTTTCCATTCCATTCGAGACCATTCCACTCCAGTCCATTCCATTCGAGTCCATTCCATTCCAGTCCATTCCATTCGCGTCCATTCCATTCCATTCTATTAGATTCGATATATTTCCATTTCCCTCCATTCTATCTATTCTTTTCAATTGCATTCAATTCCATTCTATTTAATTACATTCCATTGGATTCCATTCCATTTGACTCCATTCCATTCGGGTCCATTCCATTCCATTCCTTTCCATTCCATTACATTCCATTTGGTTCGATTCCATTCCACTCGATTCCACTCTGTTCCATTTTATTGCATTCCATTCTATTCCATTCAATTCCATGCCATTCCATTCAATTCTATTCCATGCGAGTCCATTCCATTCGAGTCCATTGCATTTCATTCCATTCGATTGCATTGCATTCGTTTCTATTCCTTTTGACTCCATTTCACTCCATTCCATTCCTTCCGATTCCATTCCACTCGATTCCACTCCGTTCCATTTTATTGCATTCCATTCTATTCCATTCAATTCCATGCCATTCCATTCAATTCTATTCCATGCGAGTCCATTCCATTCGAGTCCATTGCATTTCATTCCATTCGATTGCATTGCATTTGTTTCTATTCCTTTTGACTCCATTTCACTCCATTCCATTCCTTCCGATTCCATTCCATTCTTTTCCTTTCCATTCCAATCCATTGCGTTCAAGTCGTTTCCATTCCACTCCAGTCCATAACATTCAAGTCCATTCCACTCCAGTCCATAACATTCAAGTCCATTCCACTCCAGTCCATTCCATTCGAGTCCATTCCATTCCAGTCCATTCCATTTGAGTCAATTCCATTCCATTCCATTCCATTCGATATCTTGTAATTCACTCCCTACTTTTCCATTCCATTCGTTGCCATTCCATGCTATTCTATTCCATCCGAGTTCATTCCTTTCAAATCCATTCAATTCCACTCCATTCGATGCCATTCCATTCAACTCCTCTTCATTAGACTCCATTCCATTCCATTTAGTGCCATACGATTCCATTCCATTCTATTCCATTCCATTGCATTCCATTCCATTCCATTCCATTCCATTCCATTCCATTCCATTCCATTCCATTCCATTCATTTCCATTCCATTCGAGTCCATTCCACTCCAGTCCATTCCATTCGAGTCCATTGCATTCCATTCCATTCAAGTCCATTCCATTCCATTCCATTGCACTCGTTATCTTTCCTTTACACTCCATTAACTTCTTTTCCTTTTGATTCCATTCATTTCCATTCCATTTGATTCCATTCCATTTGATTCCCTTCCATTCCACTCCATTCCTTTCGAGGCCATTCCTTCCATTCCATTCCGTATCGTTAGATTCCAATCTGTTCGATTCCATTTTGTTCCAGTCCATTCCATTCGTGTCCATTCCATTCCAGCTCATTCCAATCGATTCCAATCCATTCGATTCCATTCCATTGGATTCCATTCCACTCGATTTCACTCCATTCCATTCCATTGCATTGCATTCCATTCCAGTTGATTACATTACATTTGATTCCATTCCATTCGAATCAATTACGTTGCAATCCATGGCATTCAAGGCCATTCTTTTCCACTCCATTCCGGTCCATTCCATTCGATTCCATTCCATACTATTGCATTCCATTTGATTCCGTTCTATTCGAATAAGTTCCATTCGAGACCATTCCTTTCGAGTCCATTGTATTTGAGTCCATTCTGTTTGAGTCTATGACATGTGGGTCCATTCCATTCCATTCCATTCCATTCGATGCCATACCATTCGATTCTATTCCATTCGAGGCCATTGCATTCGAGTCCATTTAATTTAATTCCATTCCATTCCATTCCATTCCATTCCATTCCATTCCATTCCATTCGATGCCGTTCTAATTGATTCTATTCCATTCGACTCAATTCCATTCCACTCCACCCGATTCCATTCCATTCTATTCTTTTCTGTTCCATTCCATTCCATTCGTTTACATTCCATTCAAGTCCATTCCACTCTAGTCTATTCCATTCGAGTCCATTTCTTTCCAGTCCATTCCATCCAAGTCCATTCCTTTCCATTCCATTCAATATCTTTCCATTGAACTCCATTCCATTCTATTCATTTTGATTCAATTCAATTCCATTCCATTCGATGCCATTCCAATTAATTCTATTCCATTTGACTCCATTCCATTCCATTCCATCCGATTCTATTCCATTCTATTCTTTTCCATTCCATTCGAGTCCATTCCACTCCAGTCCAGTCCATTCGAGTCCATTCCATTCCAGTCCATTCCATCCGATTCCATTCCTTTCCATTCCCTTCGATATCTTTCCATTAAATTCCATTCCATTCTATTCATTTCGATTCCATTCAATTCCATTCCATTTTTTTCCATTCCTTTCGATTCCATTCCATTTTACTCCACTCCATTCAAGTCCATTCCATTCCATTCCATTCCATTCCGTTCCATTCTATTCCAATCCGTTCGATTCCATTTTGTTCCAGTCCATTCCAATCGTGTCCATTCCATTCCAGTCCATTCCATTCGATGCTATTCCATTTGATTCCATTCCACACGATTCCACTCTGTTCCATTCCATTGCATTCCATTCTATTCCATTAAATAGCACTCCATTCCATTCCATTCGGTTACATTCCATTCGATTCCATTCCATTCGAATCAATTACTTTGCAATCCATTACATTTGAGTCCATTCTATTCCACTCCATTCCATTCCGGTCCATTCCATTCGATTCCATTCCATTCAATTCCATTCCATACTATTGCATTCCATTCGATTCCATTCTATTTGAAAAATTCCATGCGAGACCATTCCTTTCGAGTCCATTCTATTTGAGTCCATTCCTTTCGAGTCCATTACATTGGGATCCATTCCATTCCATTCCATTCCATTCGATACCATTCCATTTGTTTCTATTCCATTTGAGTCCACTCCATTCGAGTCCTTTCTATTCCATTCCATTCCATTTGATGTCATTCAATTCAATTCTATTCCATTCGACTTCATTCCATTCCATTCTGTTCCATCCGATTCAATTCCATTCTATTCCTTTCCATTCCATTCCGTTCTATTCAGTTCGTTTCTTTCCATTCGAGTTCATTCCACTCCAGTCCATTCCATTCGAGTCCATTCCATTCCAGGCCATTCCATGCGAGTCCATTCCATTCCATTCAATATCTTTCCATTGCACTCCCTTCCATTCCACTCCATTCGATGCCATTCCATTCTATTCAATTCCATTCGAGTCCATTCCATTCGAGTCCATTCCATTCCATTCCATTCAATGCCATTCCATTCGATTCTATTCTATTCAAATCCATTCAATTCCATTCCGCTCCATCCAATTCCTTACATTCTATTCCTTTAAATTCCATTCCATTCAATTCCATTCCATTCTATCCCTTTCCATTCTATTCCATTCCATTCCATTCGTTTCCATTCCTTTTGATTCCATTCCACTCCATTTCATTCTATTAGATTCCACTTCGTTCCAGTCTATTCCATTCGAGACTATTTCGTTCCAGTCTATTCCATTCGAGTCGATTCCACTCCTTTCCATTCCATTCGATATCTTTCCATTACACTCCATTCTATTCTATTCCTTTCATTTCCTTTCAATTCCGTTCCATTTGGTTACATTCCATTTGACTCCATTCCATTGACGTCCATTCTTTTCCTTTCCGTTGCATTCCATTCTGTTCGATTCCAATCCATTTGATTTCATTTTGTTCCACTCCATTCCAATCGAATCCGTTGAATTCCAGTCCATTCCATTTGATTACATTCCATTCGACTCCATTCCTTTCGATTCCATTCTATTAGTATAAATTCCATTCAAGACCATTTCTTTCAAGTCCATTCTATTTGAGTCCATTCCATTCGTGTCCGATACATTTGTGTCCATTCCATTCCATTCCATTCTATTCCAATCCATTCCATTCCATTCAAGGCGATTGCATTCGACTCTATTCCATTCGTGTCAAATCCATTCGAGTTCTTTATATACAATTCCATTCGATGCCATTCCATTCGATTCTATTCCATTCGACTTCATTCCCTTGCATTCCATTCCATCCGATTCCATTCCATTCTATTCCTTTATATTCCATTCCATTGTATTCCATTCCATTTTTTTCCATTCCATTCGACTCCATTCCACTCCTGTCCATTCCATTCGAGTCCATTCCATTCCAGTCCATTCCACTTCAGTCCATTCCATTCAAGTCCGTTTCATTCCAGTCCATTCCATTCAAGTCAATTCCACTCCAGTCCATTCCATTCGAGTCCATTCCATTCCATTCCATTCCATTCCATTCCATTCCATTCCATACCATTCGACGCCATAGCATTTGATTCTATTCCATTCAACTCAATTCCCTTCCATTCCATTCCATCCGATTCCTTTGCATTCTATTCCTTTCCGATTCATTCCATTCCATTCCTTTCCATTCGAGGCCATTCTATTTGATTCTTTTCGAGTCCATTCTATTTGAGTGCATTCCATTCATGTCCATTACATTTGGGTCCATTCCATTCCATTCCATTCCATTCGTTGCCATTCCATTTGATTCTACGCCATTTGATACCATTCCCTTCGAGTACATTCCATTCCATTCCATTTGATGCCATTCCATTCAATTCTATTCCAATTGACTCCATTCCATTCCATCCGATTCCATTCCAATCTATTCCTTTTAATTCCTTTCCATTCCATTCCACTCCATTCCATTCCATTCCATTCCATTCTATTCGTTTCCATTCCATTCGATTCCATTCCACTCCAGTCCATACAATTCGAGTCCATTCCATTCCAATCCTTTCCATTCGAGTGCATTCCATTCCATTCATTCTATTCTGTGCCATTTGAATCCAATCCGTTTGATTCCATTTTGTTCAAGTCCATTCCAATCGATTACATTCCATTCAATTCTATTCCAGTAGACTCCATTCTATTCCATCCGATTCCATTCCAATCTATTCCTTTTAATTCCTTTCCATTCCATTCCATTCCATTCTATTCGTTTCCATTCCTTTCGATTCCATCCCACTCCAGTTCATACAATTCGAGTCCATTGAATTCCAATCCTTTCCATTCGAGTGCATTCCATTCCATTCATTCTATTCTGTGCCGTTTGTATCCAATCCTTTTGATTCCATTTTGTTCAAGTCCATTCCATTCGATTCCATTCCACTCGATTCCACTCAGTTCCAATCCATTGCATTGCATTCTGTTCCATTCCATTGCATTCCATTCCATTTCATTTGATTACATTCCATTTAATTCCATTGCATTCGAATCAATTACATTGCACTCCGTTACATTCGACTTCGTTGTATTCCATTCCATTCCATTCCGATCCATTCCATTCGAATCCATTGCATTCGATTCCATTCCATACTATTGCATTCCATTCGATTCCATTCTATTGGAATAAATTCCATTCAATACCATTCCATTCGAGTCCATTCTATTTGAGTCCATTTCTTTTGTGTCCATTACTTTTGCTTCCATTCCATTCCATTGAATTTGACGCAATTCCATTCAATTCTCTTCCATTCGAGTCCATTACATTCGAGTCCACTCCATTCCATTCAATTCCAATCCTTACGATTCCACTCCATTCCATTCGATGTCATTCCAATGGATTCTATTCCATTCTACTCCATTCCATTCCATTCCGCTCCATCCGTTTCCATTCCAATCTACTCCTTTCCATTAGATTTCATTCCATTCCATGCGTTTCCATTCCATTAGTGTCCATTCCAATCCAGTCCATTCCATGTGATTCCATTCCATTCGATTCCATTCCAATCGATTCAATTCCATTCGATTCCACTCTGTTCCTTTCCATTGCATTCCATTCTATTCCATTCCAGTGCATTCCATTCCATTCCATTTGATTATGTTCCATTCAGTTCCATTCCGTTTGAATCAATTACATTGCTCTCCATTACATGCGAGTCTTTTCTATTCCAGTATTTTCCATTTAATTCCATTCCATTCGATTCCAATTCGTTCGACGCCATTTTGTTCCATTCGATTCCAGTCCATTCCATACGACTACATTCCATTCGATTTCATTCCATTCAATTCCATTCCATGCGATTCCAATCCCTTCCATTCCATTGCATTCCATTCTACTCCATTCCTTTGCATTCCATTCCATTCCATTTCGTTACATTCCATTCAATTTCAATCCATTTGAATCAAATATTTACAATCCATTACATTCGAGTCCATTCTATACCTCTCCATTCCATTCTGGTCCATTCCATTCGATTCCATTCCATTCGACCCCATGCCATTCGTGTCCATTCCTTTCCATTCCATTCCATTCCGTTCAATTCCAATCTGTTACATTCTATTTTGTTCCAGTCAATCCCACTAGAGTCCATTCCATTCCAGTCCATTCCATTCAATTCCATTCCTTTCGATTCCATTCCATTCAATTAGATTACATTCCATTTAATTCCATTCCACTTGATTCCATTCCGTTCCATTCCATTGCATGCCATTCTATTGCATTCCGTTGCATTCCATTCCATTAAATTTGATTATATTCCAGTAAATTCCATGGCATTCGAATCAACTACAATTCAATCCATTACATTCGAGTCTGTTCTATTCCAGTCCATTCCATTCCGGTACATTCCATTTGATTCAAATCCATTCGATTCCATTAGATGCTATTGCATTCCTTTGGATTCCATTCTATTCAAATAAACTCCATTCGAGACCATTCCTTTCGAGTCCATTTTATTTGAGTCCATTCCATTCGTATCCATTACTTTTGGATCTGTTCCATTGCATTCCATTCCATTCCTTTCCATTCCATTCGATGCCATTACATTCGATTCTATTCCATTATGGTCCATTCCATTCGATTCCATTCCACTCGATTCCACTCCATTCCATTCCATTGCATTCCATTCTATTCCATTCCATTGCATACCATTCCATTCCATATGATTACATTCCATTTGATTCAATTCAACTCAAATCAATTGGATTGCAATCCATTACATTCTAGTCTGTTCTATTCCAGTCCATTCCACTCTGGTCCATTCCATTCGATTCCATTCCATACTATTGAATTCCATTCGATTCCACCGTTTTCGAATAAATTCCATTCGAGACCCTTCCTTTTTAATCCATTCTATTTGAGTCTGTTACATTCGAGTCCATTACATTTGGGTCCATCCAATTCCATTCCATTCCATTCGATGCCATTCCATTCGATTCTATTCCATTCGAGTCCATTCCATTCGATTCCATTCTGTTCCATTCCATTCCATTCGATGTCATTCCATTCAAGTCCATTCCACTCCAGTCCATTTCATTCGAGTCCGTTCCATTCGAGTCCGTTCCATTCCATTCCATTCCATTCCATTCCATTCCATTCAATATCTTTCCATTACACTCCATTCCATTCTATCCCTTTCGATTCCATTCAATTTCATTCCATTCGGTTAAATTCCATTCGATTCCATTCTATTCAAGTCCATTCCATTCCATTCCATTCAATTCCGTTCGATTGCGTTTTGATCCAGTCCAATCCATTTGAGTCCATTCCATTTGATTCCATTCCATTCCATTTGATGCCATTCCATTCGATTGTGTTCAATTCAAGTCCATTCCATCACAGTCTATTCCATTCCATTCCATTCCATCCGATGCCATTCCATTTGATTTTAATCCACTCGACTCCTTTCCATTCCATTCCATTCCATCCGATTCCATTCCATCCTATTCCTTTCCATTCCACTCCATTCCATTTGAATCATTTCCATAGCTTTCGAGTCCATTCCTCTCCAGTCCATTCCATTCGAGTCCATTCCATTCCATTACTTTTCATTCGATATCTTTCCTTTACACTCCATTCCCTTCTATTCCTTTTGATTCTACTCAATTCCATTCAATTTGATTCCATTCCATTCAATTCCATTCCATTCTACTCCATTCCATTCGAGTCCATTCTATTCCATTTGATATCTTGCAATTACACTCTATTCCATTCTATTCCGTTCGATTCCTTAGAGTTCCACTCCATTCGAGTCCATTCCATTCCAATCCACTCCATTCGAGTCCATTCCATTCCATTCCTTTCCATTAGATATCTTTCCATTACACTCCATTCCTTTCTATTCCTTTCAATTATATTCAATTCCATTCCATTCGATTCCATTCCATTCGATTCCATTTCAGTAGACTCCATTCCATTGAAGTCCATTCCATTAAATTCCATTCCATTCGATGTCTTTCCATTACACTCCATTACATTCTATTCCTTTTGACTCTTTTCAATTCAATTCCATTCGAGTCCATTCCATTCCATTCCATTCTAATCCATTCCATTCGATTCCAAACCATTCGATTCCACTTTGTTCCAGACCATTCCATTTGAGTCCATTCCACTCCAGTCCATTCCATTCGATTCCATTCCACTCGATTCCACTACGTTCCATTCCATTGCATTCTATTCTATTCCATTCCATTGTATTCCCTTCCATTCCATTTTATTACATTCCATTCGATTCCATTCCATTCGAATCAATTACATTATAATCCGTTACATTCGAGTCCATTCTATTCCAGTCCATACCATTCTGCTCCATTCCTTTTGATTAGATTACATTCGATTCCATTAAATACTATTGCATTCCATTCGATTCCATTCTATTCGAATAAATTCCATTCAAGACCATTCCTTTCGAGTGCATTCTATTTGAGTCCATTCCATTCAAGTCCATTACATTTGGGTCCATTACATTCCATTCCATTCCATTCCTGTCTATTCCATTGCAGTCCATGCCAGTCCATTCGATTCTATTCCATCCGTGTCCATTCCATTCGAGTCCATTTCATTCCATTCCACTCCATTCCATTCGATGCCATTCCATTTGATTCTATTCCATTCGACTCCATTCCACTCCATTCCGTTCCATGTGATTCTATTTTATTCTATTCCATTCCATTTGATGCTATTCAATTCGATTATAATCCATTCGAGTCCATTCCATTCGAGTCCAATTCATTCCATTCCATTCAATTCCATTCCATTTGATGCCTTTCCATTTGATTCTATTCCATTCGACTACATTCCATTCCATTCCTTTCCATCCAATTGGATTCTATTCTGTTCCTTTCCGTTCCATTCCATTCCATTCCATTCCATCCGTTTCCATTCCATTCAAGTCCATTCCACTCTAGTCTATTCCATTCCAGTCCATTCCAGTCCAGTCCATTCCTTTCTAGTCCATTCCATTCGATATCTTTCCATTACACACCATTCCATTATATTCCTTTCGATTCCATTCAATTCCATTCCGTTCAATTCCATACCATTCGATTCCATTCCATTTGACTCCATTCCATTCGAGTCCATTCCATTCCATTCCATTCCACTCCAATCTGTTCGATTCCACTTTATTTCAGTCCATTCCATTCGATTCCATTCCAATCCAGTCCATTGCATTTGATTCCATTCCATTCGATTCCTTTCCATTTGAATCCATTCCCCTCGATTCCCCTCTGTTCCATTCCATTGCATTCCATTCTATTCCATTCCATTGCATTCCATTACATTCCATTTTATTACATTCCATTTGATTCCATTCTTTTCAAGACCATTCTATTTGAGCCCAATCCATTAGAGTCCATTATATTTCTTCCCATTCCATTCCGTTAAATTCCATTCTATTCGATACCACTCCATTGATCCTGTTCCATTCGAATCCATTCCACTCGATTCCTTTCCAATCCATTCTATTGCATTCCACTCGATACCATTCCATTAGATTCTATTCCATTTGAGTCCATTCCATTCCATTCCATTCCATTCCATTCCATTCCATTCCATCTGATTCCATTCAATTCCATTCCTTTACATTCCATTCCATTCCATTCCTTTCATTCCATTCCATTTGAGTCCATTCCTCTCCAGTCCATTCCATTCGTTTCCATTCCATTCCAGTCCATTACTTTCGAGTCCATTCCCTTCCATTCCTTTCCATTAGATATTTTCCATTACACTCCATTCCATTCTATTGCATTCGATTCTATTCAATTCCATTCCATTCAATTTCACTCCTTTCGACTCCATTCCATCTGAATCCATTCCATTCCATTCGATATCTTCCATTACAATCCATTCTATTCCATTCCATTCCATTCCATTCCATTCCTTTTGAATCCAGTCCATTTGGTTCCATTCGAATCGACTCCCTTCCATTCGAGTCCATTCCATTCCATTGATTCAGTGCCATTGAATTCCAATCTGTTCGATTCCATTTTGTTCCAGTCCATTCCATTCGATTCAATTCCAATCGATTCCATTCCATTCGATTCCACTCCAATAAATTCCTTTGAATTCCATTCCATTCCATTTGATTACTTTCCATTCTATTCCATTCCTTTCGAATCAATTACATTGCAATCCAAATACATTCGAGTCCATTGTATTCCAGACCATTCCTTTCTGGTCCATTCCATCTGAATGCATTCCATTCGATTCCATTACATACTATTGCATTCCATTTGATTCCATTCAATTCCAATAAATTCCATTCGAGACCATTCTTTTCAATACCATTCTATTTGAGTCCAATCCATTAGAGTCCATTATATTTCCTTCCATTCCATTCCGTTAAATTCCATTCTATTCGATACCACTCCATTGATCCTGTTCCATTCGAATCCATTCCACTCGATTCCTTTCCAATCCATTCTATTGCATTCCACTCGATACCATTCCATTAGATTCTATTCCATTTGAGTCCATTCCATTCCATTCCATTCCATTCCATTCCATTCCATTCCATCTGATTCCATTCAATTCCATTCCTTTACATTCCATTCCATTCCATTCCTTTCATTCCTTTCCATTTGAGTCCATTCCTCTCCAGTCCATTCCATTCGTTTCCATTCCATTCCAGTCCATTACTTTCGAGTCCATTCCCTTCCATTCCTTTCCATTAGATATTTTCCATTACACTCCATTCCATTCTATTGCATTCGATTCTATTCAATTCCATTCCATTCAATTTCACTCCTTTCGACTCCATTCCATCTGAATCCATTCCATTCCATTCGATATCTTCCATTACAATCCATTCTATTCCATTCCATTCCTTTTGATTCCAGTCCATTTGGTTCCATTCGAATCGACTCCCTTCCATTCGAGTCCATTCCATTCCATCGATTCAGTGCCATTGAATTCCAATCTGTTCGATTCCATTTTGTTCCAGTCCATTCCATTCGATTCAATTCCAATCGATTCCATTCCACTTGATTCCACTCCAATAAATTCCTTTGCATTCCATTCCATTCCATTTGATTACTTTCCATTCTATTCCATTCCTTTCGAATCAATTACATTGCAATCCAAATACTTTCGAGTCCATTGTATTCCAGACCATTCCATTCTGGTCCATTCCATCTGAATGCATTCCATTCGATTCCATTACATACTATTGCATTCCATTCGATTCCATTATATTCGAATAAATTCCATTCGAGACCATTCCTTTTGAGTCCATTCTATTTGAGTCCATTCCATTCGAGTCCATTACATTTGGGTCCATTCTATTCGACTCCATTCCATTCCATTACATTCCGTTAGATGCCTATCCATTCCATTCTATTCCATTCGAGTCTATTCCAATCCACTCCTTTCCAACCAATTCCATTCCATTCTATTCCATTCTATTCCATTCCATTCCAACCCATTCCATTTCATTCCTTTCCATTCCATTCCATTTCATTCGACCCCATTCCATTCGATTCCATTCCATTCCATTCGATTCCATTCCATTCTGTTCCATTTGATTCCAATGCATTCGATCACATTTTCTTCCAGTCGAATCCATTTGATTCCATTCCTTTCCAGTCCATTCCGTTCGATTCCACTCGATTTGATTCCATTCGATTCAATTCCTTTACACTCGATTCCACTCCGTTCTATTCCATTGAATTCCATTCTATTCCATTCCACTGCATTCCTTTCATTTCCATTTGATTACATTTCATTCGATTCCAAGGCATTCGAATAAATTATATTTCCATTCATTACTATCGCGTCCGTTCTATTCCAGTCCATTCAATTCCATTCCATTCCATTCAATACACTTCCATTGGATCCCATTTCATACTATTGCATACCTTTTGATTCCATTCTATTCGAGTAAATTCCAACCGAGTCCATTGCATTCCAGTCCATTCCATTCTTTTCCATTCCATTGCATTCCATTCCATTCGATGTAATTCCATTCAATTCTATTCCTTTCGACTCCATTGCACTCCATTCCGTTCCATCCAAATCCATTCCATTCTATTCCTTTCCATTCCATTCGTTTCCTTTACAGTCGAGTCCATTCCATTCCAGTCCATTCCATTCGATCACGTTCCATTCCATTCCATTCCATTTGATATCTTTCCATTACACTCCATTCCATTCCATTCCATTCCATTGAATTCCATTCCATTCGATTCCATTCCATTTGATTCCATTCCATTCGACTCCATTCCTTTCCATTCAGTTCCATTCCATTCCTTTCTGTTCGATTCCAATCCTTTCGATTCCATTTTGTTCCAGTCCATTCCATTCCAGTTCATTCTATTCGTTTCCATTCCATTCCATTCCATTCCACTCGATTCCACCCCGTTTCATTCCATTGCTTTCCATTTTATTCCATTCCATTGCATTCCATTCCATTCCATTCCATTTCTTTACATTCCAATCGATTCCATTCCATTTAAATGAAATAAATTGCAATCCATTAAATTCGAGTCCATTCTATTCCAGTCCATTCCATTCCGTTCCATTCCATTTGATTCCATTCCATTCGATTCCATTCCATACTATTGCATTCCATTCGATTCCATTCTATTAGAATAAATTCCATTCGAGACCATTCCTTTCGAGTCCATTCTATTTGAGTCCATTCCATTCGAGTCCATTATATTTGGAACCATTCCAATCCTTTCCATTCCAATACATACATTTCCATTCCATTTGATGCCATTACATTCTGTTCTATTCCATTCGAGTTCATGCCATTCGAGTCCATTCCATTCCATTCCATTCCATTCAATGCCATTCCATTTGATTCTATTCCATTCGACTACATGCCATTCTATTCCATTTCATCCGATTCCATTCCATTCCGTTTCATCTGATTCCATTGCATTCTATTCCTTTCCATTCCATTCCATTCCATTCCATTCCATTCGAGTCCATTCCAATACAGTCCATTCCATTTGAGTCCATTCCAATCCAGTCCATTCCATTCGAGTCCATTGCATTCGAGTCCATTCCATTCCATTCCATTCCATTCCTTTCGATGCCATTCCATTCGACGCTATGCCATTCGACAGCAGTCCATTCCATTCTCTTCCATCCGATTCCATTCCAGTGTATTCGTTCCATTCCATTCCATTCCATTCATTTCCATTCCATTCGAGTCCATTCCAGTCCAGTCATTTCCATTCGAGTCCATTCCATTCCAGTCCATTCCATTTGAGTCCATTCCATTCCATTACATTCCATTCGACTGCATTCCATTCCATTCTGTTCCATCTGATTCCATTCCACTGTATTCGTTCCATTCCATTCCATTCCATTCATTTACATTCCATTCGAGTCTATTCCAGTCCAGTCATTTCCATTCGAGTCCATTCCATTCCATTCCATTCCATTACATTCCATTCAACTCCATTCCATTTGACGCCATTCAATTCGAGTCTGTTCCATTCCATTCAATTCTATTCCGTTCCATTTGATACCAATCTGTTCGATTTCATTTTATTCCAGTCCATTCCATTCGAGTGCATTCCATTCCAGTCCATTCCATTTGATTCCATTCCTTAGATTATATTCCATTCGATTCCATTACACTCAGTTCCACTCCATTCCGTGCCATTGCATTCCATTCAATTCCATTCCATTGCATTCCATTCCATTGCTTTTGATTGCATTCCATTCGATTCCATTCCATTCAAATCAATTACATTGCATTCCATTACATTCGAGTCCATTCTATTCCAGTCCATCATATTCCGGTCCATTCCATTCGTATGCATTCCATTCGATTCCATTCCATACTATAGCATTCCATTCAATTCCATTCTATTCAAATAAATTCCATTCGAGACCATTCCTTTCGAGTCCATTCTATTTGAGTCCATTCCATTCGAGTCCATTACATTTCTGTCCATTCAATTAAATTCCATTCCATTCCGTTTCATTCTATTCCATTCCATTCGAAGCCATTCTATTCTATTCTATTCCATTCGATTCCATTCCATTCGATTCCATTCCATTCCATTCCATTCGATGCCATTCCATTCGGTTCTATTCCATTTGACTCCAATAAATTCCACTAAGATCCATCCGATTCCATTCCATCCTATTTCTTTCCATTCCATTCCATTCCATTTCATTCGTTTCCATTCCATTCGATTCCATTCCATTCGATTCCATTCCATTCGATTCCATTCCACAATATTGCAGTCCGTTCCATTCCATTGCTTTCCATTCTATTCCATTCCATTGCATTGCATTTCATTCCATTTGATTACAGTCCATTGGATTCCATTCCATTCGAATCAATTACATTGCAATCCATTACATGAGAGTCCATTCTATACCAGTCCATTCCATTCCGGTCCATTCCATTCTATTCTAATCCTGTCGATTCCATTCCATACTATTGCATTACATTTGATTCCATTCTATTCGAATAAATTCCATTCGAAACCATTCCTTTTGAGTCCATTTTTATTTAAGTCCATTCCTTTCGAGTCCATTACATTTGGTTCCATTCCCTTCCATGCCATTCCATTCCATTCCACTCAATGACATTCCATTCTATTATAATCCATTTGAGTCGATTCCATTCGAGTCCATTCCATTCCATCCCATTCCAGTCTTTCCATTTGATGCCATTCCATACGACTGCATTCCATTCCTTTCAGTTCTATACAATTCCATTCCATTCTATTCCTTTCCATTCCATTCCATTCCTTTCGTTTCCATTCCATTCTAGTCCAATACACTCCAGTCCATTCCATTCGAGTCCATTCCACTCCAGTACATTCCATTAGATTCTATTCCATTCCAGTCCATTCCATTCGAGTCCAATCATTTCCTTTCCATTCCATTTGATATCTTTCCATTACACTCCATTCCATTCTATTCCTTTAATTCCTTTCAATTCCATTCCATTCGATTCCATTCCTTTTGACTCCATTCCTTTCGAGTTTATTCTATTCCAGTCCATGCCATTCGATTCCATTTCATTCCATTCCATTCCATTTGATATCTTTCCATTACACCCCATTCTATTCTATACCATTCGATTCCTTTCAATTCCATTTCCTTCGATTCAATTCCATTAGATTCTATTCCATTCAATTCCATTCTATTCGACTCCATTCCATTCGAGTCCTTTCCATTCCATTGGTTTCCATTCCATTCCGTTCCCTTTGATTGCAATCCATTTGATTCCATTTTGTTCCAGTTCATTCCATTTGACTCCATTCCATTTGATTGCATTCCATTCTATTCCATTCCATTCAATTCCATTCCAATCGATTTCACTCCATTAAATTCCATTGCATTCCATACAATTCCATTCCATTGCATTCCATTCCATTCCTTTTGATTACATTCCATTCGATTCCATTTGAATCAATTACATTGCAATATGTTACAATCGAGTCCGTTCTATTCCAGTCCATTCCATTCCAGTCCATTCCATTTGTTTCCATTCCATTCAATTCCATTCCATACTATTGCATTCCATTCGATTCCCGTCTATTTGTATAAATTCCATTCGAGACCATTCCTTTCAAATCCATTCTATTTGTGTCCATTCCATTCGACTCCATTATATTTGGGTCCATTCCATTCCATTTCATTCGATGCCATTCCATTCGATTATATTCCATTCGACTCCATTCCCTTCCATTCCATTCCATTTGATTCCATTCCATACTATACCTTTCATTCCATTGCATTGCATTCCATTTCATTCTATTCGTTTCCATTCCATTCGAGTCCATTCCATTCCAGTCCCTTCCATTAGATTCCTTTTCATTCCAGTCCATTCCATTTGATTCCATTCCATTCCATTCCATTTCATATATTCCCATTACACTCCATTCCATTCTATTCCTTTCGTTTCCATTCAATTCCATTCCATTCGATTCCATTCCATTAGACTCCATTGAATTCGAGTCCATTCCATTCCATTCGATTCTAATCCATTCGATTCCTATTTGCTCCAGTCTATTCCATTCGAGTCTATTCCATTCCAGTCCATTCCTTTCCGGTATATTCCATTCGATTCCATTCCATTTGAATCCATTCCTTACTATTGCAAATCCATTTGATTCCATTCTATTTGAATAAATTTCATTCAAGACCATTCCTTTTGAGTACATTCTATTTGAGTCCATTCCGTTCGAGTCCATTATATTTGGTTCCATTCCATTCCATTCAATTCCAGGCCATTCCATTTAATTCATTCCATTCGAGTCCATTCCATTTGAGCCCATTCCATTCGATTTCATTCCATTCCATTTGATTCCATTCCATTCGATTATATTCCATACGACTCCATTCCATTCCATTCCATTCCATCCGATTCCATTCCATTTGAGCCCATTCCATTCAATGTCATTCCATTCCATTTGATTCCATTCCATTCGATTATATTCCATACGACTCCATTCCATTCCATTCCATTCCATTCCATCCGATTCCATTCCATTCTATTCCTTTCCATTCCATTCCATTCCATTCGTTTCCATTCCCGTCAAGTCCATTCCACTCCAGTCCTTTCCATTCGAGTTGATTGCATTCCAGTCCATTCCATTAGAGTCCATTCCATTCCATTTCATTCCATTCGATATCTTTCCATCACAATCCATTCCATTCTTTTCCTTTTGATTCCATTCAAATCCTTTTCATTCGATTTCATTCCATTCGACTCCACTCCATTCAAGTCCATTCCATTCCATTCCATTCCATTCCACTCCCTTCCTTTCAATTCCAATCCGTTTGATTCCATTATGTTCCAGTCCATTCCATTCGACTCCATTTTATTCCAGTCCATTCCATTCGATTCCATTCCACTCGATTCCACTGCGTTCCATTCCATCGGATTCCATTCTATTTCATTACATTGCATTCCATTCCATTCCATTCCATTTGATTACATTGAATTCGATTCCATTCCATTCGAATCAATCACATTGCAATCCATTACATTCGTGTCCATTCTATTCCATGCCATTCCTTTCCTGTCCATTCCTTTCAATTCCATTCTATTTGAATCAATTCCATACTACTGCATTCCATTCAATTCCATTCTATTCGAATAAATTCCATTCCAGACCATTCCTTTCGAGTCCATTCTATTTGAGTCCATTCGTTTCTAGTCCATTACATTTGGGTAAATTCCATTCCATGACATTTCATTCCATTCCATTCGATGCCATTCCATTCGATTATCTTCCATTCGAATCCATTGCTTTAAAGTCCCTTCCATTCCATTAAATTCCAGTCCATTCCATTAGATGCCATTTCATTCGATTCTATTGCATTCGACTCCATTCCATTCCATTCCGTTCCATCCAATTCCATTCCATTCTATTCTGTTCCATTCTATTCCACTGCATTCCATTCTATTTGTTTCCATTCCATTCATGTCCATTCCAATCCAGTCCATTCCATTCGAGTCTATTCCATTCCAGTCCATTCCATTAGAGTCCATTCCACTCCAGATCATTCTGTTCAAGTCCATTTCATTTAATTCCATTTCATATCATTTGATATCTTTCCATTACACTCCTTTCCATTCCATTCCTTTTGATTCAATTCAATTCCATTCCATTCGATTCCAATCCATTCGATTCCATTCCATTCGACTCCATTCCATTCGAGTCCATTCCATTCCATTCTATTCCATTCTATCCCGTTCCATTCGATTCAATTTTATTCCAGTCCATTCCATTCGATTCCATTCCATTTGATTCCATTCCACTCGATTCCACTCTTTTCCATTCCATTGCAATCCATTCTATTCCATTCCATTGCATTCCATTCCATTCCATTTGATTACATTCCTTTTGAATCTATTACATTGCAATCCATTGCATTCAAGTCCATTCTATTCCAGTCCATTCCATTCTGATCCATTCAATTCGAAGCCATTCCATTCGATTCCATTCCATACTATTTCTTTCCGTTAGAATTCATTCAATTGAAATAAGTTTCTTTCGAGACCATTCCTTTCGAGTCCATTCTATTTGAGTCCATTCCATTTGAGTCCATTACCTTTTTGTCCATTCTATTCCATTCTATTCCGTGACATTCCATTCAATTCTATTCCATTTGTGCCCATTCCATTTGAGTCAATTTCATTCGAGTTCTCTCCATTCCATACCATTCCTTTCCAGTCCATTCGATGCCATTCTATTCGATTCTATTGCATTCGACTCCATTCCATTCCATTCCTTTCCATTCCTTTACATTCTATTCCATTCCATTCCATTCTTTTCAATTCCTTTACATTCTATTCCATTCCATTCCATTCCATTCCATTCCATTCGTTTCCATTCCTTTCTAGTCCATTCCACTCCAGTCTATTCCATTCGGGTCCATTCCATTCGAGTCCATTCCATTCCATTCCATTCGATATCTTTCAATTACACTCAATTCCATTCTATTCCTTTCATTTCCATTCAATTCCAATCTATTTGATTCCATTCCATTCTATTCCATTCCATTCGATTCCATTCCATTCAATTCAATTCCACTTGATTCCACTCCATTCCATTCCATTGCATTCCATTCTATTCCATTCCATTGCATTCCGTTACTTTCCATTTGATTACATTCGATTTTATTCAATTCGGTTCCATTCCTTTCGACTCCATTCCATTTGAGTCAATTCCCTTGCAATCCATTCAATTCCATTCCCTTCAGTTCGACTCTAATCCTTTCCATTCCAATATGTTCCAGTTCATACCATTCGAGTTCATTCCATTCCAGTCCATTACATTCGATTCCCTTCCATTCCATTCCATTCCATTCGACTTCATTCCACTCAATTCCACTCCGTTCAATTCCCCTGCATTCCGTTCTAATCCATTCCATTGCATACCACTCCGTTCCATTTGAGTACGTTCCATTCGTTTCCATTCCATTCAAATCAATAGCATTGGAAACCATTACATTCAATTCCGTTCTATTGCATTCCATTCCATTCCATTCCATTTGATTCCTTTCCATTCGATTATATTCCATTTGACTCCATTCCATTCAATTCCTTTCCATCTGATTCCATTCCATTCTATTCCTTTCCATTCCATTCTATTCAAATCCATTCCATTAGTTTCCATTCCATTCGAGTCCATTCCACTACTGTCCATTTCATTCGAGTTCATTGCATTCCAGTCCATTCCATTCGAGTCCATTCCATTCCATTCTATTTCATTTGATATCTTTCCATTACGCTCCATTCCATTCTATTCTTTCCATTCCATTCAACTCCATTTCATTCGATTCAATGCCATTCAATTCCATTCCATTTGATTCCTTTCCATTCGACTCCATTCCATTCGATTCCTTTCCATTCCATTCCGTTCCGTTCAATTCCAATCCGTTCGATTCCATTATGTTCCAATTTATTCCATTCAATTCCATTCCATTCCAGTACATTCCATTTGATTCCATTCCATTCGATTACATTCCACTCGATTCCACTGTGTTCCATTCCATTTCATTCCATTCTATTCCATTCCATTGCATTCCATTTCATTACATTTGATTGCATTCCATTCGATTCCATACCATTCGAATCAATCACGTTGCAATACATTACATTCGTGTCCGTTCTATTCCAGTCCATTCCTTTGCAGTCCATTCCATTTGATTCCATTCCATTCGATTCCATTCCATATTGCTGGGTTCCATTCGATTCCAATACATTTGGGTCCTTTCCATTCCATGACATTCCATTCCATTACATTCGATGCCATTCCATTCAATTATATTCCATTCAAGTGCATTCCATTCGAGTCCATTCCATTCCATTTCATTTCATTCCATTTGATGCCATTCCACTCGATTCTATTCCATTCGACTCCATTCCGTTCCATCCCATTCCATTCCATTCTATACTTTTCCATTCCATTCCATTCCATTAATTTCCATGCCATTCGAGTCCATTCCACTCCTGCCAATTCCATTCAAGTCCATTCCATTCGAGTGCATTCCATTCCAGTCCATTCCACTCGAGTCCATTCCATTAAATTGCATTCCTTTTTTATCTTTCCATTCCACTCCATTCCTTTCTATTCCATTCGATTCCATTCCATTAAAATCAATTACATTGCAATCCATTACATTCCTGTCCATTCTATTACAGTCCACTCCATTCCGGTCCACTCCATTCGATTCCATTCCATTCGATACCATTCCATACTATTGCATTCCATTCCTTTCCATTCTAATCGAATAAATTCCATTCGAGACCCTTCCTTTTGAGTCCCTTCTATTTGAGTCCATTCCATTCCAGTCCATTACAATTGGGTCCATTCCATTCCATTAAATTGCATTCAATGCCATTCCATTCCATTCGAGTCCATTCCATTCGACTCCATTACATTCCATTGCGTTCCATCCAATTCCAATCCATTCTATTCCATTCCATTCCATTCCATTCCATTCCATTCCATTCGTTTCATTTCCATTCGCATCCATTCCACTCCCATCCATTCCATTCGAGTCAATTCAATTCTAGTACATTACATTCGAGTCCATTCCATTCCATTCGGTTCGATTTCTGTCCATTACACTCCATTCCATTCTATTCCTTTCAATCCCTTTCAATTCCATTCTATTCCTTTCCATTCCATTCGAGTCCATTCCATTCAATTCCATTACATTCTGTTTGATTCCAATCTGTCCGATTCCATTTTTTTCCAGTCCAATCCATTCGAGTCCATTATATTCCAATCCATTCCTATCGATTCCATTCCATTCTATTCCATTCCATTTGATTCCATTCCGCTCGATTCCACTCCATTCCATTCCAGTGCATTCCATTCTATTCCATTTCATTGCATTCCTTTCCTCCCCGTTTGATTACATTCCATTAGATTCCATTCCATTCGAATCAATTACATTGCAATACATTACATTCCTGTCCATTTTCTTCCAGTCCTTCCATTCCGGTCCATTCCATTTGACTCCATCCATTCAATTCCATTCCATATTATTGCATTCCATTCGATTCCATTCAATTCGAATAAATTCCATTCGAGACCATTCCTTTCAAGTTCATTCTAATTGAGTCCATTCCATTTGAATACATTACATTTGGGTCTATTCCATTCCTTTCCATTCCATTCCATTCGATGCCATTCCATTCGATTCTATTTCATTTGAGTCCATTCCATTCAACTTCATTCCATTCCATTTCATTCCATTCCGTTCCATTCGAAGCCATTCCATTGGATTCTATGCCATTTGACTCCATTCCATTCCATTCCTTTCAATCTGATTCCATTCCATTCTTTCCTTTCCATTCCATTCCATTCCATTCATTTTCATTCCATTCCAGTCCATTCCACTCCAGTCCATTCCATTCGAGAAAATTCTAATCCAGCCCAGTCCATTGAAGTCCATTCCATTCCATTTGATATCTTTCCATTACGCTCCATTCCTTTCCATTCCATTCGATGCCATTCCATTCTATTCTATTCCATTCGAGTCCATTCCATTTGAGACCATTCTGTTCCACTGCATTCCATCCCATCCGCTTCCATTCCATTCTATTCCTTTCTGTTCCATTCTTTTCAATTCCATTCGTTTTCTTTGCATTCGAGTCCATTCCACTCCAGTACCTTTCCAATCATGTCCATTACATTCCAGTCCATTCCATTCGAGTCATTTCCATTTCATTCCATTCGATATCTTTCAATTACACTCCATTCCATTCTATTCCTTTCGATTCCATTGAATTCAATTCCATTCGATTCCATTCCATTCGATTCCATTCCATTTGACTCCTTTCCATTCGAGTCCATTCCATTCCATTCCATTCCGCGTGATTTCAATCTGTTCCATTCCATTTTGTTCCAGTCCATTCCATTACAGTCCATTCCATTCTGGTCCATTTAATTCCATTCCGCTCCATTCCGTTCCAATCCATTCCAGTTGGTTCGATACAATTTTGTTCCAGTCCATTCCATAACATAACATTCCATTCGATTCCATTCCATTCGATTACATTCCACTCGATTCCATTCCACTCAATTCCACTCAGTTCCATTACATTGCATTCCATTGTATTCCATTCCATTGCATTTGAGTATATTACATTTGATTCCATTCCATTCGAATCAATTATATTGCAATCTATTACATTCGACTGCATTCTCTTCCAGTCCACTCCACTCTGGTCCATTGCACTAGATTCGTTTCTATTCGATTCCGTTCCATATTATTGCATTCCATTCGGTTCCATTCTGTTGGAATAAATTCCATTCAATACCATTCATTTCGAGTCCATTCTATTTGAGTCCATTCCATTGAAGTCCATTACATTTGTGTCCATTCCACTCCATTTCATTCCATTACATTCTATTCCTTGCCCTTCCATTCCATTGTATTCCATTTGTGTCCATTTCATTCGAGTCCATTCCATTCCATACCATTCGATGCCATTCCATTCGATTCTATTCCATTTGACTTCATTCCACTCCATTCCATTCCATCTGATTCCATTCCATTCTTTTCCTTTTCCTTCCCTTCCATTCCATTCCATTCCATTTGTTTCCCTTTCATTCGAGTCCATTCCACTGCAGTCCGTTCCATTCGAGTCCATTCCACTCCAGTCCGTTCCTTTCGAGTCCATTCCTTTCCTGTCCATTCCATTCCATTCCATTCGATATCTTTCCATTACACTCCATTCCATTCTATTCTTTTTGATTCCATTCATTTCCATTGTATTCGATTCCATTCCATTCAATTCCATTCCATTTGACTACCTTCCAATCGAGTCCATTCCATTCCACTCCATTCCATTCCACTCAATTCCAATATGTTCGATTCCAATTATTTCCAGGCCAATCCATTCGAGTACATTACATTTCAGTCCATTCCAATTGATTCCCTTCTATTCAATTCCATTTTATTCGATTCAATTCCACTCGATCCCACTCCTTTCCATTCCATTGCATTCTATTCTATTCCACTCCATTGCATTCCGTTCCATTCCTTTTGATTACATTCCATTTGATTCCATTCCATTTGATTCATTTCCATAATATTGCATTCAACTCGATTCCAGTCTTTTCGAAAGAATTCCATTCGAGACCATTCCTTTTGGAGTCCATTCTATTTGTGTACATTACATTTGGGTCCATTCCATTCCATTCCATGCCATTCCATTCCATTCCATTCATTCGATGCCATTCCATTCGACTCTATTCCATTCGAGTCCATTCCATTCGAGTCGAATCCTTTCCGTTCCATTCCATTTCATTCCATTCCATTCGAAGCCATTCCATTGGATTCTTTTCCATTCGACTCCATTCCATTCCATCCGATTCCATTCCATTCTGTTCCTTTGCATTCCATTCCATTCCCTTCCATTCCATTCGTTTCCATTTCATTCGAGTCCATAACACACCGGTCCATTCCATTCGTGTCCATTCCACTCCAGTCCATTCCATTCGAGTCCATTCCATTCCATTCCATTCGATATCTTTCCATTACACTCAATTTCATTCTATTCCTTTTGATTCCATTCAATTCCATTCCATTCGGTTCCATTCCATTCAACACCATTCCGTTTGAATCCATTCCATTCCATTCCATTCCATTCCCTTCCCTTCCGTATGATTCCAATCCGTTAGATTCCATTTTGTTCCAGTCCATTACATTTGAGTCCATTCCATTGCATTCCATTACTTTTGATTCCATTCCATTCGATTTCATTCCACTCAATTCCATTCCGTTCCATTCCATTGCATTCCATTCTATTCCATTTGATTACATTCCATTCGATTCCATTCCATTCGAATCCATTCCATACTTTTGCATTCCCTTTGATTCCATTCTATTCGAATATATTCCATTCGAGACCATTCCTTTTGAGTCCATTCTATATGAATCCATTCCATTAGGGTCCATTACATTTGGGTCCATTCCATTCCATTCCATGCCATTACATTAGATTCTATTCCTTTCGAGTCCATTCCATTAATTTCCATTCCATTCTATTTGATACCATTCCACTCGATTCAACTCCATTCCATTCCATTCCATTGCATTCTATTCCATTCCTTTGCATTCCATTCCATTCCATTTCATTGCCTTCCATTCTATTCGAAGGCATTCGAATCAATTTCTTTGCAATCCATTACATTTGTGTCCATTCTATTCCAGTCCATTCTATTTCGGTCCATTCCATTCGATTCCATTCCATACTTTTGCATTCCCTTTGATTCCATTCTATTCAAATATATTCCATTTGAGACCATTCCTTTTGAATCCATTCTATATGAATCCATTCCATTAGTGTCCATTACATTTGGGTTCATTCCATTCCATTCCATTCCATGCCATTACATGAGATTCTATTCCATTCGAGTCCATTCCATTAAATTCCATTCCATTCCATTCTATGCCATTCATTTCGATTTTATTCCATTCGTCTCCATTCCATTCCATTCAGTTCCTTCTGATTCCATTCCATTCTATTCCTTTCCATTGCACTCAATTCCATTCGATTCATTTCCATTCCATTCTAGTCCATTCGTCTCGAGCCCATTCATTTGAGTCCATTAAGTTGCAGTCCATTCCATTAGAGTCCATTCCATTCCATTCCATTCGATATCTTTCCACTACACTCCACACCATTCTATTGCTTTCGAATTCATTCAATTCCATTCCATTCGATTCCATTCCATTCGGTTACATTACATTCAAAACCATTCCACTCGAGTCCATTCCATTCCTTTCCATTCTGTTCTGTTTGATTCCAATCCGTTTGATTCCATTTTGTTCCAGTAAATTCCATTCGAGTCCATTCCATTCCAGGACATTCCATTCAATTCCATTCCATTCGATTCCATTCCACTCGATTCCACTCCGTTCCATTCCATTGCATTCCATTCTATTCCATTCCATTGCATTCCATTCCATTCACTTTGATTACATTCCTTTTGATTCCATTCCATTCGAATCAATTACTTTGCAATCCATTGCATTCGATTTTGCTCTATTCCAGTCCATTCTATTCCGTTCCATTCCATTCGATTCCATTCGATTCTATTCCAAACCATACTATTGCATTACATTCGATTCCATTCTATTCAAATAAATTCCATTTGAGACCATTCCTTTTGGGTCCATTCTATTTGAGTCCATTCCATTAGATTTCTTTACATTTGGGTCTACTCCATTCAATTCCATTCCATTCACTGCCATTCCCTTCTATTCTATTCAATTTTAGTCCATTCCATAAAATTCCATTACATTCCATTCGATGCCATTCCATTCAATTCTGTTTCATTCGACTGCATTCCATTCCATTCCGATCCATCTAATTCCATTCCGTTCTTTTCCTTTCCATTCCATTCAAATCCATTCCACTCTATTCCTTTCCATTCCATTCAATTCCATTCCACTGGTATCCATTCCATTTGAGTCCGTTCGACTCCAGTCCAATCCATGTGAATCCATTCAATTCCTGTCCATTCCATTCGAGTCCATTCCTTTTGACACCATTCCATTCGTTTCCATTCCGTACTCTTGCACTACTTTCGATTCCATTCAATTTGATTCCATTGCTTTCTAGTCCATTACATTTGGGTCCATTGCATTCCCTTCCATTCCATTCCATTCCATTCCATTCCATTCCATTCTATGACATTCCATTTGACTCTATTCCATTCGAGTCCATTCCATTCGAGTCCATTCCATTCCATTCCATTCCATTTGATGGCATTCCATTTGATTCTACTTCATTTCACACCATTCCATTCCATTACGTTGCATCATATTCCATTCCATTATATTCCTTTCCATTCCATTCCATTGCATTCCATTCCAATCCTTTTCATTCCATTCATTTCCATTCCATTCCATTCCATTGCATTACATTCCAATCCTTTTCATTCCATTCGTTTCCATTCCATTCCATTGCATTCCATTCCACTGCATTTCATTCCATTCGTTTCCATTCTATTCGAGTCTATTCCCCTCCTGACCATTCCATTCTAGTCCATTCCATTCCTCTCCCTTCCCATCAAGTCCATTCCATTCCATTCCATTCCATTGGTTATCTTTCCATTACACTCCATTCCATTCTATTCCTTTCGATTCCATTCAATTCCATTCCATTCGGTTCCATGCCATTCGACTCCATTCTATTCTAGTCCATTCCATTCCATTCCATTCCATTCCATTCCATTCGACATCTTTCCATTACACTCCATTCCATTCTATTCCTTTCAATTCCTTTAAATTCCATTCCATTTGCTTCCATTGCATTTGATTCCATTCCATTCGACTCCATTCCATTCGAGTCCATTAAATTCCATTCCATTCCGTTTCATTCAGTTCCTTTCAATTTCAATCCATTCGATTCCATTTTTTCCAGTCCATTCATTTCGAGTCCATTCCATTACAGTCCATTCCATTCGAGGCCATTCCATTCCATTCCATTCCATTCCATTGCATTCCATTGCATATCTTTAAATTACACTCCATTCCATTCTCTTCTTTTCAATTCCATTCAATTCCATTCCATTAAGTTCCATTCCATTTCACTCCATTCCATTCGAGTCCATTCCATTCAGTTCCGTTTAATTCCAATCCATTCTATTACATTTTGTTCCAGTCCATTCCATTCGAGTCCATTCCATTCCATTCAATGTCACTCCATTGGATTCTATTCCATTAAACTCCATTACATTCCACTCCGTTCCATCCTATTCCATTCCATTCTATTCCTCTCCATTCCATTCCATTAGTTTCCATAACTTTTTTGTCCATTCCACTCCAGTCCATTCCATAAGAGTCCATTCAATTCCAGTAAATGCCATTCGAGTCCAATCCTTTCCATTCCATTCAATTTCTTTACATTTTACTCCATTCCATTCTATTCCTTTCGATTCAATTCAATTCCATTATATTTCATTCCATTCCATTCGATTCCATTCAATTCGAATCCATTCCAATCGAGTCCATTCCATAACATTCCTTTTCATTTGATGTCACTCCATTGTATTCTATTCCATTAGACTCCATTACATTCCACTCCGTTCCACCAAATTCCATTCCATTCTATTCCTTTCCATTCCATTCCATTCCATTCCATTCGTTTCCTTTCCATTCAAGTCCATTCCACTTCAGCCCATTCCATTCTAGTCCATTCCATTCCAGTCCATTGCATTCGATTCCATTGCATTCCATTCCAATTGATAACTTTCCATTACACTCCGTTGCATTCTATTCCTTACGAATCCATTCCATTCCATTCCATTCTATTCCATTCCATTCAACTCCATTCCATTCGTGTAAATTCCATTTCATTTCATTCCATTGCATTCGATTCCGATCCGTATGATTCCATTTTGTTGCAGTCCATTCCATTCGAGTCCATTCCATTCCAGTCCATTCCATTCGATTCTTTTCCCTTCGATTCCACTCAATTCGATTCCATTCCACTCAATTCCACACCGTACCATTCCATTGCATTCCATTCTATTCCATTCCATTGCTTTGCATTCCATTCCATTTGATTACATTCCATTATATTCCATTCCATTCGAATCAATTACATTGCCATCCATTACATTCGAGTCCGTTCTATTCCAGTCCATTCCATTCTGGTCTATTCCATTCGATTCCATTCCGTTCGATTCCATTCCATACTATTGCATTCCATTCGATTCCATTGTATTCGAATAAATTCCATTCGAGAACATTATTTTCGAATCCTTTCTCTTTGAGTCCATTCCATTCGAGTCCATTACATTTGAGTCCATTCCATTCCATTCCATTCCATTCCATTCCATTCCGTTCCATTCCATTCGATGCCATTTCATTTGATTCTATTCCATTTGACTCCATTCCATTCCATTACATTCCATTCCACTCCATTCCATTCCATTCAAGGCCATTCCATTTGATTCTATTCCATTCGAGTCTATTAATTTGGAGTCCATTCCATTCCATTCCATTCCTTTCCATTCTATTTGATGCCATTCTATTCGATTCTCTTCCATTCGATTCCATTCCATTCCATTCCATTCCATGAAATCCGAATTCATTCCATTCTATTCCTTTCCATTCCATTCCATTCCATTCTTCTCCCTTCCATTCCAGTCCATTCCACTCCAGTCCATTCCATTGTAGTCCATTCCATTCCAGTCATTTCCATTCGAGTCCATTCCATTCAAATCCATTCCATTCAAATCCATTCCATTCCATTCCTTTCTATTCGATATCTTTCCGTTACACTCCATTCTATTCTGTCTTTCGATTCTATTCAATTCCATTCCATTCAATTCCATTTCTTTCGATTCTTTCCTTTCAACTCCATTCCATTCGAGTCCATTCCATTCAATTCCATTCGATATCTCTAGATTACACTCCATTCCATTCTATACTTTCAATTCCATTCAATTCCATTTCATTCATTTCCTTTCCATTTGGTTCCATTCCATTTGACTCCATGCCTTTGGATTACATTCCATTCCATTCCAATCCGTTCCAATCGAATCCAATCCATTCGATTCCATTTTGTTCCAGTCCATTCTATTCGAGTCCATTCCATTCCTGTCCATTCCATTTGATTCCTTTCCATTCGATTCCATTCCACTTAATTCCACTCCCTTCAATTTTATTACATTCCATTCTATTCCTTTCCATTTCATACCATTCCATTCTATTTGATTACATTATATTTGAATCCATTCCGTTCAAATCAATTACATTGCAATCCATTACAGTCGAGTCCATTCTATTCCAATACATTCCATTCTGGTGAATTCCATTTGATTCCATTCCTTTCTATTCCTTTCCATACTATTGCCTCCCATTCGATTCCATTCTATTCGAATAAATTCCATTCGAGACCATTCCTTTGGAGTCCAATCTATTTGAGTCCATTCAATTCTAGTCCATTATAATTGGTTCCATTCCATTCCTTTCCATTTCATTCCTTTCCATTTCATTCCTTTCCATTCCTTTCCATGCCATTCGATCTCATTCCATTCTGTTCTATTCCAATCGTGTCCATTTCATTTCATTCCATTCCATTCGATGTCATTCCATTCGATTCTGTTCCATTAGTCTCCATTCCATTCTATTCCATTTCATCCGATTCTGTTCAATTCTATTCCTTTCAATTCCATTCCCTCCATTCGATTCGTTTCGATTCCATTCGAGTCCATTCCACTCCAGTCCATTACATTCATCTCCATTCCATTCCAGTCCGTTCCATCCGAGTCCATTCAATTCCATTCCATTCCACTCAATATCTTTCCATTCCATTCCATTCCATACTATTCAATTCAATTCCATTCCATTCAATTCCATTCCATTCGGTTCCATTGCATTTGACTCCATTCCATTCGAGTCCCTTCCATTCCATTCCATTCTATTCCAGTCCGTTCAATTCCATTTTTGTTCTATTCCATTCCATTGGAATCCATTCCATTCAATTCCATTCCATTCGATGCCATTCCATTCGATTCTATTCCATTTGTCTCCATTACATTCCATTCCGTTACACATGATTGAGTTCCTTTCTACTCCTTTCAATTCCATTCCCTTCCATTCCATTCGAGTCCATTCCACTCCATTCCATTGTATTCCAGTCCATTCTATTCCAGTCCATTCCATTCGAGTCCATTCCATTCCTTTCCATTTGATATCTTTAAATTACACTCCATTCCATTCTTTTCTTTTTGTTTCCATTCAATTCCACTCCATTCAATTCCATTCCGCTCGGTTCCATTCCATTCGAATCCATTCCATTCTAGTCAATTCCATTCCATTCCATTCTGTTCGATTCCTGTCCTTTTGATTCCATTTTGTTCCAGTTCATTCCGTTTGATTCCAATCCTTGCGATTATATTCCATTCGATTCCATTCCACGCGATTCCACTTCATTCCATTCCATTGCATTCCATTCTATTCCATTCTATTGTATTCCATTCCGTTCCATTTTATTACTTTCCGTTTGATTCCATTCCATTTGAATCAATTACTTTTCAATTCATTATATTCGAATCCATTCTATTCCACCCCATTCATTCCAGTCCTTTCCTTTCAATTCCATTCCAGTCAATTCCATTCCATACTATTGCATTCCATTCGATTCCATTCTATTTGAATAAATTCCATTCAGGACCATTCCTTTCGAGTCCATTCTATTTGAGTCCATTACATTTGGGTCCATTCCACTCCATTCCATTCCATTCCATTTGCATTCCATTCCATTCAAAGACAGTCCATTCCATTCAATTCCATTCGAGTCCATTCCATTCGAGTACATTAAATTTGAGTCCATTCCATTCGACTCCATTAAATTTGGGTCCATTCCATTCCGCTCCATTCCATTCCATTCCATTCCATTTGCATTTCTTTCCATTCCATTCAATAACAGTCCATTCCATTCAATTCCATTCAAGTCCATTCCATTCGAGTCCATCACATTTCGGTCCATTCCATTCCATTTCATTCCTTTTGCATTCCATTCCATTCCATTCAATGACAGTCCATTCCATTCAATTCCATTCGAGTCCATTCAATTCGAGTACATTCCATTCCCTTCCATCTGACGAAATTTCATTTGATTCTATTCCAGTCAAATCTATTCCATTCCATTCCGTTCCATCCAATCCCTTTCCATTCTATTCCATTCCAATCCATTCCATTGCATTCCGTTTCATTCATATCCATTCCATTCGTGTCCATTCCACTCCAGTCCATTCCATTCCAGTCAATTCCATTCAAGTCCATTCCATTAGGTATCTTTCCATTACACTCCATTCCAATCTATTCCTTTAAATTCCATTCAATTCCTTTTTTATTCGATTCCATTCTATTCGATTCCATTCCATTCGACTACATTCCAATTGAGTCCATTGCATTCCATTCCATTCTATTCTTTTCCACTCCATTCCGTTCCATTCGATTCTAATCTGTTCGATTCCTTTCTCTTGCAGTCCATTCCATTTGACTCCATTCCATTCCATTGCATTACATTCGATTCCTTTCTTTTGCAGTCCACTCCATTCGATTCCATTCCATTCCAGTCCATTCCTTTCGATTCCATTCCATTTGATTCCATTCCATTTAATTTGATGCCATTCAATTTGTTCCCTTCCATTCGACTCCATACAATTCAATTCCGTTCCATCAGATTCCATTCCAATAAATTCCTTTCAATTCCATTCCTTTCCATTCCATTCCATTCCATTCCATTCTATTCCATTCCATTCCATTCCACTCGTTTCCATTGCATTCAATTCCATTCCACTCCAGTCCATTCATTCAAATATATTCCATTACAATTCATTCCATTTGACTCCATTCCTTTCCGTTCCTTTCCATCTGATTCCATTCCGTTCTCTTCCTTTCCCTTCATTTCCATTCCATTCGAGTCCATTCCTCTCCAGTCCATTCCATTGGAGTCCAATCCATTCCAGTCCATTCCTTTCGAATCCATTCCATTTCATTCCATTTGATATCTTTCCATAACACTCCATTCCATTCCACTCCTTTCGATTCCATTCAATTCCATTCCATTCGACTCTATTACAGTCAATTCCATTCCATTCAATTCCATTCCATTCCATTCCATTCCATTCCATTCCATTCCATTCGATGAATTTCCATTCGATTCCATTCCTTTCGATTCCATTCCTTTTTATTCTGATCCATCCAATTCCATTCCATTCTATTCCTTTCCATTGCATTCCATTCCATTTTTTCTTTCCATTCGAGTCCATTCCACTGGACTCCATTCCATTCGAATCCATTTAAATCCAGTCTATTCCATTTGAGTCCATTCCATTCCATTCCTTTCCATTCAATATATTTCCATTACACTCCTTTCCATTCTATTCCTTTGTATTCCATTCAATTCCATTCCATTTGATTCCATTCCATTCGACTCCATTCCATTAGAGTCCATTCCATTCCAATCCATGGCATTCGATTCCAATCCGTACGATTCCATTTTGTTCCATTCCATTTCATTCGAGTCCATTCCATTCCACTCCATTCCATTCGAATCCATTCCATTCTATTTGTTTCCATTCGATTTCTTTCCACTCAACTCCACTCCATTCCTTTCCGTTGCATCCCATTCTATTCCACTCCATTCCATTCCATTCCATTCCATTCCATTCGATGTCATTCCATTCGATGCTGTTCCATTCGAGTCCATTCCATTCGAGTCCATTCCATTCGATGCTGTTCCATTCGAGTCCATTCCATTGCATTCCATTCGATGCCATTCCGTTCGATGCCATTTCATTCAATTCTATTCCATTCGACTCCATTCCATTCCATTCTGTTCCATCCGATTCCCTTCCATTCTATTCCTTTCCATTCCATTCCATTACATTCCATTACATTCGTTTCCATTTCATTCGAGTCAGCTCCATTCCATTCCAGTCCATTCCATTCAATGCAATTCCTTTCGATTGTATTCCATTCAACTCCATTCCATTCCATTCCGTTCCTTCTTATTCCATGCCCGTCTATTCCTTTCCATTCCATTCCCTTCCCTTCCATTCCATTCCACTCCTTTCGAATCCATTCCACTCCAGTCCGTTCCATTCGAGTCCATTCCATTCCAGGCCGTTTCATTCCATTCCATTCCATTCCATTCCATTCCATTCCATTCGATATCTTTCCATTACCCTCCATTGCATTCTATTCCTTTCGATTCCATTCAATTCCATTCTATTCGTTTCCTTTCCATTCGGTTCCATTCATTTTGACGCCATTCCATTCCATTTGATTCCACTCCATTCCGTTCGATTCCAATCCATTCGTTTCCGTTTTGGTCCAGTCCATTCCGTTCGAGTCCATACCATTACAATCCATTCCATTAGGTACCATTCCATTGGATTCCATTCCTTTCCATTCCATTCCAGTCTATTCCACTCCATTCCATTCCTTTGCATTCCATTCTATTGCATTCCATTGCATTCTTTTACATTCCATTTGATTACATCCCATTCGTTTCCATTCCATTTGGATCAATTATATTGAAATCCATTACATTCGAGTCCGTTCTATTCCAGTCCATTCCATTCCAATCCATTCCATTCGATTCCATTCCATACTATTGCATTCCATTCGATTCCATTCTATTCGTATAAAATCCATTTGAGACCATTACTTTCGAGTCCATTATATTTGGGTCCATTCCATTCCATTTCATTCCATTCGATGCCATTCCATTTGATTCTCTTCCATTCGAGTCCATTCCATTTGAGTCTGTTCCATTCCATTCCATTCCATTCCATTCCTTTTCATACCATTCCATTCGATTCTATTCCATTCGACTCCATTCCATTCCATTCCGTTCCATCCGATTCCATTTCATTCCATTCCATTCCATCCCATTCCATTCCATTCCATCCCATTCCATTCCATTCCATACCATTCGCTTCCATTCCATTATGGTCCATTCCTCTCCAGTCCATTCCATCCGAGTCCATTCCATTCCAGTCCATTCCATTCGTGTCCATTCGATTCCATTCCATTCGATATATTTCCATTACACTCCACTCCATTCTATTCCCTATGATTCCATTCAATTCCATTCCATTCGATCCCATTCCATTCGGTTCCATACCATTCGACTCCATTCTATTTGAGTCCATTCCATTCCATTCCATTACATTCTGTTCTGTTTGATTCCAATCTGTTTGATTCCATTTAATTCCAGTCGATTCCATTGGGGTCCATTCCATTCCAGTCCATTCCAATCCATTGTATTCCATTCGATTCCCTTCCATTGTATTCCAGTCCACGTGATTCCACCCCATTCCATTCCTTTGCATTCCATTCTCTTCCATTCCATTGCATTCCATTCTATTCCATTTGATTACATTCCATTTGATTCCATTGCATTCGAATAAATTACATTGCAGTCCATTACATTCATGTCAGTTCTATTCCAGTCCATTCCATTCCAGTCCCTTCCATTCGATTCTATTCCATTCGATTCCATTCCATACTATTGCTTTCCATTTGATTCAATTCTATTCGCATAAATTCCATTCGAGACCATTGCATTCTAGTCCATATTATTTGAGTCCATTATATTTCTGTCCATTACATTTTGGTCTATTCCATTCCATTCCATTCCATTCGATGCCATTCCATTCAATTCTATTCCTTTCGACCCAATTCCATTCGAGTCCATTCCATTCCATTCCATTCCTTTCCTTCCCATTCCATGTCATTCCATTGGCTCCTGTTCTATTCGAGTCCATTCCATTCCATTCCTTTCCATCCACTTCCATTCATTCCATTCTATTCCTTTCCATTCTATTTGATTCCATTCCGTTCGTTTCCATTCCATTTGAGTCCATTCCACTCCAGTTCATTCCATTCGAGTCCATTCCATTCCAGTCCATTCCATTCGAATCCAGTCCATTCCATTCCATTCAATATCTTTCCATGACACTCCATTGCATTCTATTCCTTTTGATTCCATTCAATTCCATTTCATTCATTTCCTTTCCATTTGATTCCATACCATTCGAGTCCATTCCATTCCATTTGGTTCCATTCCCTTCCATTCGATGCCATTACATTTAATTCTATTCCTTTCAATTCCATTCAATTCGAGGCCATTCCATTCGATGCCAATCCTTTCGATTCTATTCCATTCGACTCCATTCTTTTCCATTCATTTCCATGCGACACCATTCCATGCTATTCCTTTTCTTTCCATTCCATTCGTTTCTGTTCCATTCCAGTCGTTGCCACTCCAGTCTATTCCATTTGAGTCGACTCCATTCCAGTCCATTCCATTCGAGTCCATTCCATTCCTTCCCTTCCATTTGATATCTGTCCACAACACACCATTCCATTCTATTCCTATCGATTCCATTCAATTCCATTCCATTCGGTTCCAATCCATTCGACTCCATTCCATTCAAGTCCTTGCTCTTCCATTCCATTCCATTCCATTCCTTTCGGTTCAATTCCAATCCATTCTAATCCATTTTTTCCAGTCCATTACATTCGAGTCCATTCCATTTCAGTCCATTCCATTTGATTCTATTCCATTCGATTTCATTTCATTCGATTCCATTCCATTCAATTCCACTTCGTTCCATTCCATTGCATTCCATTGTATTCCATTCCATTGCATTCCATTCTGTTCCATTTGATTACATTTCATTCAATTCCATTACATTCAAATCAATTACATTGCAATCCATTACTTTTGAGTCTGTTCTATTCCAGTCCATTCCATTATGTTCCGTTCCATTCGATTCAATTCCATTCAATTCCATTCCATACCACTGCATTCCATTCGATTCCATTCTGTGCAAATAATTTCCATTCGAGACCATTCCTTTCAAGTACATTCTATTTGAGTCCATTCTATTTGAGTCCATTACATTTGTGTCCATTCCATTCCAATCCATTCCATTCAATTCGATGCCATTCCTTTCTATTCTATTCCATTCTAGTCCATTCCATTCCATTCCAGTCGTTTCCATTCCATTCTAGTCCATTCCATTCCATTCCATTCCATTCCATTCCATTACATGCGATTCCATTCCATTCTATTCTATTCCATTTGACTGCATTCCATTCCATTCTGATCCATCTGATTCCATTCCATTCTATTTCTTTCCATTCCATTCCATTCCTTTCCATTCCATTTGACTGCATTCCATTCCATTCTGATCCATCTGATTCCATTCCATTCTATTCTTTCCATTCCAGTCCTTTTCATTCCATTCCATTCTTTTCCATGCCATTCGAGTCCATTCCATTCCAGTCCATTCCATTCGAGTTCATTCCATTAAATTCCATTCCATTCGATGCCATTCAATTCGATTCTATTCCATTTGCATCCATTCCATTCGTGTCCATTCCATTCCATTCCATTCGATGCCATTCCATTCGATTCTATTCCATTTGTCTTCGTTCCATTCCATTCTGTTCCATCCGATTCCTTTCCACTGTATTCCTTTCCATTCCATTCCATTTCATTCCATGCAATTGATTTCCAATCAATTCGAGTCCATTCCACTCCAGTCCTTTCCCTTCGAGTCCATTCCATTTCACTTCGTTCCACTCGTGTCCATTCCATTCCAATCCATTCGAAATCTTTCCATCACACTCCCTTCCGTTCTATTCATTTCATTTCCATTCAATTCCTTTCTATTCAATTCCATTCCATTTGATTCCATTCCATTCAACTCCATTAGTTTCGAGTCCATCACATTCCTTTCCATTCCATTCCATTCCATTCCATTCCATTCCAATGCTTTCGATTCCATTTTGTTCAAATCCATTCCATTCAAGTACATTCCATTCCAGTCCATTCCATTCAATTCCATTCTTTTCGATTCCATTCCACTCAATTCCACTCTGTTCCATTTCAATGCATTCCATTCCATTCCATTCCATTGCATTCCATTATATTCCATTCCATTTCATTCCATTATATTCCATTCCATTGCATTCCATTCAATTCCATTTGATTACATTCCATTCGATTCCTTTCCGTTCGATTCTATTATATTGCAGTCCATTACATTTGAGTCTGTTCTATTCCAGTCCATTCCATTCCAGTCCTTTCCATTCACTTCCATTCCATTCGATTCCGTTCCATACTATTGCATTTCATTCTATTCCAGTCTATTCAAATAAATTCCATTCGAGACCATTCCCTTTGAGTCCATTCTATTTGAGTCCATTCCATTCGAGTCCATTACATTTGGGTCCATTCCATTCCATTCTATTCCATTCCATTCCATTGCATTCCATTCCATTCAATATTATTCTGTTGGATTATATTACATTTGACTCCATTCCATTCCTTTCAGTTCCAAACCAATTCCTTTCCATTCAATTCCATTCCATTCTATTCCATTGCATTCATTTCGTTTCCATTCATTTCGAGACCATTCCATTCCAGTCCATTCCATTCAATTACATTCCATTCCAGTCCATTAACTTCGAGTCCATTACATTCCATTCCATTGCATATCTTTCCATCACACTCCAATCCATTTTATTCATTTCGATTCCATTCAAGTCCATTCAATTCGATTCATTCTGTTCGGTTTCATTCCGTTTGACTCCATTCCAATCGAGTCCATTCCATTCCATTCCATTCTGTTCTGTTCGATTCCAATCCTTTCAATTCCATTTTGTTCCAGTCCAATCCATTCGAGTCCATTCCATTTCAGTCCATTCCATTCAATTTCATTCCATTCGATTCAATTCCACTCGATTCCACTCCGTTCCATTCCATTGCATTGCATTCTGTTCCATTCCATTGCATACACTTACTTTCCATTTGATTTCATTCCATTCGATTCCATACCATTCAAATCCGTTGCGTTGCATTGCATTCCATTACATTCGAGTCCGTTCTATTCCGGTCTATTCCTTTCCGGTCCATTACATTCAATTACATTCCATACTATTGCATTCCATTCAATTCCATTCTATTCGAATAAATTCCATTCAAGACCATTCCTTTCTTGTCCATTCTATTTGTGTTTATTCCATTCGAGTCCATTACATTTGGGTCCATTCCATTCCATTCCATTCCGTTCCATTCAGTGCCATTCCATTTGATTCTACTCCATTCGAGTCCATTCCATTCCATTCCATTCCATTCCATTTGATGCCATTCCATTCGATTCTATTCCATTCGACTCCATTCCATTCCATTCATCCAATTCCATTCCATTCTATTCCTTTCCATTCCATTCGAGCCCATTCCACTTCAGTCCATTCGATTTGAGTCCATTCCATTAAAGTCCATTCCATTCGACTCCATTCCATTCAATTCCATTCCATTCCATTCGATATCTTTCCATTACACTCCATTCCGTTCTTTTCCTTTTGATTCCATTGAATTCCATTCCATTAGGTTCCATTCCATTCCAGTCCATTTCATTCAAGTCCGTTCCATTCCATTCAATATCACTCCATTTCACTCCATTCCATTCTATTCCATTTGATTCCGTTCAATTCCATTCTATTTAATTCCATTCCATTCGGTTCCATTCCATTCGACTCCATTCCATTAGAGTGCAATCTATCCCATTCTTTTCCGTTCCATTTGATTGCAATCCATTCGATTCCATTTTTTTCCAGTCAATTCCATTTGACTCAATTCCATTAGATTACATTCCATTCGATTCCATTTTTCTCCATTCCATTCCACTCAATTCCACTCCGTTCCATTACACTGCATTTCTTTCTATTCCATTCCATTGCATTCCATCAATTCCATTTGAAAAATTTCCATCGATTCCATTCCATTCGAATCAATTACAATGCAATCCATTACATTCTACTCCATTCTATTCCAATCTATTCCATTCTGTTCCATTCCATTCGAATCCATTCCATTTGATTCCATTCCATACTATTGATTTCCATTCAATTCCATTCTTTTCGAATAAATTCCATTCGAGATCATTCCTTTTGAATCCATTCTATTTGAGTTGATTCCATTCGAATCCATTACATTTGGGTCCATTCCATTCCATTCCATTCCATTCCATTGCATTCCATTCCATTCGATGCCTTTCCACTCCATTCAATTCCATTCCAGTCCATTCCATTCGAGTCCATTGCATTCCATTCCAGTCCATATGATGACATTCCAATTGATTCCATTCCATTCGACTCCTTTCCATTCCATTCTATTCCATTCCATTCCATTCCTTTCCTTTCCATTCCATTCCTTTCCATTCCATTCGAGTCCATTCCACTGCAGTCCATTCCATTCTTGTCCATTCCATTCCGTTCCATTTGATATCTCTCCATTATACTCCATTCCTTTCAATTCCATTCTACTCCATTCCATTCCATTTGACTCCATTCCCATCGAGTCCATTCCGTTGAATTCCAATCTTTTCTATTCCATTTTGTTCCTGTCTATTCCATTCGAGTCCATTCCATTCGAGTCCATTCCATTCGATTCCTTGCCATTCGATTCCATTCCACTCGATTCCACTCCCTTCCATTCCATTGCATTCCATTCTATTCCATTCCATTGCATTCCATTCTATTCCATTCCATTGCATTATATTCCATTCCTTTCAATTACATTCTATCTGATTCCATTCCATTCGAATTAGTTTTATTGCAATCCATTACATTCGAGTCCGTACTATTCCAGTCCATTGCATTCCATTCCATTCCTTTCGATTCCATTCCATCAGATACCATTCCATAAAATTGCATTCCATTCGATCCCTTTCTATTCGATTATATTCCTTTCGAAACCATTTCTTTCGAGTTCATTCTATTTGAGTCCATTCCATTCGAGTCCGTTACATTTGGGTCCATTACATTCCATTCCTTTTGATGACATTCCATTTGATTCGATTCCATTCGAGTCCATTCCATTCGAGTCCATTCCTTTCCATTCCATTCCATTCCATTCCTTTCCATTTGATGCCATTCCTTTCGTTTCTATTCCATTTGACTCCATTCCATTCTATTCCATTGCATCCTATTCCATTCCATTCTATTCCTTACTATTCCATTCCATTCCATACCATTCCGTTTGTTTCCATTACATTCTAGTGCATTCCACTCTAGTACATTCCATTCGATACCATTCCATTCCAGACAATTCCATGCGAGTCCATTCCATTCCATTCCATAAGATATCTTTCATTACACTGCATTCCATTCTATTCCCTTCAATTCCATTGAATTCCATTCTATTCGATTTGATTCCGTTCTATTCCACTCCATTCGACTCCATTCCATTCGTGTCCATTCGTGTCCATTCCATTCCATTCCATTCCATTGCGTTCAATTTGATTCGAAGCCGTTCCATTCCAATTTATTCCAGTCCATTCCATTCGAGTCCATTCCATTCCAGTCCGTTCCATTCGATTCCATTGCATTCAATTAAATTGCATTCGATTCCATTCTGCTCGATTCCATTACTTTCCATTCCATTCCATTCTATTCCATTCCATTGCATTCCTTTCCATTCCATTTGATTATATTCCATTCGAATCAATTACTTTGAAATCCATTACGTTCGAGTCCATTCCATTCCAGTCCATTCCATTCTGTTCCATTCGGTTCGATTGCATTCCATTCGATTCCATTCCTTACTATTGCATTGCATTCGATTCCATTCTATTCGAATAAATTCCATTTGAGACCATTCTTTCGAGTCCATTCTATTTGAGTCCATTCCATTGCAGTCCATTACATTTCGGTCTATTCCATTCCATTAAATTCGATTCCATTCCATTCGATGACATTCCATTCTATTCTATTCTACTCGAGTCCACTCCATTCGTGTCCTTTCCATTCCATTCCATTCCATTCCATTCCTCTAAATTCCATTCAATGTCATTCCATTAGATTCTATTCCCTTCGAGTCCATTTCATTCCATTCTGTTCCATCCGATTCCATTCCATTCTATTCCTTTCCATTCCATTCCATTTGTTTCCATTCCATTCGGGTACATTCCACTCCAGTCCGTTCCATTCGATTCCATTCCATTCCAGTCCGTTCCGTTCGATTCCACTAAATTCCATTCCATTCCATTCGATACCTTTCCATTACACTCCATTCCATGCTGTTCCTTTCAATTGCATTCAATTCCATTCCATTCAGTTCCATTCCATTCGACTCCATTTCACTCGAGTTCATTCCATTCCATTCCATTCCGTTCCGTTCCATTCCAATGCATTCGATTACATTTTGTTCCAGTCCTATCCATTCGAGTCCATTCCATTCCACTCCTTTCCAATCGATTCCATTCCATTCGATTCCATTCCACTCGATTCCACTACGTTCCATTACATTGCATTCCACTTTATTGCTTTCCATTGCATTCCATTCCATTTCATTTGTTTACATTCCTTTTGATTCCATTCCATTCCAATCAATTCCATTGCCATCCATTACATTCTTGTCCATTCTATTCCAGTCCATTCCATTCCGGTCCATTTCATTCGATTCCATTCCATTCGGCTCTATTCCATACTACTGCATTCCATTCGATTCCATTCTATTCGAATACATTCCATTTGAGACAATTCCTTTCGAGACCATTCTATTTGATTGCATTCCTTTCGAGTCCATTACATTTGGTTCCATGCCATTCCATTCCATTCCAATCCATTCCATTCAATTCCATTCCTTTCGATGTCATTCCATTGTATTCTATTCCATTCGAGTCCATACCATTCGAGTCCATTCCATTCCATTCCATTCAATCCCATTCTATTCAATTCTATTCCTTTCGACTCCTTTCCATTCCATTCTGACCCATGTGATTCCATTCCATTCTATTCCTTTCCATTCCATTCCATTCCACTCCATTCCACTCCATTCGTGTCCATTCCACTCCAGTCCATTCTATTCGAGTAAATTTCAATGAAGTACATTCCATTCGAGTCCATTCCATTCCATTAAATTCCATTTGATATCTTTCCATTACACTCCCTTCATTTCCATTCCGTTCGATGACATTCCATTCTATTCTATTCCATTCAAGTCCATTCCATTTGAATCCATTCCATTCCATCCCCTTCCATCTGATTCCATTCCCTTCTATTCCTTTCCCTTCCATTCCATTCCATTCCATTCCAGTACATTCGTTTCCATTACATTTGAGACCATTCCTCTCCAGTCCATTTCATCTGAGTCCATTCCATTCGGGTCCATTGCATTCCATTCCATTCGATATCTTTCCTTTACACTCCATTCCATTTTATTCCTTTTGATTCCATTCTATTCCATTCCATTCCATTCCATTCCATTCCATTCCGTTCAACTCTATTCCATTCGAGTCCATTCCATTTCATTCCCTTCCATTCCACTCGATTCCAATCCATTCGATTCCATTTTTTTCCAGTACATTCCATTGCAGTCCATTCCATTCGAGGACATTCCATTCCATTCCATTTGGTCCTGCTCGATTCCAATCCATTCGATTCCATTTTCTACCAGTCCATTCCATTCCAGTCCATTACATTCGATTCCATTCCATTTGATTCCTTTCCATTCTATTCCATTCCACTCGATTTCACTCTGTTCCATTCCATTGCATTCCATTCTGTTCCATTCCATTGCTTTCCCTTCTATTCCACTTGATCACATTCCATTCGATTCCTTTCCATTTGAATCAATTACATTGCAATCCATTACATTCGAGTCCATTCTATTCCAGTACATTGAATTCCAGTCTATTGCATTCGATTCCATTACATTCGATTCCATTCCACACTATTGCAATCCTTTCGATTCCATTCTTTTTGAATAAATTCCATTCGAGACCATTACCCTCGAGTCCATTCTATTTGAGTCCATTCCTTTCGGGTCCATTACTTTTGGGTCCATTCCGCTCCATTCCATTCTATTCCATTCCATTCCATGCCATTCCATTCCATTTTTTTCCATTTGAGTCCATTCCATTCGAGTTCTTTCCATTCCATTCCATTCCATTCTGTTCCATTCAATGCCATTCCATTCGATTCTATTCCTTTTGACTCCATTCCATTCCATTCCATTCCATCCAACTCCATTCCATTCTATGCTATTTCATTCCATTCCAATGCATTCAATTCCATTCCATTACATTCGTTTCCATTCCATTAGAGTCCTTCCACTCCATTCCATTCCATTCCATTCCATTCCATTCCATTCCATTCCATTACATTACATTACATTCCGTTCTGTTTGATTCCAATCCATTTGATTCCATTTTATTCAAGTCCATTACATTTGAGTCCATTCCATTCCAGTCCATTCCATTCGAATCCATTCCATTTGATTCCATTGCATTAGATTCCATTCCACTCGATTCTACTCCGTCACATTCCATTGAATTCCGTTCTATTCCATTCCATTGCATTCCTTTCCAATCCATTTGATTACATTACATTTGATTGCATTCCATTCGAATCAATTACATTGCAATCCATTACATTCGAGTCCTTTCTATTCCAGTCCATTCCATTCCGTTCCATTCCATTCAACTGCACTCCATTCCATTCGATTCCCTTCTATTGCATTCCATTCGATTCCATTCGATTCGAATGAATTCCTTTCGAGACATTCCTTTTGAGTTCATTATATTTGAGTCCATTCCATTCAACTCCATTACATTTGTTTACATTCCATTACATTCCAGTTCATTCCATTCCATTCCATTTGATGCCATTCCATTCGATTCTATTCCATTCAACTCCATTCCATTGCATTCCATTCAATCCGATTGCATTCCATTCTATTCCTTTCCATTCCATTCCATTCCATTCCATTCCTTTACATTCCATTCCTTTACATTCCATTCGAGTCCATTCGACTCCAGTCCATTCCATTCGAGTACATTCTATTACAGTACATTCCATTCATGTCCATTCCATTCCATTCCATTCCATTTCTTTCCATTCCCTTCCATTCCATTATATTCCTTTCAATTTCATTCAATTCCATTATATTCCATTCCATTCCATTCCATTCCATTCCATTCCATTCGACTCCATTACATTGGAGTCCATTCCATTTCATTCCATTCCATTCCATTCCGTTCCGTTCGATTCCAATCTGTTCGATTCCATTTTTTTTGTGCAAACCATTCGAGTCCATTACATTCCAGTCCATTCCAATCGATTCCATTCCATTCGATTCCATTCCATTCGATTCCATTACATTCGATTTCACTCCGTTCCATTCCATTGCATTCCATTCTATTCCATTCCATTGCCTTCCTTTCCGTTACATTTGATTCCATTCCATTCCATTCCATTCCATGCTATTCCTTTCCATTCCATTCTGTTCCACTCCATTCCATGCCATTCCATTCGTTTCCATTCCATTTGAGTCCATTCCACTCCAGTTCATTCCATTCCACAACATTCCATTCCAGTCCATTTAATTCGATTCCATTTCATTTGATTCCATTCCACTCGATTGCACTTCGTTCCATTCCATTGCATTCCATTCTATTCGATCGCATTGCATTCCATTCCATTCCATTTGATTACATTCCATTCGATTCCATTTCATTTGAATCAATTACATTTCAATCCATTACATTTGAGTCCGATCTATACCAGTCCATTCCATTCCGGTGCATTCCATTTGATTCCATTCCCGTCGTTTCCATTCTATATTATTGCATTCCATTCGATTCCATTCTTTTTGTATAAATTCCATTCGAGGCCATTTATTTTCAGTCCATTCTATTTGAGTCCTTTCCTTTAGAGTCCATTACACTTGGGTCCATTCAATTCCATTCCATTCTATGCCACTCCATTCAATTCTATTCCCTTCGAGTCCATTCAATTCCACTTGTTGCCATTGCATTCGATTGTAATCCATTCGACTCCATCCATTCCATTCCGTTCCAGCCGATTCCATTCCATTCTATTCTTTTCAATTCCACTCCATTTGATTCCATTCCATTCCATTCCATTCCATTCCATTCCATTCCATTTGATTCCATTCATTTCCATTCCATTCGAGGCCATTCCATTCCAGTCCATTACTCTCGAGTCCATTCCATTCCATTCCATTCCATTCCAATCGATATGTTTCCATTACACTCCATCCCATTCCATTCCATTCCATTCCACTCCATTCCATTCGTTTCCATTCCATTCGAGGCCACTCCATTCCAGTCCATTCCTTTCGTGTCCATTCCATTCCATTCCATTTGATGTGTTTCCATTACACTCCATTCCATTCTATTAATTTCGTTTCCATTCAATTCCATTGCATCCGACTCCATTCCATTCTATTCCTTTTCATTCCATTCCACCACATTCTACTCCATTCCACTCCATTTTTTCCATTCCATTTGAGTCTATTCCACTCCAGTCCATTCCATTCGAGTCCATTCAATTCCAGTACATTCCATTCAAGTCCATTCCATTCTATTTCTTTTCATTACACAGCATTCCATTCTATTCTTTCGAATCCATTCAATTCCATTCTATTCCATTCCATTCCATTCCATTCCATTCTGTTCCGTTAGATTCCAATCTGTTTGACTCCATTATTTTCCAGTATAATCCATTCGAATCCATTACATTCGCGTACATTCCAATTGATTACATTCCATTTGATTCCATTCTATTCGATTCCATTACACTCGATTCTGCTCCTTTCCATTCCATTGCATTCCATTCTATTCCATTCCATTGCATTCCCTTCCATTCCGTTTGATTACATTCCTTTCAATTCTATTCCATTCTATTTGATTCCATAGTATTGCATTGCATTCGAATCCATTCTATTCGAATAAATTTCATTCAAGACCAATCCTTTTCGAGTGCATTCTATTTGAGTCCATTCCATTTGAGTACATAACATTTCAGTCCACTCCATTCCATTCCACTCCATTCCTTTCCATTCCATTCCATTCCATTCCATTCCATTCCGTTCCTTTCAATGCCATTCCATTCTATTCTATTCCATTCCCATCCATTCCATTTGAGCGCACCCCCTTCCATTACATTCATTTACATTCCATTTGATGCCATTCCATTCGACTCTCTTCCATTGAAATCCATTCCATTCCATTCCGTTAAATCCAATTTCAATCCATTCTATTCCTTTCCATTCCATTCCATTCGTTTCCCTTCCATTCCCGTCTATTCCACTCCAGTGCATATCATTGCAGTCCTTTCCATTCCAGTCCTTTCCGTTCAAGTCCATTCCATTCAAATCCATTCCATTTGAATCCATTCCTTTCCATTCCCTTCCATTCGATATCTTTCCATTCCATTCCATTCTATTCTATGCCTTTCAATTCTATTCAATTCGATTCCATTCGATTCCATTCCTTTCAACTCCGTTCCCTTCGAGTCCCTTCCATTCCATTCCATTCGATATCTCTCCATTACACTCCATAGCATCCTTTTCTTTCAATTCCATTCAACTCCATTCCATTTGTTTCCATTCCTTTCAGTTCCATTCCATTCGACTCCATGCCATTCGATTCCATTCCATTCCATTCCCTTCTGATCCATTTGAATCCAATCCGTTCGATTCCATTTTATTCTAGTCCATTCTATTCCAGTTTGTTCCATTTCAGTCCATTCCATTTGATTCTGTTCCACTCAATTCCATTCCATTCCACTCGATTCCACTCCCTTCCATTTTATTGCATTCCATTCTTCACCCTTCCATTTCATACCATTCCATTCCATTTGATTATATTACATTTGAATCAGTTCCATTCAAATCAGTTACATTGCAATCCCTTACAGTCAAGTCTGTTCTATTCCAGTCCATTCCATTCCGGTCCATTCCATTTGAATCCATTCCTTTCGATTCCATTCTATTCGAATAAATTCCATTTGAGACCATTCCTTCCGAGTCCATTCTATTTGAGTCCACTCCATTCTAGTCCATTATATTTGGGTCCAATCCATTCCATTCCCTTCCATTCCATTCCATTCCATTCCATTCCATTCCATTCTGTTCCATTCCATTCGATACCATTCCATTCTGTTCTATTCCATTCGAGTCCACTCCATTTCATTGAATTCCATTCTTTTGATGCCATTCCATTCAATTCTATTCCATTCGTCTCAATTCCATTCCATTCCATTTCATCCAATTCTGTTCCATTCTATTCCTTTCAATTCCATTCCCTTCCATTCCATTCTTTTCCATTCCCTTTGAGTCCATTCCAGTCCAGTCCATTACATTCGAGTACATTCCATTCAAGTCCATTCCATTCGAGTCCATTCCATTCCATTCCATTCCATTCCATTCCATTCCATTCCATTCCATTCGGTATCTTTCCATTACTCTCCATTCCATTCTATTCTATTTGATTCAATTCAATTCCATTCCATTTGATTCCTTTCCATTTGGTTCCATTCCATTCTACTCCATTCCATTGTATTCCCTTCCTTTCCATTCCATTCCATTCCATTCAATTCCAGCCCTTTCCATTCCATTTTGTTCCAGTCATTTCCATTCGAGTCCATTCCATTAAATTCCATTCCATTTGATGCCATTCCATTTGATTCTATTCCCTTCCTCTCCATTCCATTCCATTCCATTACATCCTATTGAATTCCATTCCTTTCAATTCCATTCCCTTGTATTCCTTTCATTTCCATTCCATTCGTGTCCATTCCACTACAATCCATTAAATTCGTGCCCGGTATATTCCAGTCCATTCCATTCGAGTCCGTTCCATTCCATTCCATTCGATATATTTCCAATACATTCCACTCCATTCTATTCTTTTCAATTCCATTCAATTCCACTCCATTCAATTCCATTCCATTCAGTTCCATTCCATTCAATTCCATTTCATTGGAGTCAATTCCATTCCATTCGATTCCAGTCCTTTTGTTTCCATTTTGTTCCTGTCCATTCCATTTAATTCCATTCTATTCCATTCCATTCCATTCCATTCCACTCAATTCCACTCTGTTCCATTCCATTGCATTCCATTGTATTCCATTCCATTGCATTCCATTCTGTTCCATTTAATTACTTTCCATTTGAGTCCATTCCATTCGAATCAATTACGTTTCAATTCATTACATTCATATATTTCCTATTCCATTCCATTCCATTCCATTCCGTACTACTGCATTCCATTCGATTCCATTCTTTTCGAATAAATTCCATTAAAGACCATTCCTTTTGAGTCCATTCCATTTGAATCAATTACGTTTCAATTCATTACATTCGTATATTTCCTATTCCATTCCATTCCATTCCAGTCCATTCCATTCGATTCCATTCCATTCAATTCCATTCCAATCCATACCATTCAATGACATTCCATTCCATTCAATTCCATTTGAGTCCATTCAATTCGAGTCCATTTCATTCCATTTCATTTGATTACATTACTGTTGACTCCATTCCATTCCATTCCTTTCCATCCAATTCCATTCTATTCTATTCCATTCCAATCCATTCCATTGCATTCCATTCCAGTCGTTTCCCTTCCATTCCAGTCCATTCCACTGCAGTCCTTTCCATTCGAGTCAATTCCATTCAAGTCCATAACATTCGAGTCCATTCCATTCCATTCGGTATCTTTACATTACACTCCATTCCATTCTATTCCTTTCAAAGCCGTTCAATTTCGTTGTGTTCGATTCCATTCCAATCAATCCCATTCCATTCGACTACGTTCCAATCGAGTCCATTCCATTCCATTCCATTCCATTTCGTTCCGTTCCATTCTAATCTTTTAGATTCCACTTTGTTGCAGTCCATTCCATTCGAGTCCATTCCATTAGAGTCCATTCCATTCAATTCCATTCCATTCAATTCCATTCCATTCGATTCCATTCCATTTAATTTGATGTCATTAAACTTGATTCTTTTCCATTAGACTCCATTTCATTTAATTCCATTCCATCAGATTCCATTCCAATGTATTCCTTTCAATTCCATTCCTTTCCATTCCATTCCATTCCATTTCATTCTATTCGTTTGCACTGCCTTCGATTCCATTCCACTCCTGTCCTTTCCATTCGAATACATTCCATTAGGGTCCATTCCATTAGACTCCATTCCTTTCCATTCAATTCCATCCATTTACATTCTGTTCTATTCCTTTCCCTTCCGTTCCTTTCCATTCGTTTCCATTCCATTCGAGTCCTTTCCATTCTAGTACATTCCATTCGAGTCCATTCCATTCCAGTCCATTGCATTCGAGTCCATTCCATTCCATTCTATATATTTCCATAAAACTCTGTACCATTCCATTCCATTCGATTCCATTCAATTCCATTCCATTTGATTCTATTACATTGGATTCCATTCCATTCGATTCCATTGCATTCCATTCAATGACTTTCCAGTCGATTCTATTCCATTCAACTCCATTCCATTCCCTTGCATTCCATCCAATTCCATTCCATTCTATTCCTTTCCATTCCATTCGTTTCCATTCCATTGGGGTACATTCCATTCCATGACATTTCATTCGCGTCCATTCCATTACAGTCCATTCCTTTCGACTCCATTCCATTCCATTCTATATCTTTCCATATCACTCCATAACATTCCATTCCATTCGATTCCGTTCACTTCCATTCCATTCGATTCTATTACATTCGATTCCATTCCATTCGATTCCATTCCATTCCATTCAATAACTTTCCATTAGATTCTATTCCATTCGACTCCATTCCTTTCCCTTCCATTTCATCCAATTCCATTCCATTCTATTCCTTTCCATTCCATTCCATTCCATTCCATTCTTTTCCATTCCATTGGGGTACATTGCATTCCACTACATTTCATTCGTGTCCACTCCATTCCTGTCCATTCCATTCGAGTCCATTCCATTCCAATCCTTTCCATTCGATATCTTTCCATTAGACTCCATTCCATTCTATTCCTTTGCATTCAATTCAAATCCATTCCATTCGATTCCATTCCATTCGAGTCCATTCCATTCCATTCAGTGCCTGTCTATTCCAATCCGGATGATTCCGTTTTGTTCCAGTCCATTCCATTCGAGTCCATCCCATTACACTCCTTTCCATTCAAATCCATTTCATTCGATTCATTTCCATTTGATTTCTTTCTCTCAACTCCACTCCGTTCCTGTCCATTGCATCCCATTCTATTCCATTCCATTCCATTCCATTCCATTCCATACAATTCCATTCCATTCCGTTACATTCCATTCCATTCCATGCCATTCCATTCGATTTTGTTTCATTCGGGTCCATTCCATTCGAGTCCATTCCATTCCATTCCATTCGATTCTATTCCATTCGACTCCATTCCATTCCTTTCCATTCCTTTCCATCCGATTCCATTCCATTCTATTCCATTCCATTCCATTCCACTTGTTTCCATTTCATTCGAGTCATTTCCATTCCATTCCAGTCCATTCCATTCGATGCAATTCCATTCGATTCTGTTCCATTCGACTCCATTCCATTTCATTCCATTCCATCCTATTCCATTCCAGTCTATTCCTTTCCATTCCATTCCATTCCATTCCATTCGTTTGCATTCCATTCGTGTTCATTCCACTGCATTCCAGTCCATTTCATTTATATCAATTCTACTCCATTCCATTACATTCAATACCTTTCCATTACACTCCATTGTATTATATTACTTTCGATTCCATTCAATTCCATTGCATTCAATTCCAATAATTTCGATTCCATTCCATTTGACTCTATTCCATTCCATTCGATTACATTCGGTTCTTTTCAATTCCAATCCGTTTGTTTCCATTTTGTTCCAGTCCATTCCATTCGAGTCCATACCATTCCAGTCCATTCCATTAGATACCATTCCATTGGATTCCATTCCTTTCGATTCCATTCCACTCTATTCCACTGCGTTCCTTTCCATTTCATTCCATTCTATTGTATTCCATTGCATTCCATTCCATTCCATTTGATTACATCCCATTCAATTCCATTCCATTCCAATCAATTACATTGCAATCCATTACATTCGAGTCCGTTCTATTCCAGGCCTTTCCATTCCGGTCCATTCCATTCTATTCCATTCCACTCGATTCCATTCCATACTATTGCATTCCATTCGATTCCATTCTATTTGAATAAAATCCATTCGAGACCATTCCTTTCGAGTCCATTCTATTTGAGTTGATTCCTTTCGAGTCTATTATATTTGGGTCGATTCCATTCCATTCTATTCCTTTCGATGCCATTACATTTGATTCTCTACCGTTCTACTCCATTCCATTCGAGTCCATTCCACTTCATTCCATTCCATTCCTTTTGATGCCATTCCTTTCGATTCTATTCCATTCAACTCCATTCCTTTCCATTCTGTTCCATCCGATTTCATTCCATTTTATTCCATTTCATTTCATTCCATTCCATTCGTTTCCATTCCTTTAGTTTCCATTGCTCTCCAGTCCATTACATTCGAGTCCATTACATTCCAGTCCATTCCATTTGAGTCCTTTCCATTCCATTTCATTTGAAATATTTCCATTACACTCCACTCCATTCTATTCCCTTCGATTCCATTCAATTCCTTTCCATTCGATCCCATTCCATTCTGTTCCATTCCATTCGACTCCATTCCATTCGAGTCCATTCCATTCCATTACATAACATTCCGTTCTGCTCGATTCCAATCCGTTCGATTCCATTTAGTTCCAGTAGATTCCATTCGAGTCCATTCCATTCCAGTCCATTCCAATCTATTGCATTCTATTCGATTCCTTTCAATTCGATTCCATTACATTCCAGTCTATTCCTTTCCAGTCCATTCCAATCGATTGCCTTCCATTCAATTCCCTTCCATTCTATTCCATTCCACGCGATTCCACTCTGTTCCATTGAATTGCTTTCCATTCTCTTCCATTGTTTTGCATTCCATTCCATTCCATTTGCTTACATTCCATTCGATTCCATTGCATTCGAATCAATTACATTGCAGTCCATTATATTTGAGTCCGTTCTATTCCAGTCCATTCCATTCGACTCCATTCCATTCAATTCTATTCCTTTCCATACTATTGCCTTCCATTCGATTCAACTCTATTCAAATAAATTCCATTCGAGACCATTACTTTCGAGTCCATATTATTTGAGTCTATTCCATTTGTGTCCATTACATTTTGGTCTATTCTATTCCATTCGATCCCATTCCATTTGATTCTATTCCATTCGAGCCAATTCCATTCGAGTCCATTTAATTCCATTCTGTTCCATTCCATTCCGTTCGATGTCATTCCATTTTATCCTATTCTATTCGACTCCTTTCCATTCCATTCTTTTCCATCCGATTCCATTGCATTCTATTCCTTTCCATTCATTCCCTTCCATTCAATTTGTTTCCATTTGTTTCCATTCCATTCGAGTCCATTCCACTCCTGTCCATTCCATTCGATTCCATTACCTTCCAGTCCATTCCATTCGACTCCATTCCATTCCATTCGATATCTCTCCATGACACTCCATTGCTTTCTATTCCTTTCGATTCCATTTCATTCATTTCCTTTCCATTCGATTCCATACCATTCGAGTCCATTCCATTCCATTCGGTTCCATTCCATTCTATTCCATTCTATGTCATTCCATTTAATTCTATTCTATTCGATTCCATTTCATTCGAGGCCATTCCATTCCATTGCATTCCATGCCCTTTCCTTCATTTCTATTCCATTCGACTCCATTCCATTCCATTCAGTTCCATCCGATACCATTCCATTCTATTCCTTTCAATTCCATTCCAATCGTTTCCATTCCATTCGAGTCCTTGCCACTCCAGGCCATTCCATTCAAATCCACTCCATTCCAGTCCATTCCATTCGAGTCCTTTCCATTCCTTCCATTCCATTCAATATCTTTCCACGACACACCATTCCATTCTATTCCTTTCGATTCCTTTCAATTCCATTCCATTCGGTTCCATTCCATTCGACTCCATTCCATTCAAGTCCATTCTCTTCCATTCCATTCAATTCCGTTCCTTTCAATTCCAATCCGTTCGATTCCATTTTGTTTCAGTCCATTACACTCGAGTCCATTCCATTCCATTCCATTCTTTTTGAGTCCATTCTATTCGATTTCATTTCATTTGATTCCATTCCATTAAATTCCACTTCGTTCCATTCCATTGCATTCCATTCTATTGCGTTCCATTGCATTCCTTTCCATTCCATTGGATTTCATTCCATTCGATTCCATTCCGTTCATATCAATTACATTGCAATACTTTACTTTCGAGTCCATTCTATTCCAGTCCATTCCATTCCAGTCCATTCCATTCAATTCCATTCCATTTGATTCCCTTCCATACTATTGCATTCCATTCGATTCCATTCTGTTCAAATAAATTCCATTCTAGACCATTCCTTTTGATTCCATTCTATTTGAGTCCATTCCATTCGAGTCAATTACACTTGTGTCCATTCCATTCCAATCCATTCCATTCCATTCAATGCCATTCCTTTCTATTCTATTCCATTCTAGTCCATTCCATTCCAGTCCATTCCTTTCCATTCGTTTCCATTAAATTAGAGTCCATTCCATTCCATTCCATTCCATTCCACGTGATGCCATTCCATTCGATTCTATTCCATTTGACTCCATTCCATTCCATTCCGTTCCATCCGATTCTGTTCCATTCTATTACTTTCCATTCCATTAAATTCCATTCCATTCCATTCGATTCTTTTGCATGCCATTCTAGTCCATTCCATTCCAGGCCTCTCGTTTCGAGTCCATTCCATTACATTCCATTGCATTCGATGACATTCCACTTGATTCTATTCCATTCGAGTCCATTCCATTCGAGTCCATTCCATTCCATTCCATTCGATGCCATTCCGTTCGATTCTATTCCATTGTCTCCATTCCATTCTGTTCCATTCTATCCGATTCCCTTCCACTCTATTCCTTTCCGTTCCATTCCATTCCATTCGTTTCCAATCCATTCTAGTTCATTCCACTCCCACCCACTTCCTTCGAGTTCATTCCATTCCACTTCTTCCATTTGTGTCCATTCCATTCCAATCCATTTGAAATATTTCCATCACACTCCATTCCGTTCTATTCCTTTCATTTCCATTCAATTCCATTCTATTCGATTCCATTCCATTCGATTCCATTCCATTCGACTCCATTTGTTTTGATTCCATTCCTTTCCTTTCCATTCCATTCCTTTCCTTTCCATTCCATTCCATTCCCTTCCATTCCGTTCTGTTCGATTCCAATCATTTCAATTCCATTTTGTTCAATTCCATTCCATTCAATTGCATTCCTCTCCAGTCCATTCCATTCGATTCCATTCCATTCGATTCCATTCCACTTGATTCCACTCTGTTCCATTCCATTGCATTCCATTCTATTCCTTTCCATTGAATTCCATTATATTCTATTCCATTGCTTTCCATTCAATTCCATTTGATTACATTCCATTCGATTCCATTCCATTCGATTCTATTGTATTGCAATCCATTACATTCAAGTCCATTCTATTCCATTCGATTCCATTGTGGTCCCTTCCATTCGATACCGTTCCATTCGATTCCATTCCATACTACTGTATTCCATTCAATTCCATTCTTTTCTAATAAATTCCATTCGAGACCATTCCTTTTGATTCCATTCTATTTGAGTCCATTCCATTGGAGTCCATTACATTTGGGTCCACTCCATTCTATTCCATTCCATTCCATTCGATGCCATTCCATTCTATTCTATTCTATTCGTGTCCATTCCATTCGAGTCCGTTCCATTCCATGCAATTCCATTACATATCATTCCATCGGATTATATTTCATTCAACTCCATTCCTTTCCATTCCGTTCCATCCAATTCCATTCCATTCCATTCCATTGCATTCCATTCCTTTCCATTCCATTCCATTCCTTTCCATTCCATTCCATTCCGTTCAAGACCATTCCACTCCAGTCCATTCCGTTCATGTGTATTACATTCCAGTCCATTCCATTAGAGTCCATAGCATTCCATTCCATTCCATATCTTTCCATCAAACTCCAATCCATTCTAATCATTTTGATTCCTTTCAATTGCATTCCATTCCATTCGGTTAAATTCCATTTGACTCCACTCCAATCGAGTCTATTCCACTCCATTCCATTCCGTTCCATTCCGTTCATTTCCAATCCATTCTATTCCATTTTGTTCCATTCCAATGCATTCGAGTCCATTCCATTTGATTCCATTCTTTCAAATCCATTCCATTCGATTTAATTCCACTCCGTTACATTCCATTGCATTGCATTCTATTCCATGCCATTGCAAACCATTCCATTCCATTTGATTTCATTGCGTTTGATTCCACTAAATTCAAATCAATTGCATTGCATTCCGTTACATTTGAGCCCGTTCTGTTCCAGTCTATTCCATTCCGGTCCATTTCATTTAATTACATTCAATACTGTTGCGTTCCATTCAATTCCATTCTATTCGAATAAATTCCATTCGAGACCATTCCTTTTGAGTCCATTCTATTTGAGTCTATTCCATTCGAGTCCATTACATTTGGTTACATTCCATTCCATTCCATTCCATTCGGTGCCATTCCATTTGATTCTATACCTTTCGACTCCATTCCATTCGATTCCATTCAATTCCATTCGATTCCATTCCATTCCATTTGATGCCATTCCATTCGATTTTATTCCATTCGATTCCATTCCTTTCCATACCATTCCATCCAATTCCATTCCATTCTATTCCTTTCCATTCCTTTCCTTTCCATTCGTTTCCATTGCATTCGAGTCCATTCCACTCCATTCCCTTCCATTCGAGTCCATTCCATTAAAGTGCATTCCATTCGGTTCTATTCCATTCGATTCCATTCCATTAGATTCCATTCCATACCATGGCATTCCATTCGACTCCATTCTTTTCGAATATATTCCAATCGAGACCATTTCTTTCGAGTCCATTATATTTGAGTCAATTCCATTCGAGTCCATTACATTTGGGTCCCTTCCATTTGATGACATTCCAATCGATGCTATTCCATTCGAGTCCATTCCATTCGAGTCCCTTCCATTCCATTCCATTCCATTCCATTGCGTTATATTCCATTTCGTTTGATGTCATTCCATACGAATCTATTCCATTCAACTCCATTCCATTGCCTTTCCTTTCCATCCAATTCCATTCCATTCCATTCCATACGTTTCCATTCCATTCGTGTCCATTCCACTCCAGTCCATTCCATTCGAGTCCATTCCATCCCAGTCCATTGAATTCGAGCCCATTCCATTCCATTCGATATCATTCCATTACAATCCATTCCATTCTATTCCTTTTCATTCCATTCCATTCCATACAACTCCGTTTGTTTCCATTCCATTCTAGTCCATTCCACACCTGTCCATTCCATTCGAGTCCTTTCCATTCCAGACAATTCCATGCTATTCCATTCCATTCCATTCCTTTAGATATCTTTCCATTACACTCCATTCAATTCTATTCCCTTCGATTCCATTCAATTCCATTCTATTCGTTTCCATTCTGTTCTATTCCACTCCATTCTACTCCATTCTAATCGAGTCCATTCAATTCCATTCGATTCCATTCCACTCCATTCTACTCTGTTTCGTTCAATTGCATTCCATTCTATTCCATTCCATTTCATTCCATTGTATTACATTTGATTACATTCCATTTGCTTCCTTTCCATTCAAGTCAATTACTTTGAAATCCACTACATTCGAGTCTATTCTATTAAAGTCCATTCCATTCTGTTCCATTCCATTCGATTGCATTCCATTCGGTTACATTCCATACTATTGCACTGCATTCGATTCCATTCTATTCGAATAAATTCCGTTCGACATCATTCCTTTCGTGTCCATTCTATTTGAGTCCATTCCATTTGAGTCCATTACATTTGGGTCCACTCCATTCCATTCCATTCCATTCCATTCGATGCCATTTCATTCTATTCTATTCCACTCGAGTCCATTCCATTCGAATCCACTCCATTCCATTAAATTCCTTTCGATGCCATTAAATTCGACTCTATTCCATTCGAGTCCATTTCATTCCATTCCATTCCATCCGATTCCATGCCATTGTATTCATTTTCATTCCATTCCATTCCATTCCATTCATTTCCATTCCATTCCATTCCATTCCATTCCATTCCATTCCATTCATTTCCATTTCATTCGAGTCCATTCCACTCCACTCCGTTCCATTCAATTCCATTCCATTCCAGTCCATTCCCTTCGACTCCATTAAATTCCTTTGCATTCCATTCGACAACTTTCCATTACACTTCATTCCTTACTATTCCTTTCTATTCCTTTCAATTAAATTCCATTTGGTTCCATTCCTTTTGACTCCATTCCACTAGAGTTCTTTCCATTCCATTCCTTCATTCCATTCCATTCCATTCCATTCCAATGCGTTCGTTTCCATTTTGTTCCAGTCCTATCCATTTGAGTCCATTCCATAACAGTCCATTCCATTCCAGTCCATTCCAATTGATTCCATTCCAATCGATTCCATTCCACTCGATTCCACTCCATTCCATTCCATTGCATTCCATTTTATTCCATTCCATTGCATTCCATTCCATTACGTTTGATTACATTCCATTCGATTCCATTCCATTCCAATCAATTACATTGCAATCCATTACATTCAAGTCCGTTCTATTCCAGTCCAATCCATTCCGATCCATTTCTTTCGATTCCATTCTATTAGATTCCATTCCATACTATTGCATTCCATTCGATTCCATTCTATTCGAATAAATTCCATTCGAGACCATTCCATTCAAGTGCATTCTATTTGAGTCCATTCCTTTCGAGTCCATTACATTTGAGTCCCTTCCATTCCATTCCATTCTATTCCATTATATTCGATGCTGTTCCATTGTATTCTATTCCATTCGAGTCCATTCCTTTCGAGTCCATTCCATTGCATTCAATGAAATTCCATTCGATTCTATTCCATTCGACTCCATTACATTCCATTCCGTTCCATCTGATTCCATTCCATTCTATTCCTTTTCATTCCATTCCATTCCATTCCATTTGTTTCCATTCCATTCAAGTGCATTTCACTCCAGTCCATTCCATTCGAGTAAATTCCAATACAGTCCATTTCATTCAAGTCCATTCCATTCCATTCCATTCGAATCCATTCCACTCCAGTCAATTCCATTCCATTAAATTCCAATCCAGTCCATTCCATTGGAGTCCATTGCATTCCATGAAATTCCTTTCGCTATCTTTCCATTACACTCCCCTCCATTCCATTCCATTCGAAGCCATTCCATTCTATTCTATTCAATTTGAGTCCATTCCATTTGAGTCCATTCCATTCCATCTGATTCCATTCCATTCTATTCTTTTCCATTCCAGTGTATTCCATTCATATCCATTCCATTCAAATCCACTCCAGTACATTCCATTCCATTCGAGTCCATTCCTTTCCAGTCCATTCCATTCGAGTCCATTCCTTTCCATTTCATTTCATTCCATATTGTTCCATTACATTCAATTCCATTCTATTCCTTTCTATTCCATTCAATTCCATTCCATTCGATTCCATTGCATTCGATTCCATTACACTCCATTCCGTTCCATTCAATTCAAGTCGGTTCATTTCCATTTTGTTCCAATACATTCCATTCGATTCCATTCCATTCGATTCCATTCCATTCGATTCCATTACACTCGATTCCACTACGTTCCTTTCCTTTTCATTGCCTTCTATTCCATTCCATTGCATTCCATTCCATCCCATACGATGATATTCCATTCGATTCCATTCCATTTGAATCAATTACATTGCAATCCATTACATTCGAGTCCGTTCTATTCCAGTCCTTTCCATTGCATTCCATTCCGTTCAGTTCCATTCCATTCGATTCGATTCCATACTATTGAATTCCTTTCAATTCCATTCTGTTCGAATAAATTACATTCAAGACCATTCATTTTGAATCCATTCTATTTGAGTCCATTCCATTCCATTCCATTCCTTCCGATGCCATTCCATTTGATTCTATTCTATTCGACACCATTTCATTCGATTCCATCCCATCCGATTCCATTCCATTCTCTTCATTTTCATTCCATTCCATTCGTTTCCATTCCATTCATTTCCATTCCACTCCAGTCCATTACATTCGATTTCATTCCTTTCCAGTCCATTCCTTTCGACTCCATTAATTTCCTTTGCATTCCATTCAATAACTTTCCATTACACTTCATTCCCTTCTATTCCTTTCAATTCCTTTCAATTACATTCCATTCGGTTCCATTCCTTTTGACTCCATGCCACCCGAGTTCATTCCATTCCATTCTGTTCCATTCCTTTCCAGTGTGTTTAATTCCATTTTGTTCCAGTCCTATCCATTCGGGTCCATTCCATATCGGTCCACTCCATTCCAGTACATTCCAATCGATTCCATTCCACTCGATTCCATTTCACTCGATTCTACTCCATTCCATTCCATTGCATTACATTTTATTCCATTCCATTGTATTCCATTCTGTTACTTTTGATTACATTCCTTTCGATTCCATTCCATTCCAGTCAATTATATTGCAATCCATTACATTTGAGTCTGTTCTGTTCCAGTCCATTCCATTACGATCCACTTCATTCGATTCCATTCTATTCGACTCCATTCCATACTATTGCATTCCATTCGATTCCATTCTATTCGAATAAATTCCATTTGAGACCATTCCATTCGAGTGTATTCTATTTGAGTCCATTCCTTTCGAGTCCATTACTTTTGGTTGCATTCCATTCTTATCCTTTCTATTCCATTATATTCGATGCCATTCCATTGTATTCTATTCCATTTGAGTCCATTCCATTTGAGTCCATTCCTTTCTAGTCCATTCCATTCAATTCCAGTACACTTGATTCCACTCCGTTCCTTTCCTTTGCATTGCATTCTATTCCATTCCATTGCATTCCCTTCCATCCAATACAATGATATTCCATTCGATTCCATTCCATTTGAATCAATTACATTGCAATCCATTACATTTGTGTCGGTTCTATTCCAGTCCTTTCCATTCCGTTCCATTCCGTTCAATTCCATTCCATTCGATTCCATTTCATACTATTGCATTCCTTTCGATTCCATTCTATTCGAATAAATTACATTTGAGACCATTCATTTTGAGTCCATTCTATTTGAGTCCATTCCATTCCATTCCATTCCTTTCGATGCCATTCCATTCGATTGTATTCCATTCGACAGCATTTCATTCCTTTCCGTTCCATCCGATTGCATTCCCTTCTATTCCTTTCCATTCCATTCCATTCCATTCCTTTGCATTCCATTCGTCTCCAGTCCATTCGAGTCCATTCCACTCCAGTCCATTCCAATCGAGTCCATTTCATTCCATTCCATTCCATTCCATTCGAGTCCCTTCCATTGCATTCCTTTCGATGTCTTTGCATTACACTCCATTCCATTCCATTCCATTCTCTTCCGTTCGTTCCCAGTCCGTATCATTCCATTTTCTTCCAGACCATTCCATTGGATTCCATTCCATTCGATTCCATTCCATGCCCTTTGATTCCATTCCACTTGATTCCACTCCGTTCCTTTCCATTGCATTCCACTGTATTCCATTCCAATGCATTCCATTCCTTTCCATTCCATTCCATTGCATTCCATTCCATTCCATTTGATAACATTCCATTGGATTCCAATCCATTCGTAACAACTACATTGTAATCCATTATATTCGTGTCCGTTCTATTCGAGTCCATTCCATTCCAGTCTACTCCATTCGATTCCATTGCATTCGATTCCATTCCATACTATTGCATTCCATTCAATTCCATTCTAATCGAATAAATTCCATTCGAGTCCCTTCCATTCGATTCCATTTTATTTGAGTCCATTCCATTCGTGTCCATTACATTTGGGTCCATTCCATTCCATTGCATTCCATTAAATTCCATTCCATTCCATTCGATGCCATTCCATTTGATTCTATTCCATTCTAGTCCATTCCTTTCGAGTCCATTCCAGTTCATTCCTTTCCATTCCATTCGATGCCATTCCATTGAATTCTCTTCCATTCGTTTCCATTCCATTCCATTCCATCCGATTCCATTCCATTGTATTCCTTTCCATTCCATTCCTTTTCATTCCATTCGTTTCCATGCCATTCGTGTCCATTCCACTCTAGTCCATGACATAAGCGTCAGTTCAATTCCAGTACATTCCGTTTGATCCATTCCTTTCCATTCCATTCGATTTCTTTCCTTTACACTCAATTCCATTCTTTTTTTGATTCCTTTCAATTCCATTCTATTTCATTCCATTTAATTCGATTCCATACCTTTCAACTCCATACCATTCGATACCATTCCACTCCATTCCATTCCGTTTCATTCCATTCCATTCTTTTCCATTCGATTCCAATCTGTTCGATTGCATTTTGTTCCAGTCCAATCCATTTGAGTCCGTTACATTCCAGTCCATTCCAATCGATTCCATTCCATTTGATTCCATTCCACTCGATTCTGCTCTTTCCATTCCATTGCATTCCATTCAATTCCATTCCATTGCATTCCATTCCAATCAGTTTGATTACCTTACATTCGATTCCATTCCATTTGAATCAATTACATTGCAGTCCATTTCATTCGAGACCATTCTATTCCAGTCCATTCCATTCGACTCTATTCCATTGAATTCCATTCCATAATATTGGATTCCATTTGATTCCATTGCATAATGTTGCATTCCATTCTATTACATTCTATTCGAATAAATTCCATTTGAGAGCATTCCTTTTGAGTTCATTCTCTTTGAGTCCATTCCATTTGAGTCCATTACATTTGGCTCCATTCTATCCCATTCCATTCCATTCGTTTCCATTACATTCGAGTCCATTCCACACCAGTCCATTCCATTTGAGTAAATTCCAATCCAGTCCATTCCATTCGAGTCCATTCCACTCCAGTCCATTCCATTTGAGTAAACTCCAATCCCGTCCATTCCATTTGAATCCATTCCATTCCATTAAATCCCGTTTGATATCTTTCCATTACACTCCCTTCCATTCCATTCCATTTGATGCCATTACATTGTATTCAATTCCATTAGTGTCCATTCCATTCGAGTCCATTCCATTCCATTCCATTCCATTCCATTCCATTCCATCATATTCCATTCCATTCTATTCCTTTCCTTTTCATTCCATTCCATTCGTTTCCATTCCATTCGAGACCCTTCCTCTCCAGTCCATTCCATTCGAGTCCATTCCATTCCAGTCCATTCCATTCAAGTACATTCCTTTTCATTCCATTCGATATCTTTCCTTTAAACTCCATTCCATTTTATACCTTTAGATTCCATTCAATTCCATTCTTTTTGATTCCATTCCATTCAATTCCATTCCATTTGACCCCATTGCATTCAAGTCCATTCCATTCCATTCCATTTCGTTCCACTCGATTCCAATTCGTTTGATTCCATTTTCTTCCTTTCCATTCCATTCCAGTTTATTCGAGGACATTCCATTCCATTCCGTTCTGTTCTGCTCGATTCCTATCTGTTCAATCCCATTTTATTCCAGTCCACTCCATTCCAGTCCATTACATTCGATTCCATTCCATTTGATTCCATTCCATTCGATTCCTTTCCACTCAATTTGACTCCGTTCCATTCCATTGTATTCCATTCTGTTCCAATCCATTCCATTCCAATCTATTCCATTTGATTACATTCCATACGATTCCATTCCATTTGAATCAGTTACATTGCAATCCATTACATTCGTGTCCATTCTATACCAGTCCATTCCATTCCGGTTGATTGCGTTCGATTTCATTCCATTCGATTCCATTCCATACTATTTCATTCCACTCGATTCCATTCTATTTGAATAAATTCCATTCAAAACCATTCCATTCGAGTCCATTCTATGTGAGTCCATTCCATTCGTGTCTAATACTTTTGGGTCCATTCCACTCCATTCCTTTCCATTCCATTCCATTCCATGCCCTTCCATTACATCATATTCCATTCCATTCCATGAACTTCCATTCGATTTTATTCCATTTGAGTCCATTCCATTCGAGTCCATTCCCTTCCTTTCCATTCCATTCCATTCGATGCCATTCCATTCCATTCAATTCCATTTGTCTCTATTCCATTCCATTCCATTTCTTCCGATTCCAGTCCATTCTATGAAATGTCATTCCATTCCAATGCATTCCATTACATTACATTACATTCGTTTCCCTTCCACTGGTGTCTATTCCACTCCAGTCCATTCTTTTCGAGTCCATTCCATTCCAGTGCATTCCATTCAAGTCCATTCCATTCCATTTCATTCAATATCTTTCCATTGCTCTCCATTCCGTTCTATTGCATTCGATTCCATTCAATTCCATTCTATTCTGTTCCATTCCATTTGACTCCATTCCAGTCGAATCCATTCCATTTCATTCCATTCTGTTCTGTTTGATTCCAATCCGTTCGATTCCATTGTGTTCCAGTCCATTCCATTCGAGTCTATTCCTTTCCAGTCCATTCCATTCGAATCCCTTCCATTTGATTCCATTGCATTTGTTTCCATTCCACTCGATTCCACTCTGTTCCATTCCATTGCATTCCACTCTATTAATTTCCGTTTCATTCCTTTCCAATCCAATTGACTACAGTATATTCAATTGCATTCCATTCAAATAAATTACATTGCAATCCATTATTTTCGAGTCCTTTCCATTCCAGTCCATTCCAGTCCAGTCCATTCTATTCGACTCCAATGCATTCGTTTTGATTCCATTCTATTGCATTCCATTCGATTCCATTCTATTTGAATGAATTCCATTTGAGACCATTCCTTTCGTGTTCATTCTATTTGTGTCCATTCCATTCGAGGCTATTACATTTGGGTCCATTCCATTCCATTCCATTCGATGCCATTCTATTCAATTCTATTCCTTTCTACTCCATTCCATTCCATTCCGTTCCATCCGATTCCATTCCATTCTATTCCATTCCATTTCATTCTATTCCTTTCCATTCCATTCATTCGTTTCCATTCCATTCGAGTCCATTCAACTCCAGTCCATTCCATTCGAGTTCTTTCCATTCCAGTATGATCCATTTGAGTCCATTCCATTCCATTCCATTTCTTTCCATTCCATTCCATTCCATTCCGTTATATTCTTTTCAATTTCATTCAATTCCATTATATTCCATTCCATTCCATTCAATCCCATTCCATGCGACTCCATTACATTGGAGTCCTTTCCATTCCATTCCATTCCATTCCATTACGTTCCGTTCATTTCGAATCTGTTCGATTCCATTTTTTTCTAGTCCAAATCATTCGAGTCCATTATATTCCAGTCCATTACAATCGATTCCATTCCATTCGATTCCATTCCATTCGATTCCATTTCACTTGATTTCACTCCGTTCCATTCCATTGCATTCCATTCTATTCCATTCCATTGCCTTGCATTCCGTTCTATTCCATTCCATTGCCTTGCATTCCATTACATTTTTTTACATTACATTCAATTCCATTCCATTCTAATCGATTACAGTTCAATCCATTACAGTTGAGTCCATTCTATTCCAGTCCATTCCATTCCGGTCCATTCCCTTCGATTCCATTACTTTCGATTCCATTCCATACTATTGCATTCCATTCGATTACATTCTAATCGAATACATTCATTCAAGACCATTACTTTCGAGTCCATTCTATTTGAGTGCGTTCCATTCTAGTCCAATATATTTGGGTCCATTCATTCCATTCCATTCCATTGCGTTCCATTATATTACTTTCCTTTCCATTTGTGTCCATTCGATTCCATTCCATTCGATACCATTCCATTCTATTAAATTCCATTTGAGTCCATTGCATTCGAGTCCATTCCTTCCCATTCCATTCCATTCCATTCCGTTCCATTCCATTCGATGCCATTCCATTCGATTCTTTTCCATTCGACTCCATGCCATTCCATTCCATTCGATTCCATTCGATGCCATTCCACTCGATTCTATTCCATTCGACTCCATTTCATTCCATTCTGTTCCATCCGATTCCATTCCATTCTATTCTATTCCATTCCATTCCTTTCCTTTCCAGTCGTTTCCATTTCTTTTGAGTCGATTCCACGGCAGTCCATTCCATTCGAGTCCATTCCTTTCCGGTCCATTCGAGTCCATTCTATTCCATTCTATCCCATTGGATATCATTACATTACCCTGCCTTTCATTCTATTCCTTTCGATTCCATTCATTTCCATTCCATTCGGTTCCATTCCATTCGACTCCATTCCATTCCATTCCACTCCATTCCATTCCAATCCACTCCATTCCATTCCTTTCAGTTCGATTCCAATCCGTTATATTCCGTTTTGTTCCAGTCCATTCCATTGGAGTACAATCCATTCCAGTCCATTCCATTCAATTCCATTCAATTCTATTCCATTCCACTTGATTCCCCTCCATTCCCTTCTATTGCATTCCATTCTATTCCATTCCATTGCATTGCATTCCATTCCATTTGATTACAATCCATTCGATTCCATTGCATTCGAATCAAGTACATTGCAACCCATTACATTCGAGTCCGTTCTATTGCAATCCATTCCATTCCGGTCCATTCCATTGATTTCCAATGCATACTATTGCTTTGCATTTGATTCCATTCTATTCGAATAAATTCCACTCGATACCATTTCTTTCGTGTCTGTTCTATTTGAGTCCATTCCATTCGAGTCCATTTCATTTGGTTCCATTCCATTCCATTCCATTCCTTTCCATTCCATTCGATTCCATTTCATTCGATTCATTTCCATTCGAGTACATTCCATTCGAATCCATTCATTCCCTTCCATGCAATTCCATTCGATTATATTCCATTTGACTCCATTCCAATCCATTCTGTTCAATCCGATTCATTCCATTCTATTGCTTTCCATTTCATTCCATTCCATTGCATTCGTTTCCATTTCATTCGAGTCCATTCCATTCCATTCTATTCCATTCGATGCCATTCCATTCGATTCTATTCCAATTGCCTCCATTCCATTTGAGTCCATTCCATTCCATTCCATTCGATGCCATTCCATTGTATGCTATTCCCTACAACTCCATTCAATTTCATTTCGTTCCATCAGATTCCTTTCCATTATAATCCTTTCCATTCCATTCCATTCCATTCTATTCCATTCCATTCGTTTCCATTCCATTTGAGTCCATTCCATTCCAGTCCATTCCTTTCGAGTCCATTCCTTTCTATTCCATTTGATATCTTTCCATTACCCTCCATTCCATTCTATTCCTTTCGATTCCATTCAATTCCATTCCGTTTGATTCCATTCAATTCAATTCCAGTGTATTCGACTACATTCCTTTTGAATCCATTCTGTTCCATTCCATTCCATTCCATTCTGTTCGATTACATTCCGTTTGATTACATTTTGTTACAGTCCATTCCATTCGAGTCCATTCTATTTGAATCCATTCCATTCGATTCCATTCCATTCGACTCCATTCCATTTGTTTCCATTCCACTCGATTCCACTCCGTTCCATTGAATTGCATTCCATTCTATTCCATTCCTTCACATTCCATTCCATTCCATTTGATTACATTCCTTTCGCTTTCAAGGCATTTGAATCAGTTACATTTCGATCCATTACATTCGAGTCCATTCTATTGCAATCCATTGCATTCCGGTCCATTCAGTTCTGTTCCATTCCACTCGATTGCATTCCATACTGTTGCGTTCCATTCGATTCCATTCTATTCGAATAAATTCCATTTCAGACCATTCCTTTAGAGTCCATTCTATTTGAGTCCATTCCATTCGAGTCCACTACATTTGGTTCCATTCCATTCTATTCCATGCCATTCCATTCTATTCTATTACATTCGAGACCATCCCATTAGTCCATTCCGTTCCATTCCATTCCATTCGATGCCATTCCTTTCGATTCCATTTCATTCGACTCCATTCCATTCAATTCCTTTCCATCCAATTCCATTCCATTCTATTCTATTCCATTCCATTCCTTTACTTTCCATTCGATTCCATTTCATTTGAGTCCACTCCACTGCAGTCCATTCTATTCAACTCCATTCCATTGCAGCCCATTTGAGTCCATTCTATTCCATTCCATTACATTGGACATCTTTACATTACCCTCCGTTTCATTCTATTTCTTTCAAATCCATTCAATTCCATTCCATTCATTTCCATTCCATTCGACTCCATTCCATTCTATTCTTTTCCATTCGATTCAAATCCATTCGATTCCATTTTGTTCCAGTGCATTCCATTGGAATCCATTCCATTCCATTACGTTCCGTTCGATTCCATCCATTCGATTCCATTTTGTTACAGTCCATTCCATTCGAGTAAATTCCATTCCAGTTCATTAAATTCGATCCCAGTAAATTCGAGTCCATTCTATTCCATTCCATTACATTGGATATCTTTACTTTACACTCCCTTTCATTCTATTCCTTTCGATTGCATTCAATTACATTAATTCTGTTCCATTCCATTTGAGTCCATTCCATTCGAGTCCATTTCATTCCATTCCATTCCATTCCATTCCATTCCATGCCGTTCGATTCCAATAGGTTTGCTTCCATTTTGTTCCAGTCCATTCCATTCGAGTCCATTGCATTCGATTCGATTCCATTGCATTCGATTCTATTCCACTCGATTCCACTCTGTTCCATTCCTTTACATTCCATTCCATTGCATTCCATTCCATTCCATTTGAATATTTTCCATTCGATTCCATTCCTTTCGATTCGATTACATTCCAGTCCATCACGTTCGTGTCCGTTCTATTCCAGTCCATTCCATTCAGGTCTATTCCATTCGATGCAATTCCATTCCATTCCATTCCATACTATTGCATTCCATTAGATTCCATTCTATTCGAATAAATTCCTTTCAAGACAGTTACTTTCGAGTCCATTCTATTTGTCCATTCAATTTGAGTCCATTACATTTGGGTCCATTCCTTTCCACTCCATTTCATTACATTCCGTGCCATTCGATGCCATTCCATTCCATTCTATTAAATTCAACTCCATTCCATTTGAGTCGATTCCAGTCCTTTCCATTCCATTCAATGTCATTAAATTAGATTCTATTCAATTCATCTCCATTCTATTTCATTCCAATCTTTCCGATTCCATTCCATTCCATTAGTTGCCATTAAATTCCATTCCATTCCATTCCATTCGATGCCATTCCATTCGATTTTATTCCAGTCGACTCCATTCCATTCCATTCAGTTCCATCTGATTCCATTCCATACTATTCCTTTCCGTTCCATTCCATGACATTTCATTCCATTGCATTCCATTCATTTCCATTTCATTTGAGTCCATTACACCCCGGTGCATTCCATTCGAATCTATTCCATTCCAATCCATTCATTTGGAGTCCATTCCATTCCATTCCATTCAATATCTTTCCATTACACTCCTTTCCATTCTATTCCTTTCGATTCCATTCAATTCCATTCCATTCAATTCAATTCCATTAGATTCCATTACATTCGATTCTATTCGATTCTGTTCCATTCCACTCAATTACACTCTGTTCCATTCTATTGCATTCCATTATATTCCATTTCATTGCATTCCACTCCTTTTGATTTGATTACATTCCATTCAATTCTATTTAATTCATTTCAATTACATTGCAATCCATTACATTCGAGTCCATTCTATTCCAGTCCATTCCATTCCGTTCCATTCCATTTGATTCCATTCCATTCGATTCCATTCCATACTATTGCATTCCATTCGATTCCATTCTATTAGAATAAATTCCATTTGAGACCATTCCTTTCGAGTCCATTCTATTTGAGTCCATTCCATTCGAGTCCATTACATTTGGCTCCATTCCATTCCTTTCCATTCCATTCCATTCCATTGTGTTTCGTTTGATTCCAATCTGTTTGATTCCATTTTTTTCCAGGCCAATCCATTCGATTCTATTCAATACCAGTCCATTCCATTCGATTCCATTCCATTCGATTCCATTGACTCAATTCCACTCTGTTCCATTCCATTGTATTCCATTCTATACCATTCCTTTGCATTCAATTCCTTTCCATTTCGTTGTACTCCATTCCATTCCATTCCATTTGATTACCTTCCATTCGATTCCAAGGCACTCAAATCAATTATTTTTCATTCGATTACATTCGACTCCATTCTACTTCAGTCCATTCCATTCGATTCTATTCCATTCAATTCCTTTAGAAACTATTGCATTCTTTTCGATTCCATTCTATTCGTGTATATTCTATTCGAGACCCTTCCTTTCGAGTCCATTCTATGTGAGTCCATTCCATTCGAGTCCATTACATTTGGGACCATTCCATTCCGTTCCTTTCCATTCAACTCGATGCCATTCCATTTGATTCCATTCCATTAAAGTCCATTCCATTCCTTTCCATTCAATTCCATTCTTTGCCATTCCGTTCGATTCTCTTCTATTTGAATCCATTCCATTCCATTAAATTCCTTCCGATTCCATTCCATTCTATTGAATTCCTTTCCATTCCATTCCATTCTATTCGTTTCAATTCCTTTCGATTCCATTCCACTCCAGTCTATTCCATTCGAGGCCATTCCATTCCAGTCCATTCCATTCGAGTCCATTCCATTACGTTCCATTCCATTTGATATATTTCCATTACACTCCGTTCCATTCTATTCCTTTCGATTCCGTTCACTTCCAATCCATTCGATTCCATTCCATTCGGTTCCATTCCAGTCGACTCCATTCCATTCGACTCCATTCCTTTCCATTCCATTCCATTCCATTCCATTCCGTTCCATTCCATTCCTTTCCATTCGACTCCAATCCGTTCGATTCCATTTTGTTCCAGTCCATTCCATTCGAGTCCATTCCAAACCAGACCATTCCATTCGATTCCATTCCACTCAAATCCTTTCGATTCGATTCCATTTCACTCAATTCCAATCCGTTCCATTCCATTGCATTCCTTTGTATTCCGTTCCATTGCGTACCATTCAATTCCATTTGATTACATTCTATTCGATTCCAATTCTTTCAAATCATTTGCATTGCAATACATTACGTTCAACTCCTTTCTATTCCAGTCCATTCCTCTCCGGTCCATTCCATTCGATTTCATTCTATTCGATTACTTTTCATACTATGGAATTCCATTCGATTCCATTCTATTTGAATAAATTCCATTTGGGACCATTCCTTTCAAGTCCATCCTATTTGAATATATTCCATTCGGGACCATTCCTTTCGAGTCCATTCTATTTTAATACATTCCATTCGAGTCCATTACATTTGGGTCCATTCCATTCCAATCCATTCCAATACATTCCATTCCATTCGATGCCAATCCATTTGATTCTATTCCATTCAACACCATTCCATTCCTTTCCATTCCATTCTATTCCTTTAAATTCCATTCCATTCCGTTCAATTCCATTGCAGTAGATGCCATTCCATTCGAGTCCATTCTATTCCATTCCATTTCACTCCATTCTGTTCCATTCAACTCCAATCCATTTGATTCCATTTTGTTCCAGTCCAATCCATTCGATCCCATTCCATTCCAGTCCATTCCGTTCAATTCCATTCCATTTGATTCCATTCCATTCAACTCCATTCAACTCGATTCCACTCCATTTCTTTCCCCTTCATTCCATTCTATTCCATTCCATTGCTTTCCTTTCCATTCCATTTGATTATATTCCATTCAATTCTATTACATACAAATCAATTACATTGCAATCCATTACATTTGAGTCCGTTCTATTCCAGTCCATTCCATTCAGATCCATTCCATTCGACTGAATTCCATTCGATTTCATCCCATACTATGACATTCAAATCGATTCCATTCTATTTGAATAAATTCCATTCGAGACCATTCCCTTCGAGTCCATTATATTTGAGTACATTCCATTGGAGTCCATTACATTTGTGTCCATTCCATTCCATTCCATGCCATTCAATTTGATTGTATTCCTTTCAAGTCGATTCCATTTGATTCATTCCATTCCATTCAATGCCATTGCATTCGATTCAATTCCATTTGACTCCATTCCATTCCATTCCGTTGCATCCGATTCTATTCCATTCTATTCCTTTCCATTCCATTCCATTCCATTCGAGTCCATTCCACTCCAGTCGATTCCACTTGAGTCCTTTCCCTTCCAGTCCATTCCATTTAATTCCATTCCATTCGATAATTTTCCTTTATAATCCATTCCCTTTTATTCCTTTCGATTCCTTTCAATTTCATTCTATTCAATTCCATTCCATTCAATTCCATTCCATTTGACTAAATTCTATTCAAGTCTATTTCATTCCATTCCATGCCATTCCGTTGCATTCAATTCCAATCCGTTAGATTCCATTTTGTTCCAGTGCATTCCGTTGAAGTACATTCCATTCCAGTCCATTCCATTCGATATCATTCCTTTCGATTCCCTTCCATTCGATTCCCTTCCTTTGGAGTCCATTTCATTCCTTTCCATTCCATTCAATTCCATTCGATGCAATTCCATTCGATTCTATTCCATTCAACACCATTCCATTCCTTTCCTTTCCATCTGATTCCATTCCATTCTATTCCTTTCCTTTCCATTCCATTCCATTCCTTTCCATGCCATTTGAGTCCATTCCTATCCAGCCAATTCCATTCAAGTCCATTCCATTCCATTCCATTCCTTTCGGTATCTTCCATTACACTGCATTCCATTCTATTCCTTTCAATTCCATTCAATTCCATTATATTTGATGTCAATCCATTTGATTACATTCCATTCGACTCCATTCCATTCGTGACCATTCCATTTCATTCCATTCCATGCCGTTCCATTCAATTCCAATCCGTTCGATTCCATTATGCTCCAGTCCATTCCATTAGAGTCCATTCCATTCCAGTCCATTCCAATTGATTCCATTCCCTTCGATTCCATGCCACTCGATTCCACTAAGTTCCATTCCATTGCATTACATTCAATTCCATTCCCTTGCATTCCATTCCATTGCATTTGATTATATTCCATTCGATTCCATTGCTTTCGAATTAATGACATGGCTGTCCATTCCATTCGATTCCATTGCTTTCGAATCAATGACATTGCAGTCCATTCCATTCGAGTCCATTCCATTCCGGGCCATTCCATTCGATTCCATTCCATTCGATTCCGTTCCATACTATTGCATTTAATTCGATTCCATTCTATTTGAATAAATTCCTTTCGTTAACATTCCTTTCAAGTCCATTCTATTTTAGTCCATTTCATTTGTTTCCATTACATTTGGGTCCAATCCATTCTAATCCTATCCATTCCATTCCATTCTATTCCTTGACATTCCATTCTATTCTGTTCCATTCTAGTCCATTCCATTCGAGTCCATTTCATTCCATTCCTTTCCATTCCATTGCTTTCTATTCAATGCCATTCAATTGGATTCTATTTCATTCCACTCCATTCCATTCCATTCTGTTCCATCCGTTTCCATTCCATTATATTCTTTCCATTCCATTCCTTTCCAATCCATTCGAGTCCATTTCACTCCAGTCTATTCCGTTGGTGTCCATTCCATTCCAGTCCAATCCTTTCGAGTCCCTTTCATTCCATTCCATTCCGCTCCTTTGATTCCAGTCCGTTCAATTCCATTGTGTTCCAGTCCATTGCATTCGAGTCCATTACATTCCAGTCCATTCTGTTCGATTCCTTTCCATCTGATTCCATTCCATTCGATTCCATTCCACTCGATTCCACTCAGTTCCATTCCACTGCATTCCATTCCATTACATTTAATTACATTCCATTCAATTCCATTCCATTTTAATCTATTACATTGCAATCCATTACATTCGAGTCCACTCTATTCCAGTCCATTCCATTCTGGTCCATTCCATTTGATTCCATTCCATTCGATTCCATTCAATACTACTGCATTCCATTCGATTCTATTCTATTCGAATGAATTCCTATCGAACCCATTCTTTTTGAGTCTATTCTATTTGATTAAATTCCATTTGAGACCGTTACATTTCGGTCCATTCGATTCCATTCCATTCCATTCCATTCAATGCCATTCCATTTGACTATATTTCTTGAGAATCCATTCAATTTGAGTCCATTCCATTCCATTCCATTTCATTCTATTCCATTTGATGACATTCCTTTCGATTCTATTCCATTGGACTCCATTACTTTCCATTCCGTTCCATCCGATTCCACTCCATTATATTCCTTTCCATTCCATTTCTTTCGTTTCCATTCCATTTGAGTCCATTCCACTCCAGTCCATTCCATTGGAGTCTTTTCCACTCCCGTGAATTCCATTCGGGTCCATTCCATTCCATTCCCATCCATTTGAGTCCATTTCATTCCCTTCCACTCCATTGGATATCTTTCCATTACACTCCAATCCATTCAATTCCATTTCATTCAATTCCATTCCACCCGATTCCACTTCATTCCATTCCATTTCATTCCATTCTGTTACATTCTGTTGCATTCCATTCAATTCCACTGTATTACATTTCATTCGATTCCATTCCATTTGAATCAATTACATGACAATCTACTACACTCACGTCCATTCTTTTCCAGTCGATTGCATTCCATTCTATTCCATTTGATTACATTCCATACGATTCCATTCCCTTAGAATCATACATTGCAATCCATTACACTTGAGTCCATTCTATTCCAGTCCATTCCATTTCTGTCCATTCCATTCGATTCCATTCCATACTTTTGCTATCCATTCGATTCAATTCTATTCGAATAAATTCCATTTGAGACCATTACTTTTGAGTCCATTCTATTTGATTCCATTCCATTCCAGTCCATTACATTTGGGTCCATTCCATTCCCTTACATTTCATTCCACTCCATTCGATTTGATGCCATTCCATTCTACCCTATTCCATTCGAGTCCATTCTGTTCGAGTCCATTCCTTTCCATTCAATTCCATTCCATTCGATGACATTCCAGTCTATTCCTTTCCATTCCATTCCACTCGTTTCCATTCCATTCGAGTCCACTCCAATCCAGTCCAATCTGTGCTAGTCCACTCCATTCCAGTCCATTCCATTGGATTCCATTCCATTCCATTGCATTCCATTCAATATCTTTCCAATACATTCCATTCCTTTCTATTCCTTTTGATCCCATTCAATTCCATTACATTCAGTTCCATTCCTTTCGACTCCATTCCATTTGAGTCCATTGCATTCCATTCCATTCCATTCCGTTCCGTTCTATTTGAATCCGATTCATTCCATTTTGTGCCAGTCCACTCCATTGGAGTACATTCCATTCGATACCACTCCATTCAATTCCATTCCATTAGATTCCTTTCCAGTCAATTCCACTACGTTCCATTCCATTGCATTCCATTCTATTCCATTCAATTGCATTCCATTCCATTCCATTTGATTACATTCCATCGATTCCATTCCATTCGAATCAATTATATTTCAACCCATTCCATTCGAGTCCATTCTATTCCAGTCCATTCCATTCCGGTGTACTCCATTCTATTCCATTCCACTCGATTCCATTCCATACTATTGCATTTCATTCGATTTCATTCTATAAGAATAAATTAAATTCGAGACCATTCCATTCAAGTACATTGTGTTGGAGTCCACACCGTTTGAATCCATTATATTTGGGTGCATTCCATTCGATGCCATACCATTCTATTCTATTCCAATCGAGTCCATTCCATTCCATTCCATTGAATTCCATTCCATTCCATTTGATGTCATTCCATTCGATTCAATTCCATTCCAACCCATTCCATTCCTTTCTGTTCCATCCTATTCCCTTCAATTCTATTCCATTCCATTCCATTCAATTCTATTCCCTTCCATTCTATTCCATTCCATTCCATTCCATTCCATTCCATTCCATTTGCTTCCTTTCCTTTCGAGGCCAGTCCTCTCCAGTCGATTCCATTCGAGTCCATTCTACTCCAGTCCATTCCATTCGAGTACATTCCATTCCAAACCATTCCATTCGAGTCCATTCCATTCCAGTCCAATCCATTTGATATCTTTCCATTACACTCCATTCCATTCTATTCCTTTCTATTCTATTCAATTCCATTACATTTGGTTCCATTCCCTTCGATTGCATTCCATTTGATTCCATTACTTTCAAGTCCTTTCCATTCCATTCCTTTCCGTTCGATTTCAATTTGTTCTGGTCCATTCCATTCGACTCCATTCCATTCTATTCCATTCCATTCGATTCTATTCCATTCGATTCCATTCCACTCGATTCCACTCCGTTTCACTCCATTGCATTCCGTTATATTCCATTCCATGTCATTCCATTCCAATCCATTTGATTCCATTCCATTCAATTCAATTCCATTCTAATCAATTACATTGCAATCCATTACATTCAAGTCTGTTCTAATCCAGTCCATTCCATTCCAGTCCATTCCATTAGATTCCATTCCATTTGTTTCCTTTCCATAATATTGCATTCCATTCGATTCCATTGAATTCTTATAAATTCCATTTGAGACCATTCCTTTCGAATCCATTCTGTTTGAGTCCATTCCGTTCGAGTCCATTCCAGTTGATTCCATTCCATTCCATTTCATTCCATTCCAGTTGATGGCTTTCCGTTTGATTGTATTCCTTTCATGTTCCTTCAATTCGAGTCCATTGCATTCCATTCCATTTGATAGCATTTGATTCAACTCTATTCCATTCAACTCTATTCTATTCCATTCCATTTCTTTCCATCTGATTCAATTCCACTTTATTCCTTTCCATTCCATTCCATTCAATTCCATTCGTTTCCATTCCATTTGTCTCCATTCCTCTCCAGTCCATTCCAATCGAGTCCATTCCATTCCAGTCCATTCCATTCGATTCCATTCCATTCGATTGTATTCCATACTATCGGATTGCTTTTGATTCCTTTCTATTCGAATAAATTCCTTTTGAGAGCATGCCTTTCGAGTCCATCATGTTTGGGTCCATTCCATCCAAGTCCATTACATTTGGGTCCATTCTATTCCATTCCGTTCCCTTCAATTCCAATCCATTCTATTCCATTTTTTTCCAGTCCATTAGATTCGAGTTCATTGCATTCCAGTCCATTCGATAACCTTCCAATCGATTCTATTCCTTTCGATTCCATTCAATTCCATTCCGTTCGATTACATTACATTCGATTCCATTCCTTTCGACTCCATTCCCTTCGAGTGCATTCCACTCCAGTCCATTCCATTCGAGTCCATTCCATTCCAGCCCATTCCATTCGTGTCCATTCCATTCCATTCCATTCGAAATCTTTCCATTACACTCCATTCCATTCTATTCCTTTTGATTCCATCCAGTTCCATTAAAATCGATTCCATTCCATTTAATTCCATTCCATTCGACTCTATTCCATTTGAGTCCATTCCAATGCATTCCATTCCATCCCACTCCATTCCATTTGAGTCCATTCCAATGCATTCCATTCCATCCCACTCCATTCGATTCCAATCCGTTCGATTCCATTTTCTTTCAGTCCATTCCATTCCAGTCCATTCCATTTGATTCCATTCCATTCGTTTCCATTCCTCTGGATTCCACTCTGGTCCATTCCATTGCATTCCATTCTATTGCTTTCCATTGCATTCCATTGCATTCCATTCCATTCCATTTTATTACATTCCATTTGATTCCATTCCATTTGATTCCTTTCCATTCATATCAATTCCATTGCAATCCATTATATTGCAGTCCATTCTATTCCAGTCCATTCCATTCCGGTCCATTGAATTTGATTCTATTCCACTGGATTCCATTCCATTCTACTGCATTCCATTCGATTCCATTCTATTTGATTCAATTCCATTCGAGACCATTATGTTTGATTCCGTTCTATTTGAGTCTATTCCATTCGAGTCCATTATATTTGAGTCCACTCCATTCCATGCCATTCCAATCCATTCCACTCATTGCCATTCCATTCTATTCTATTCCATTACAGTCCATTCCATTCGAGTCCATTCCATTCCATTCCATTCCATTTGATGCCATTCCTTTTGATTCGATTCGATTCCATTCCATTCCATTTAATTCCATCCAATTCCATTCCATTCGATTCCTTTATATTCAATTCCATTCCATTCCTTTTGTTTCCATTCCATTTAATCCATTACACTACAGGCCTTTCTATTCGAGTCCATTGCATTCCAGTCCAATCCGTTCGAGTCCATTCAGTTCCATTCGGTTTGATATCTTTCCATTACCCTCCATTCCATTCTATTCCTTTCAATTCCATTAAGTGCCATTCCATTCAATTCCATAACATTCGGTTCAATCCCATTCGTTTCCATTCCTTTTGGTTCCATTCCGTTCAACTCCATTCCATTCGAGTCCATTCCATGCAATTCCATTACGTTCTGTTCAATTCCAATCCCTTCGATGCCATTTTGTTCCAGTCCATTCCATTCGAGTCCATTCCATCCAGTACATTCCTTTCTATTCCATCCCATTCGATTCCATGTCATTCAATTCCTTTCCACTCGATTCCACTCCTTTCCATTCTATTGCATTCCATACTATTCCATTCCGTCCAGTACATTCCTTTCTATTCCATCCCATTCGATTCCATGTCATTCAATTCCTTTCCACTCGATTCCACTCCTTTCCATTGCATTGCATTCCATTCTATTCCATTCCATTGCATTCCATTCCATTTCATTTGATTATATTCCATTCAATTCCATTCTATTTGAATCTATTGCATAGCAATCCATTACATTCGAGTCCATTCTATTCCAGTCTGTTCCATTCCGGTCCGTTCCATTCAATTACATACCACTCTATTCCATTCCATACTATTGCATTCCATTCGATTCCAGTCAATTCAAATAAATTCCATTCGAGACCATTCCTTTCGAGTCCATTCTATTTCTGTCCAATCCATTTGAGTCCATTACATTTTGGTCCATTCCATTCCATTCCATTCCTTTTCATTCCATTCGATATCATTCCATTCGATTCTATTCCATTCAATTCCATTCCATTCGAATCCATTCCATTCCATTCCATTCGATAACATTCCATTACATTATATTCCATTCTATTCCTTTCCATTCCATTCAGTTCCATTCCATTCAATTCCATTCCTTTCCACTCCATTCATTTAGAGCCCATTCCATTCTGTTCCTTTCCCTTCTTTTGAAGTATATTCCGTTAGATTCCATTATGTTCCAGTCCATTCCATTCGACTCCATTCCATTCCAGTCCATTCCATTGGTTTCCATTCCATTCGATTCCACTGTGTTCCATTCCATTGCAGTCTGTTCTATTCCATTCCATTGCATTCCATTCCATTACATTTGATTACATACCATTCAATTCCATTCCATTCCAATCAATCACATTGCAATCCATTACATTCGTTTTCATTATATTCCAGTCCATTCCTTTCCAGTCCATTCCATTTGATAACTTTCCATTCGACTTTATTCCATACTACTGCATTCCTTTCGTTTCCATTCTATTCAAATTAATTGAATTCGAGACCATTCCTTTCGAGTCCATTCTATTTGAGTCCATTCCATTTGAGTCCATTCCATTCCATTCCATTCCTTTCCATTCGAAGCCATTCCATTCGATTCTATTCCATTCGAATCCATTCCATTCCATTCTGTTCCATCCCATTCCATTCCATTCCATTCCATTCCTTCCCCTTCCATTCCATTCCATTGGTATCCATTCAATTCAATTCCATTCCACTCCATTCCATTCAATTCGATTCCATTCCATTCAACTCAATTCCATTCGATTCCATTCCCTTCCATTCCATTCCCTTCTGTTCCATTCAATTCCAATCGGTTCCATTCCATTTTACTCCATGACTGGAATTCCATTCAAGTCCATTCCATTCCAGTCCATTTCATTTGATTGCATTCCATTCGATTCCATTCTACTTGATTCCACTCCATTCCATTCCATTCTATTCCATTCTCTTGTGTTCCATTCCATTCCATTTTATTACATTCCATTCGATATAATTCCATTCGAATCAAGTACATTCCACTCCATTACATTTGAGTCCGTTCTATTCCATTCCATTCCATTCTATTCCATTCCATTCCATTCCATTCCATTCAATTCCAATCTATTCCATACCATACTATTGCACTGCATTCGATTTCATTCTATTGGAGTAAATTCCATTCGGGATCATTCCTTTAGATTACATTCCATTTGAGTCCATTCCATTAGAGTCCATTCCATTTGGTTCCATTCTATTCCTTTCCATTCCATTCCATTCGATTTTAATTCATATTATAGCATTCCTTTTGATTCCATTCTATTCGAATAAATTCCATTCGAAACCATTCCTTTCCAGTCCATTCTATTTGAATCCATTCCATTCGAGCCCATTACATTTGGGTCCATTTATTTAAATTCCATTCCAATACATTCCATTCCATTCCAGTTGATGCCAATCCATTCTATTCTATTCCATTTGATTCCATTCTATTTGATTACATTCAATTCTACTCGATGCCATTTCATTTGATTCTATTCCGTTCGACTACATTGCATTCCATTCCATTCCATCCGAATCTATCTATTCCATTCCATTCCATTCGTTTCCATTCCATTCTAGTCCATTCCACTCCAGTCCATTAAATTCAGGTCCCTTCCATTCCAGTACATTCCGTTCCAGTCCATTCCATTCCATTCGAAATCTTTCCATTAAACTACCTTCCATTCCATTCCATTAGATGCAATTCCATTCTATTTTATTACAATCGAGTCCATTTCAATCGAGTCCATTCCATTCCACTCCATTCTATTCCATTCGATGACATTCCTTTTGATTCTATTCCATTCGACTTCATTTCATACCATTCGGTTCCATCCGATTCCATTCCATTTTATTCTTTTCCTTTCCATTCCATTCCATTAGTTTCCATTCCATTCGAGTCCTTTCCAAACCCATCCATGCCATTTGAATACATTCCATTCCATTCCATTTGATATCTTTCCATTACAATCCATTCCATTCTATTCCTTACAATTCCATTCCATTTCATTCCATTTGGTTCCATTCCATTCGACTCCATTCCATTCGCGTCCATTCCATTCCATTCCATTCTGTTGAATTCCAATCTGTTCGAATCCATTATGTTCCAATCAATTCCATTCGAGTCCATTCCATTCCAGTCCATTCCATTCGATTCCATTCCATTTGATTCCTTTCCATTCGATTCCATTCCAGTCGATTCTAATCCCTTCCATTCCATTGCATTCCGTTCGAATTCTATTCCATTGCATACCATTCCATTCCATTTGATTACATTCCGATCGAATCCATTGCATTCAAATCTAGTACATTGCAATCAATTATGTTTGAGTCCGTTCTATTCCAGTCCATTCCATTCCAGCCAATTCTATTCGATTCAATTCCATTCGATTCCATTCCATACTATTGCATTCCATTCGATTCCATTCTATTCGAATAAATTCCATTTGACACCATTCTTTTCTAGTCCCTTCTATTTTAGTCCATTCCAATCGCATCCATTACTTTTGGGACCATTCCATTCCATTCTATTACATTCGATTCCATTCGATGCCATTCCATTCGATTCTGTTCCATTAGAGTCCATTCCGTTCGAGTCCATTCCATTTCATTCCATTCGATGACATTGTGATCGATTCGATGCCATTCCATTCTATTCTATTCCATTCGACCCCATTCCATTCCATTATGTTTCATCCGATTCCATTACATTCTATTCCTTTCCATGGACTGCAATGGAACAGAATCAAATAGAATGGACTGGAATCGAATGTACTCGAATGGAATGGACTGCAGTGGAATGGACTCGAATGGAATGGAAACGAAAGGAATGTAAAGGGAATGGAATGCTATGGAATGGAATGGAAAGTAATAGAATGGAGTGGAATTGGATGGAACGGAATGGAGTCGAATGGAATAGAATCGAATGGAATGGCATCAAATGGAATGGAATGCAATTTTATGGAATGGACTAAAATAGAATGGACTCGAAAAGATTGGTCTCAAATTGAATTTAATCTGATAGAATGTAATCAAATGGAATGCAACAGTATGGAATGGAAACGAATTGAATGAACTGGAATAGAACGAACTGGAATATAATGGATTGTAATGTAATTGTATCAAAAGGAATGGTATTGAATGGATTGTAATAAAATGGAATGGAACGGAATGCAATGGAATGGCATAGACGGGAATGCAATGGAATGGAACATAGTGGAATCAAGTGGAAAGGAATCGAATGAAATGAAATTGAATTTAAATGAATCAAATGGAATGGAATCAAAGGGAATGGAATTTAATGTTTTCAAAAGGAATAGAATGGTATGGAGTTTAATGGAAATATACTGAATGGAATGGAATGGAATAGAATGGAAGGGAAAGGAATGGAATCCAATGGAATGGACTGGAATGGAATGGTCTCGAATGGAATGTACTGGAGAGGAATGGTTTCGAATGAAATGGAAACGAATAGAATGCAATAGAATGAAATGGAATGGAAAGGAATAGAATGGAATGGAATCAGATGGAATGGAATAGAATTGAATGGAGTCGAATGGAATGGAATCCAATTAGATGGCATCAAATGGATTGGAATGGAATGGAATGAAATGGAATGGATGCGAATGTAATGGAATCGAATGGAATAGAATCAAATTGAAGGGCATCAAATGGAATGCAATGGAATAGAATGGACCGAAATGTAATGGACTCGAATGGACTGGATTCAAATAGAATGGATTTGAAGGGATTGGTCGCGATTGGAATTTATTCAAATAGAATGGAATCGAAAGGAATGCAATAGTATGCAATGGAATTGAATTGAACGGAATCGAAAGGAATGGATCGGAATGGAATGGACTGGAATAGAACGGACTCGAATGTAATGGATTGTAATGTATTTGCTTCGAATGGAATGTAATCGAATGGAATATAATCAAATGGAATGGAATGGAATGCAATGGAATGGACACAAATGGATTGGAATCGAGTGGAATGGAATCAAATGGAATGGAATAGAATGGATTGGAATTGAATGGAGTCAAAAGGAATAGAAGGGAATTTAGGGTAATGGAAAGATATCAAACGGAATGGAATGGAATGGTATTGACTCGAATAGAATGGACTGGAATGAAATGGACTCGAATGGCATAGAATCGAATGGAATGGCTTCGACTGGAATGGAAGGGAATGGAATGGAATAAAATGGAATGGACCCAAATATAATGGACTCTAATGCAATGGACTCAAATAGAATGGACTCAAAAGGAATGGTCTCGAATGGAATTTATTTGAATAGAATGGAATCGAATGGAATGCAAAAGTATGGAATGTCATCAAATGTAATGGAATAGAATGGAAAGCACTGGAATAGAATGAACTGGAATAGAGTGGACTCGAATGTAATAGGTTGCAATGTAATTTATTCGACTTGAATGGAATTGAATGGAATATAATCAAATGGAATGGAATGGAATGCCCTGGAATGGAATAGAATGGGACGCAATAGAATGGAACGGAGTGGAATCGTGTGGAATGGAATTGAATGGAATGGAATCGAATGGAATGGCATTCAATGGAATGGACTGGAAAGGAATGGACTCGAATGGAATGGACTGGATCAAAGTGGAATCAATCATATTGGAATGGAAATAATTGGAATGGAATGGACTGGAATGGAATGGACTCGAATGGAATGGACTGGATCAAAATGGAATCAAACATATTGGAATGGAAAGAAATGGAATGGAATGGAATGGAATGGAAAGGTCTCGAATGGAATGGAGTCGAAAGGAATGGAATCGAATGGAAAAGAACCAAATGGAATGGAATTGAATGGAATCAAAATGAATAGTATGGAATGGAGTGTAATGGAAAGATACTGAATGGAATGGAAAGGAATGGAATGGAATCTAATGGAATGGACTCAAATAGAATGGAAGAAAAAGGAATGGCCTCGAATGGAATTTATTCAAATAGAATGGAATCGAATGGAATGCAATAGTATGGAATGAAATCGAATGGAATGGACCAGAATGGAATGGACTGGAATCGAACGTACTCGAATGAAATGGATTGCAATGTAATTAATTCGAATGGAATGGAATCAAATTGAATGAATTCAAATGGAATGGAATGGAATGCAATAGAATGGAATAGAATGGAAGACAATGGAATGGAACAGAGTGGAATCGAGTGGAATGGAATCGAATGGAATGGAATCAATTAGAATGGACTGGAATGGAATGTACTCGACTGGAAAGGACTGGAACAAAATGGAAACGAACGGATTGGAATCGAATTGAATGGAACAGAATGGAATGAATTTGACTCAAATGGAAGGGACACGAATGGAACGGAATTGAATGGAACGGAATCTATTAGAATGGAATTCAATGGCATCAAAAGGAATAGAAAGGGAGGGAGGGTAATGGATAGATTTAGAATGGAACAGAATAGAATGGACTCAAATGGAATGGACTGGAATTGAATGGACTCAAAGGGAATGGACAGGAGTGGAATGGACGCGAATGGAATGGAAACGAATGGAAAGGAATGAAATGGAACGCATTGGAATGGAATGGAGTGGAATCGAGTGGAATGGAATTGAAGGGAATGGAATTGAATGGAATGGATTCGAATGGAATGGACTTGAATGGAATAGACTGTAGTGGAATGGACTCGAATGGAAAGGAAAAGAATGGAATGGAATGGAATGTAAAGGAAGAGAATGGAGTGGAATCGGTTGGAACGGAGTGGAATGGAATGGAGACGAATGGAATAGAATCGAACTGAATGGCATTGAATGGAATGGAATGGATTTGAATGAACTAGACTCGAATGGAATGGTCTTCAATGGAAAGGCATCGAATGGAATGGAATGGAATGGAATATATCCAAATGTAATGGACTCGAATGGAATGGACTCAAAGAGAATGGACTTGAAAGAAATTGTCTCGAATGGAATATATTCGAATAGCATGGAATCAAATGGAATGCAGTAGTATGGAATGGAATCGAATGGAATGGAATCAAAAGGAATGCATCGGAATGGAGTGGACTGGAATAAAATGGACTCGAAAATAATGGATTGCAATATAATTCTTTCAAATGGAAGGGAATAAATTGGAATATAATCAATTGGAATTAAATGGAATCCAATAAAATGGAATAGAATGGAATGCAATGGAATGGAAAGGAGTGGAATCGAGTGGAATGGAATTGAATGCAATGGAATCGAATGGAATGGACCGGAATGCCATGGACTCGAATGGAATGGACTGGATCAAAATGGAATCTAACGGTTTGGAATCGAATGGAATGGAATGGAATAGGATGGAAAGAAATGGAGTCAAATTGAATGGAGATGGATGGAATGGAATCGAATGGAATCGAATGGAATGGAAGTGAATGGAATCGAAAGGAATAGAAAGAAATGGAGTGTAATGGAAAGGAATGGAATGGAATGGAATGGAATTATCTCGAATGTAAAGGACTGGAATGGAATTGACTGGAATGGAATGGACTGGAGACGAATGGAGTGGAATGTAATGGACTGGAGGGGAATGGACTCGAATGGAATGGAAATGAATGGAATGGAATGAAATGGCATGGAAGGGAAAGGAATAGAATGGAATGGAATTGGATAGAACGGAATGGAATGGAATGGAGTCGAATGGAATAGAAATGAATGGAATGGCATCAAATGGAATGGAATGGAATAGAATGGACTCGAAGGGAATGGACTCGAATGGAACAGAATCAAATGGAATGGAATGGAATGGAATGGAATGAAATGGAATTGAACAGAATGGAAAGTAATGGACCCAAATGCACTGGACTCGAATAGAATGGACTTAAATAGAATGTACTCGAAAGAATTGGTTTCGAATGGAATATATTCGAATAGACTGGAATAGAAAGCAATGTAGTAGTATGGAATGGAATCAAATGGAATGAAATGGAATGGAATGGACTGGAATAGAACGGACGCAAATGTAATGGATTGCAATGTAATTGATTCGAATGGAATGGACTCGAATGGAATGTAAACAAATGGAATGTAATGGAATGCAATGCAATTGAATGGAACGGAGTGGAATTGAGCGGAATGGAATGGAATGGAGTAGAATCAAATGGAATGGAATAGAATGGAATGGAACAAAATGGAATCGAACGAATTGGAAACGAATGGAATGAAATACAATGGAAAGGAATGGAATGGAATCGAATGGAATGGATTCGAATGGAATGGAATTGAATGGAATGGAAACGAATGGAATCCAATTGAATGGAATTGAAAAGAAAATAATGGATTGGGGTGTAATGGAAAGATATTGAATGGAATGGAATGGACTCGAATGGATCGACTGGAATGTAATGGACTCCAATGTAATGGACTGGAGTGGAATAGACTCGAATGGAATGGAAACGAATGGAATGGAATGGAATGGAATGGAATGGAATGAAATGAAAAGGAAAGGAATAGAAAGTAATGGAATGGAAAGGAGTCGAATGGAACGGAGTCAAAAGAAACAGAATTGAATGGAATGGCATCGAATGGAATGGAATGGAATGGAATGGACTCGAATGGAATAGAATAGAATGGAATGGCATCGAATGGAAAGGAATGGAGTGAAATGGAGAGGAATTGAATGGATCCAAATGTAATGGACTCAAATGGAATGGACCCAAATAGAATGGACTCGAAAGGAAGGGTCTCGAATGGAATTTATTTGAATAGAATGGAATCAAATAGAATAAATAGTATGGAATGGAATCGAATGGAATGAAATTGAATGAAATGAACTGGAATGGAATGGAATGGAATGGAACGGATTTGAATGTAGTGGATTGCAATGTAATTGATTTGAATGGAATGGAATCGGATGGAATGCGATGGAAAGGAATGGAGTCGAATGGAATAGAGTCGAATGGAATGGCATCAAATGGTATGGAACGGAATGGAATGGAATGGAATGGAACGCAATGGACTCGAATGGAAAAGAATGGAATGGAATGGCATCGAATGGAATGGTATGGAATGGAATGGCATGGACCCAAATGAAACGGACTTGAACGGAATGGACTCAACAATAATGAACTCAAAAGGAATGGTCTCGAATTGTATTTATTCGAATAAAATGGAATCCAATGGAATGCAATAGTATGTAATGGAATGGAATGCAAAGGAATGGAATAGAATGGAATGCAATAGAAAGGAACGGAGTGGAATCAAGTGGAATGGAATCGAATGGAATGGAATCAAATGGAATGGAATCGAATGGAATGGACTTCAATGGAATGGACTCGAATGGAATGGACTCGAATGGAATGGACTGGAACAAAATGGAATCAAACGATTTTGAATCGAACAGAATGGAAGTAACGGAACAGAATGGACTGGACTTGAATGGAATGGAGTCGAATGCAATGGAATCGAATGGAACGGAATTGAAAGGAATAGAATTGAAGGGAATATAATGGAAAGATGTCAATTGGAATGACTTGTAATGGACTCAAAAGGAATTGACTGGAATGGAATGGACTCAAATGGAATGGAAATGAATGGAATGGAATTGAATGGAACGGAATGAATACAATGGAATGGAATCTGATGGAATGGAATGGAATGGAATTGAGTTGAATGGAATAGAGCCGAATGGAATGGCATCGAATGGAATGGAATGGAATGGAACGGAATGGTCTCGAATGGAATGGACACAAATGGAATAGAATTGAATGGAACGGCATAGAATGGAATGGAAATGAAAGGAATAGAATGGACCCAAATATAATGGACTCAAAAGGAACAGAATCAAATGGAATGGACTCGAAAGGAATGGTCTCGAAAGGAATTTATTCCAATCGAATGGAATGGATTGGAATGCAATAGTATGGAATGGAATCGAATGGAATGGAATCGAATAGAATGGATTGGAATGGAATGGAATGGAATAGAACAGACTCGAATGTAATGGATTGCAAAGTAATTGATTCGAATGGAATGGAATTGAATGGAATATAACCAAATGGATAGGAATGGAATGCAATGGAATGGAATAGAATGGAATGCAATGGAATGGAATGGAGTGGAATCGAGTCTAATGGAATCGAATGGAATGGAATTGAATAAAATGGAATCGAATGGCATGGACTCGAATGGAATTGACTGGAACAAAATGGAATGGAATGGATTGGAATCAAACGGAACAGAAAGGGATGGAATGGAATGGAAAGAACTCGAACACAATGGAGTTGAAAGGAATGGAATCGAGTGGAGTGGAACGGAGTGGAATGGACTTGAATGGAATGGAAACCAATGGAATGGAATGGAATGGATTGGAATGGAATGGAATTGAATGGACTGGAATTGGATGGAACGGAATGGAATGGAATGGAGTGACATGGAATAGAATCAAATGGAATTTCATCAAATGGAAAGGAATGGAATGTAATGCAAAGGAATCGAACTGAATGGTCTCGAAAGGAATGGAGTCGAATCAAATGGAATCGAACGGATTGGACTGCAGTGGAATGGACTATAATGGAATGGAAACGAATAGAATGGAAAGGAACATATTGTAAAGGAATAGAATGGAATGGAATCGGACGGAATGGAATGGAATGGAATGGAATCAAATGGAACAGAATCGAATGGAATGGCATCAAATTGTTTGGAATTAATGGAATCGGATAGAACGGAATGGAATGGAATTTACTAGAATGGAATGGCATGGAATGGAACGGAATGGAATGGAAATGAATGAAATGGAAAGGAATGGAATGGACTTGTAAAGAATGGACACGAATGGAACAGAAAAGAATGGAATGGCATCGAATGGAATGGAATAGATTGGAATGGAATGCAACAAAATGTAATGGACTCAAATGGAATGGACTCAAATAGAATGAACTCAGAAGAAATGGTCTCGAATGGAATTTATTTGAATACAATGTAATCGAATGGAATGCAATAGTATGGGAGGGAATCAAACGGAATGGAATCGAATGGAATGCAATAGTATGGAAAGGAATCAAACGGAAAGGAATCAAATGAAATGGACCGGAATGGAATGGACTGGATTAGATCGGACTCGAATATAATGGATTTCAATGTAATTGATTAGAATGGAATTGAATTGAATGGAACAGAATGAAATGGAATGAAATGGAATGAAATGGAATGGAATAGAATGGAATGCAATGGAGTGGAATAGAGTGGAATCGAGTGGAATAGAATCGAATGGAATAAAATGGAATGGAACAGAATAGAATGGAATGGAGTCGAATGGAATAGACCAGAACAAATTGAAATAGAAGATATTGGAATCGCACAGAAAGGAATGGAATGTAAACGACTCGAGATTAATGGAATCAAATGGAATGGAATCGAATGGAATGGAACCGAGTGTAATGGAATTGAATAGAATAGAAAGGAATAGAATGGAATGGAGTGTAATGGAAAGATATCAAATGGATTGGACTGGAATAGAATGGACTCGAATGGAATGGGTTGGAATGGAATGTACTTGAATGGAATGGACTAGAGTAGAATGGACTCGAATGGAATCGACTGGAGAGGAATGGACTCGAAAGGAATGGAAACGAATGGAATGGAATGGAATAGAATGGAATGAAATAGGATGGAACGGAAAGGAATGGAATGTTTTAGAATGGAATTGAATCGAATGGAATGGCAAAAAATGGAATGGAATGGAATTCAATGGAATTGAATGGAATGGATTGGACTCGAATGGAATGGACTCGAATGGAATAGAATAGAATGGAATGGCATTGAATGGAATGGACCCAAATGTAATGGATTCAAATGGTATGGACTCAAACACAATGGACTCAAATGGAATGGTCTCGAATTTAATTTATTTGTATAGAATGAAATCAAAAGGAATGCAATAGTATGGAATGGAATCAAGTGGAATGGAATCGAATGGAATGTAATCAAATGGAATGGAATGGAATGCAATGGAATGGAATAGAATGGAATGCAATGGAATGGAACGTACTGGAATCGAGTGGAAAGGAATCGAATGGAATGGAATCGAATGGAATGTACTCGAATGGAATGTACTCGAATGGAGTGGACTGGCATAAAATGGAATCAATCGGATTGGAATGGAACAAAACTGGAATGGAATGGAAGGGAATGCAATGGACTCGGATGGAATGGAGTCGAAAGAAATGGAACCGAATGTAATGGAATTGAATGGGATCGAAAAGATTAGAATGGAATGGAATATATTGGAAAGATATTCAATGGAATGGAAAGGAATGGAATGGAATGCAATGGAATGGACTGGAATGGATTGGAGTAGCACGGATTGGACTGGAGTGCAATGGACTCGAATGGAATGGAAACGAGTGAAATGGAATGGAATGGAATGGAATGGAATGGAATAGACTGGAATGGAATCAGATGGAACGGAATGGAATGCAATGGAATAGAATCGAATGGAATGGCATCGAATGGAAGGGAATGGATTCGAATGGACTTGAATGGAATGGACACAAATGGAATTGAGTAGAATGGAATGGCATCCAATCGAATGGAGTGGAATGAAATATAAGGGAATGGAATGGACCCAAATGTAATGGACTGGAATGGAATTGACTCAAATAGAATGGACTCAAAAGGAATGGTCTAGAAAGGAATTTATTTGAATAGAATAAAATCGAATGGAAAGCAAAAGTATGGAATGGAATGGAATGGAATGGACAGAAATGGAATGGACTGGAATAGAAAGAACTCGAGTGTAATGGATTGTGATGGATGATTCTAATGGAATGGAATCGAATGGAATGTAATCAAATGGAATAGAAAGGAATGGAATGCAATGGACTGGAAAAGAATGGACGCGAATGTAATAGATTGCCATGGAATTGATTCGAATGGAATGGAATCGAATGAAATGTAATAAAATGGAATTGAATGGAATGCAATGGAATGTAACAGAATGGAATGCAACGGAATGGAACGAAGTGGAATCAGGTGGAATGGAAACGAACGGAATGGAATTGAATGGATTGGAGTGTAATGGAAAGATATCGAATGGAATGGAAGGGAATGGAATGGACTCGAATGGATGGGAATGGAAAGGAATGGACTCGAATGGAATTGACTGGAGTGGAATGGACTCAAATGGAATGGACTGGAGTAGAATGGACTCAAATGGAATGGAAAGGAATGAAATGGAGTGGAAAGGAATATAATGGAGTGGAATCGGATGGAATGGAATGGAAAGTAATGGAGTCCAATGGAATAGAATCGAATGGTATGGTGTCGAATGGAATACAATCGAATGGAATGGCATCAAATGGAATAGAATGAAATGTAATGGAATGGAATGGACTCGAATGGAATGGATTCTCATGGAATACAGTCGAATGGAATGGCATTGAATTGAATGGAATGGAATGGCATTTCATCGAATGGACCCAAATGTAATGGACTCAAATGGAATTTAATAAATGGAACGGGTTTGAATGGAATTCATTCGAATAGAATTGAATCGAATGGAGTGCAGGAGTATTGAATGGAATAGAATGGAATGGAATCGAACGGAATGGAACAGAATGGAATGGATTGGAATAGAGCAGACTCGTATGTAATGGATTGCAAAGTAATAATTTAAAACGGAATTGAATTGAATGGATTGGAATCAAATGTAATGGAATGGAATGCAGTGGAATGGAATAGAATGGAATGCAATGGAATGGAACTGAGTGGAATCGAGTGGAATGGTATCAAATGGAATGGAACCAGATGGAAAGGAATCGAATGGAATGGACTGGAATGGAAAGGACTCAAATGGAATGGACTGGAACACAATGGAATTGAACGGATCGGAATCGAAAGGAGCGGAATTGAATGCAATGGAAGGGAATGGACTTAAATGGAATGGAGTAGAAAGGAATGGACTTGAAAGGGATGAAGTAGAATGGAATGGATCCGAATGGAATGGAATCGAATGGAATGGAATTGAATGGAATCAAAAAGAATAGAATGAAATGGAGTTTAATGGAAAGATAATGGATGGAATGGAATGGAATGGACTCAAAAGGATTGGACTGGAATGGAATGGACATGAATGGAATGGACTGGTGTGAAAGGGACTCGAATGGAAAGGAAAGGAATGGAATGGACAGGAATATAATGGAATGGAAACGGATGGAACAGAATGGAATAGAATGGAGTGGAATGGAATAGAATCCAATGGAATTGCATCGAATAGAAAGCAATGGAATGGAATGGAATGCAATGGAATGGAATGGAATGAAATGGACTGGAATGGAATGGACTCGAATGGAACAGAATCGAATGGAATGGCAAGGAATAGAATGGAATGCAATGGAGTGGAATGGAATGGAATGGAACCAAATGTAATGGAATCAAATGGAATGACCTAAAATAGAATGGACTCGAAAGGAAGGGTATCGAAAGGAATTTATTCGAATAGAAAGGAATCGAATTAAATGCAATAGTAGGGAATGGAATCGAATGGAATGGCCCAGAATGGAATGGGCAGGAATAGAATGGTCTCGAATGGAATGGACTGCAATGTCATTGATTCAAAAGCAATGGAATCAAATGCAATATAATCAAATGCAATGGAATGGAATGCAATGGAATGGAATTGAATGGAATGCAATGGAATGGAACGTAGTGGAATTGAGTGGAATGGAATCGAATGCAATGGAATCAAATTGAATGGAATCGATTGGAATGGACTGGAATGGAATAGACTCGAATGGAATGTACTGGAACACAATGGAATCGAACGGATCAGAATCAAAAGGAGCGGAATTGAATGGAATGGAATGGACTCAAAAGGAATGGAGTAGAAAGGAATGGACTCAAAAAGGATGAAGTAGAATGGAATGGATAGGAATGGAATCGAATCGAATGGAATGGAATTGAGTGGAATCAAAAGGAATAGAGTGAATTGGAGTGTAATGGAAAGATAACGAATGGAATGGAATGGAATGGACTCAAAAGGATTGGACTTGAATGGAATGGACACGAATGGAATGAACTGGAGTGAAATGGACTCGAATGGAATGGAAAGGAATATAATGGAATGGAAACGGATGGAACAGAATGGAATGGAATGGAGTGGAATGGAATAGAATCCAATGGAATGGCATCAAATAGAAAGCAATGAAATTGAATGGAATGGAATGAAATGGAATGGATGGAATGGACTCGAATGGAACAGAATCAAATGGAATGGTAAGGAATAGAATGGAATGGAATGGAATGGAATGGAATGGAATGGAATGGAACCAAATGTAATGGAATCAAATGGAATGGACTAAAATAGAATGGACTCGAAAGGAATGGTATCAAAAGGAATGTATTCGACTAGAATGAAATCTAATTAAATGCAATAGTAGGGAATGGAATCGAAACGAATGGAATCGAATGGAAAGGCCCAGAATGGAATGGACAGGAATAGAACGGTCTCGAATGGAATGGACTGCAATGTCATTGACTCGAAAGCAATGGAATCGAATGGAATATAATCAAATGCAATGGAATGGAATGCAATGGAATGGAATTGAATGGAATGCAATGGAATGGAACGTAGTGGAATCGAGTGGAATGGAATCGAATGCAATGGAATCAAATTGGATGGAATCGATTGGAATGGACTGGAATGGAATAGACTCGAATGGAATGTACTGGAACACAATGGAATCGAACGATCAGAATCAAAAGGAGCGGAATTGAATGGAATGGAATGGACTCAAAAGGAATGGAGTAGAAAGGAATGGACTCAAAAAGGATGAAGTAGAATGGAATGGATAGGAATGGAATCGAATCGAATGGAATGGAATTGAGTGGAATCAAAAGGAATAGAGTGAGTTGGAGTGTAATGGAAAGATAACGAATGGAATGGACTCAAAAGGATTGGACTTGAATGGAATGGACACGAATGGAATGGACTGGAGTGAAATGGACTCGAATGGAATGGAAAGGAATGGAATGAAAAGGAATATAATGGAATGGAAACGGATGGAACAGAATGGAATGGAATGCAGTGGAATGGAATAGAAACCAATGGAATGGCATCAAATAGAAAGCAATGAAATTGAATGGAATGGAATGAAATGGACTGGATGGAATGGACTCGAATGGAACAGAATCAAATGGAATGGTAAGGAATAGAATGGAATGGAATGGAATGGAATGGAATGGAACCAAATGGAATGGAATCAAATGGAATGGACTAAAATAGAATGGACTCGAAAGGAATGGTGTCAAAAGGAATGTATTCGACTAGAATGAAATCTAATTAAATGCAATAGTAGGGAATGGAATCGAAAGGAATGGAATTGAATGGAAAGGCCCAGAATGGAATGGACTGGAATAGAACGAACTCGAATGGAATCGACTGCAATGTCATTGACTCGAAAGCAATGGAATCGAATGGAATATAATCAAATGCAATAGAATGGAATGGAATGCAATGGAATGGAATAGAATGGAATGCAATGGAATGGAACATAGTGGAATCGAGTGGAGTGGAATCGAATGCAATGGAATCAAATTGAATGGAATCGATTGGAATGGACTAGAATGGAATGGACTCAAATGGAATGGACTGGAACACAATGGAATCAAACAGCTCGGAATTGAAAGGAGTGGAATGGAATGGAATGGACTCAAATGGAATGGAGTAGAAAGGAATGGACTCAAAAGGGATGAAGTAGAATGGAATGGATAGGAATGGAATGGAATAGAATGGAATGGAATTGAATGGAATCAAAAGGAATAGAGTGAAATGGAGTGTAATGGAATGATAACGAATGGAATGGAATGGACTCGAAAGGATTGGACTTGAATGGAATGGACACGAATGGAATGGACTAGAGTGAAATGGACTCGAATGGAATGGAAAGGAATGGAATGGAAAGCAATATAATGGAAAGGAAACGGATGGAACAGAATGGATTGGAATGGAGGGGAATGGAATAGAATCCAATGGAATGGCATCAAATAGAAAGCAATGAAATTGAATGGAATGGAATGAAATGGAATGGACTTGAATGGAACAGCATCGAATGGAATGGCAAGAAATAGAATGGAATGGAATGGATTGGAATGGAATGGAATGGACCCAAATGTAAAAGAAACAAATGGAATGGACTAAAATAGAATGGACTCGAAAGGAATGGTATCGAAAGGAATTTATTCAAATAGAATGGAATCGAATTAAACGCAATAGTAGGGAATGGAATTAAAAGAAATGGAATCGAATGGAATGGCCCAGAATGGAATGGACTGGAATAGAACGAACTCGAATGGAATGGACTGCAATGTCATTGATTCGAAAGCAATGGAATTGAATGGAATATAATCAAATGCAATGGAACGGAAAGCAATGGAATGGAATTGAATGGAATGCAATGGAATGGAATGTAGTGGAATCGAGTGGAAAGGAATCGAATGCAATGGAATCAATTGGAATGGACTGGAATGCAATGGACTAGAATGGAGTGGACTGGAACATAATGGAATCAATCAGATTGGAATCAAATGGAACAGCATGGAATGGAATGACATGGAATGGTCACGAATGGAATGGAGTCGAATGTAATGTAATCGAATGGATTGGCATCAAATTGAATGGAATTGAATGGAATCAAAAGGAATAGAATGGAATGGAGTGTAATGGAAGATACTGAAAGGAATGGAATAGAATGGAATGGACTCGAATGGAATTGGCTGGATAGGAATGGACTCGAATGGCATGGAAACGAATGGAATGGAATGGAAAGGAATAGAATGGAATTGAATCAGATGGCATGGGAAAGAAAAGGAATGGTGTCGAATGGAATAGAATCGAATGGAAATGCATTGAATAGAATTGAATGCAATGGAATGGCATTGACTCCAACGGAATGGAATCGAATGGATGGGAATCGAAAGGAATGATATCGAATGGAATGAACTGGAATGGAATGTACTCAAAGGGAATGGACTGGAACAAAATGGAATCGAACGGATTGTAATTGAATGCAACGGAATGGAATGGACTGGAATCGAATAGAATTGAATTGAATTGAATTGAATTGAATTGAATTGAAAGGAATAAAAGGGAATGGATTGTAATGGAAAGATATCGAATGGAATGGAATTAAATGGAATGGACTCTAATGGAATGGACTGGAAGGGAAAGGACTCAAATGGAATCGACTGGAGTGGAATGGACTCAAATGGAATGGAAAGGAATGGAATGGAAAGGAATAGAATGGAATAGAATCGGATGCAATTGAATGGAATGGAATGGAGTAAAATGGAACGGACTTGAGTGGAATAGAATTGAATTGAATGGCATCGAAAGGAATGGAATGGAATTGAATGGAATGGACACAAATGTAATGGACTAGAATGGAGTGTACTCAAATATAATGGACTTGAAGGGAATGGTCTCGAATGGAATTTATTCGAATGGAATCGAATGGAATGCCATAGTATGAAATGAAATCGAATGGAATAGAATAGAATGGAATGGATCTGAATCGAATGGACTGGAATAACAAGGACTCGGATGTAATGGATTGCAATGTAATTGATTTGAATGTAATAGAATCAAATGAAATATAATCAAATGGAATGGAATGGAGTGCAAAGGAATGGAATAGAATGGAATGAAGTGGAAAGAAATGGAGTGGAATCGAGTGAAATGGAGTCAAATGGAATGGAATTGAATGGAATGGACTGGAATGGAATGGAATCGAATGGAATGAACTGGAACAAAATGGAATTGAATGGATTGGAGTCGAACGGAACAGAATGGAGTGGAATGGAATGGAATGGAATGGACTCGAATGGAATGGTGTCGAGTGGAATGGAATGGAATGGAATTTAAAGGAATAGAATGGAATGGAATCAGATGGAATGGAAAGGAATGGAATGGTGTCGAATGGAATAGAATCGAACGGACTAGCAACAAATGGAATGGAATATATTGGAATGGAATGGAATGGAATGGAATGGAATGGACCCAAACGTAATGGACTCAAATGGAATGTACTCAAATAGAATGGATTCGAAAGGAATGGTCCCCAATGGCGTTTATTCAAATAGAATGGAATCGAATGGAATGCCATAGTATGAAAAGTAATCGAATGGAATGAAATCAAATGGAATGGACTGGAGTGGAATGGACTGGAATAGAACGGACTTGAATGTAATGGATTGCAATGCAATTGATTTGAAAGGAGCGGAATCGAATGGAATGTAATGAAATGGAATTGAATGGCACGCAATGGAATGGAATATAATGGAATGCAATGGAATGGAACGCAGTGGAATTGAGTGAAATGGAATCGATTTGAAAGGAATTGAACGGAATGGAATTGAATGGATTGGTCTGGTTTGGAATGGTCTCGAATGGAATGGACTGGAACAAAATGGAATCGAACGGATTGGAGTCGAAAGGAAAGGAATGAAATGGAATGGAATGGAAAGGAATGGACTCGCATGGAATGGAGTCGACTGGAATGGAACCAAATGGAATGGAATTGAATGGATTGGAAGTGAAAGGAATAGAAAGGAACAGACTGTAATGGAAAGATATCAAATGGAATGGAACGGAATGGAATGGACTCAAATGGAATAGCTTCGAATGGAATGGACTGGAGTGGAATGGAATCGAAGGGAATTGAAACGAATAGAACGGATTGGAATGGAAAGGAATTGAATGGAATGTAATGGAATCAGATGGACTGTAATGGAATGGAATGGATTCGAATAGAACAGATCGAATGGAATGGCCAAGAATGGAATTGAATGGAAAGGAATTGAATGGATTCGAATGGAATGGTCTTAATGAAATGGAATCAAATGGAAAGGCATCGAATGGAATGGAAAGGAATGGAAAGGAATGGAATGGAATGGTCCCAAATGTAATGAACTTGAATGGAATGGACTCACATAGAATGGACTCGAAAGGAATGGTCTCGAATGGAATATATTCGAATACAATTTAATCGAAAGGAATGCCATAGTTTCTAAAGGAATTGAATGGAATAGAATCGAATGGAGTGGACTGGAATGGAATGGACTGGAATAGAACGGAGTAAAATGTAATCGAATGAAAAGTAATTGATTTGAGTGCCTTGGAATTGAATGGAATGTAATCAAATGGAATGGAACGGAATGGAATGGAATGCAACGGAATGGTAAGGAATGGAATGAAATGGAGCGGAATAGAATGGAAGTCAATGGAATGGAATCGAATGGAATGGACTGGAATTGAATAGAATCAAATGGATTGGAATGGAAAAAAATGGAATCGAACAGATGGAATCAAACGGAATGGAATGGAATGGAATGGAATGAAGTCAAATGTAATGGACTCGAATGGAATGGAATCAAATAAAATGGACTCCAAAAGAATGGTCTTGAATGGAATTTACTCGAATAGAATGGAATGGAATGGAATGCAATAGTATGGAATGGAATGCAATAGTATGCAATGGAATCGAATGGAATGGAATCGAATGGAATGGACCAGACTGCAATGCACTGGTATAGAACATACTCGAATGTAAAGGATTGCAATGTAATTGATTCGAATTGAATGCAATCGAATGGAATGTAATCAAATCGAAATGAATGAAATGCAATTGAATGGAATAGAATGGAATGCAATAGAATGGAATGGAGTGTAATAGAGTGGAATAGAATAGAATGGAATAGAATCGAATGTAATGGAATCTAATGGAATTGAATTGAATGGAATTGAATTGAATTGAATCGAAAGGAATAGAATGGAAAGGAGCGTAATGGAAAGATATTGAATGGAATGGAATGATCTCCAAATGAATGGACTGGAATGGAATGGATTCGATTGGAATGCACTGGGGTGTAATGGACTCGAATGAAATGGAAAAGAATGGAATGCAATGGAATGAAACGGAATGGAATGGATTGGAAAGGAACAGAATGGAATGGAATCAGATGGAACTGAACAGAATGGAATGGAGTCGACTGGAATAAAATCGAAAGCAATGGCATGGCATGGAATGGAATGATATGGAATGGAATGGAAAGGAATCGGATGGAAATGAATGGAATGGAATGGAGTCGAATGGAATACAATTGAATGGAATGGCATCGAATGGAATGAAATGGAATGGAATGGAATTGCAACTAATGGAATGGAATGGAATCGGAAAGATTGGAATGGAATATAATGGAGACGAATTAAATAGAATCTAATGGAATGACATCGAATGGAATGGAAAGGACAGGAATTGACTCGAATGGAATGGAGTCGAATGGAATAGAATGGAATGGAATGGCATCGAATGGCACGGAATGTAATGAAATGGAGTGGAAAGGAATGTACCCAAATGTAATGGACTCAAATTGAATGGACAAATAGAATGGACTCGAAAGTAATTGTCTCGAATGGAATTTATTCAAATAGAATGGAATCGAATGGAATTCAATAGTATGGAACGGAATGGAATGGAATTGCATTGAATGGAATAGACCTGAATGGAATGGACCGGAATAGAACAGACATGAATGTGATGGAATGGAATGGAATTGATTTGAATGGAATGGTATCGAATGGAAAATATTCAAATGGAATGGAATGGAATGCAATGGAATGGAATAGAATGGAATGTAAAGGAATAGAACAGAGTGGAATCGAGTGGAATAGAATCGAATGCAATGGAATCGAATGGAATGGAATCGAATGCAATGGGCTCGAATGGAATGGACTGGAACAAAATGGAAGCGAACCTATTGGAATCAAACGGCATGGAATGGAATGGAATAAAATGGACTCGAATGGAATGGACTCAAATGGAATGGAAGGGAATTAATGTAATTGAATGCAATCAAAAGGAATAGAATGAAAGGGAGTGTAAAGTAAACATATCCAATGTAATGGAATGGAATAGAATGGACTCAAATGGACTGGAATCGAATTTAGTGAACTGGAATGGAATGCACTCGAATGGAATGGACTGCAACAAAATGGAATCGAATGAATTGGAATCGAATGGAACATAATGGAATGGAATGGATTCCAATGGAATGGACTGGAACAAAATGGAATCGAACGTCTTTGAATCGAATGGAATGAAATGGAATGGAATGGAATGGAGTCGAAAGGAAAGGAACCGAATGGAATGGAATTGAATGGATTCGAAAGAAATAGAATGCAACGGAGTGTAATGTAAAGATCTCCAATGGAATGGAATGAAATAGAATGGACTCGAATGGACTGCAATGGAATGGAATTGGAATGGAATGGACTGCAGTGGACTGGACTCAAACGAAATGTAATCGAATGGAAAGTAAAAGAATGGAATGGAATAGAATAGAATGGAATGGAATCGGATGGAAAGGAATTGAATGGAATGGAGACGAATGGAATAGAATCGAAAGGAATGGCATCGAATGGAATGCAATGGAATGGAATGGAATGGAAAGGAATGGACTGGAATGGAATGTTATCGAATGTAATAGAATAGAATGGAATGGCATCGAATGGAATGGAATGGAACCAAATGTAGTGGACTCGAATGTAATGGAATCCGAAAGAATGGACTCTAAAGGAATGGTGTGAAATGGAATTTATTTGCATAGAATGGAATCGAATGGAATGCAACAGTATGGAATGGAATCGAGTGGAATGGAACAGAATTGAATGGACTGGAATGCAATGGACTGCAATAGAAAGGACTCCAATATAATGGAAAGAAATGTAACTGATTCGAATGCCTTGAAAGCGAAAGGAATGTAATCAAATGGAATGGAATGCAATGCGAAGGAATGGAATAGAATGGAATGCAATGGAACAGAATGGAGTGGAATCTAGTGGAATGGAATCAAATGGAACGGAGTCGAATGGAATGGAATCGAATGGAATGGACTGAAATGGAATGGACTCGAAAGGAATGGACTGGAACAAAATGTAATCAAATGGAATGGAATCGAAAGGAATGGAATAGAATGGAATGGAATTGACTCAAAAGGAATAGAGTCGAATGGAATGGAATTGAATCGAATGGAATCGAACGGAATGGAATTGAATGGAATCGAAAGGAATAGAATGGAATGGAGTGTAATGGAAAGATATCAAATGGAATGGAATGGAATGGACTCAAAAGGATTGGACTTGAATGGAATGGAATCGAATGGAATGGACTCAAATGTAATGGAAACGAATGGAATGGAATGGAATTGAATAGAATGGAATGGAATGGAAAGGAAAGCAATATAATGGAAAGGAATCTGATGGAACGAAATGGAATTGAATGGAGTTGTAGGGAATAGCATACAATGGAATGTCATCGAATAGAATGGAATGGAATGGAATGGAATGGAATGGAATGGAATGGAATGGAGTCGAATGGAATGGAATGGAATTGAGTCGAATGGAATGGAGGCGAGTGGAATAGAATTGAATGGAATGGCTTGGAATGGAATGGAATGGACTCGAATGAAATGGAATCGAAAGGAACAGAATGGAATGAAATGGAAAGGAATAGACTGGAATAGAATCGGATTGAACAGAATGGATTGGAATGGAGTCGAATGTAATATAATTGAATGGAATTGCATGGAATGGAATGGAATGGAATGAATGGATTCGAATGGAATGTACTCTAATGGAAATGAATCAAATGGAATGGCATGGAATGGAATGGACCCAAATGAAATGGACTCGAATGGAATGGACTCAGAATGGACTCGAAAGAAATGGTCTCAAATGGAACTTATTCGAATAGAATGGAATCAAATGAAAAGCAATAGTATGTAATGGAATTGAATGGAATGGACTGGAATGGAATGGATTGGAATAGAAAAGACTCAAATGAAATGGATTGCAAAGTATTTGATTCAAATGGAATGGAATCGAATGGATTGTAATCAAATGGAATCGAATGGATTGCAGTGGAATGGAATAGAATGGAATGCAATGGAAGGGAACAGAGTGCAATCAAGTGGAATGGAATTGATTTGAATGGAATCGAATGGAATGGACTGCAATGCATTGTACTCGAATGGAATGGACTAGAACAAAGCAGAATTGAACGGATTGGAACCAAACTGAAAGGAATGGAATGGAATGGAGTGGAATGGTATGGAATGGAGTTGAATGGAATGAAACTGAATGGAATGGAAATGAATGGAATCGAAAGGAATAGAATGAAAGGCAGGGTAATGTAATGATATCCAATGGGATAGAATGGAATAGAATGGACTAGAATGTACTGGAAAGGAATAGACTCGAATGGAATGGACTACAGTGTAATCAACTAAAATGAAATGGAAACGAATGGAAAGGAAAGGAATGGAATGGAATCGGATGGAATGGAATGGAAGAGAATGGAGTCGAATGGAATAGAATTGAATGCAATGGCATCAAATGGAATGGAATGGAATGGAATGGAATGGTATGGAAAGGAATGGACTCGAATGTTATGGACTAGACTGGAATTTAATAGAAAGGAATGGAATGGAATAGAATGGAATGGACTCGAATGGAATGGACTGGAACAAAATGCAATCGTATGGCTAGGAATCAAATCGCACGGGTTGGAATGGAATGGACACGAAAGGAATGGAGTCGAATGGAATGGAAACGAATGGAATGGAATTGAAAGGAATACAAATGAATAGAATGGAATGGAGTGTAATGGAAAGATATCGAATGCAAAGGAATGGAATGGAATGGTCTAAAATGGAATAGACTGTATTGGAATGGACTCGAATGGAATGGAATGCAGTGGAATGGACTCGACTGGAAAGGAAAAAAACGGAATGGAATGGAAAGGAATAGAATGGAATTGAACTGGATGGATCGGAATAAAAAGGAATGGAATCAAATGGAATAGAATCGAATGGAAAGTCGTCGACTGGAAGGGAATGGAATGGAATCGAATGGAATCAAATGGAATTGAATTGAATGTAATAGAGTCGAATGGAATGGAATTGAATGGAATCGAAAGGAATGGAATGGAATGGAGTGTTATGGAACGATATCAAATGGAATGAAATGGAATGGACTCTAAAAGAATGGACTGGAATGGAATGGACTCAAATGGAATGGACTGGAGTGGTATGGACTCGAATGGAATGGAAACGAATGGAAAGGAATGGAAGAGAAATGAAGAAAACGGAATGGAATCTGATGGAAAGGAATGGAAAGGAATGGAGTCGAATGGAATGAACTTTAATGGAATGTATTCAAATGAATTGACTGAAGTGGAATAGAATTGAGTGCAATGGAAACGAGTGGAATGGAATGGAATGGAATGGAAAGGAATGGAATTGAAAGGAATATATCGGAATGGAATCTGATGGAATGGAATTGAATTGAATGGAGTCGAATGGAAGTGAATCAAATTGAATGGCATCAAATTAAATGGAATGCAATCGAATGGAATGGAATCGAATGGAATGAACTGTAATGGAATGCAGTCTAAAGGAATGGAATGCAAAAGAAAGGAATCGAATGGATTGGAATCGAACGGAACGGAATGGAAAGGAACGGAATGCAATGGACTCGATTGGAATGTAGTCGAATGGAATGGAATCGAATGGAATGGAATCGAATAAAAAGGAATTGAATGGAATTTAAAGAAATAGAATGGAATGGAGTGTAATGAAAAGATAGCAAATGGAATGGAATGGACTTGAATGGAATGGACTTGAATGTAATTGACTGGAATGGAATGGACTGGAGTGGAATGGACTCAAATGGAATGGAAATGAATGGTATGGAATGAAATTGAATGGATTGGAATGGAATAGAATGGAAAGGGATTGGATGGAACGGAATGGAATGGAATGGAGTTGACTGGAATAGAATCAAATGAAATTTAATCGAAAGGAAGGGAATGGAATGTACTCGAATTGAATGGACTCGAATGGAATTGAATGGAATTGACTGTCATTGAATGGAATGGAATGGAATGCAAATGGATTGGAATGGATTGGAATGGAATGGAAAGGACCAAAATGTGATGGACTCGAATGAAATTGACTCAAATGAAATTGAACGGAATGGACTGTCATTGAATGGAATGGAACGGAATGCAAATGGAATGGAATGGAATGGAGTGGAATGGAATGGACCCAAATGTAATGGACTCGAACGGAATGAACTCAAATGGAATTGAAAGGAATGGAGTGTCATTGAATGGAATGGAATGCAAATGGAACGGAATGGGAGCAAATGTAATGGACTCGAATGGACTGGACTCAAATAGAATGGACTCAAAAGGAGTGGTCCTGAATGGAATTTATTTGAATGGAATGGAATCAAATGAAATGCAATAGTATGGAATGGAATTGACTGGAATGGAATTGAAAGGAAAGGACTGGAATAGAATGGAGTGGAATAGAATGGATTCGAATATAATGAATTGAAACGTAATTTATTCGAATGAAATGGAATAAAATGGAAAGTAATAAAATGGAACGGAATGGAATACAGTGGAATGGAATAGAATGGAATGCAATGGAATGGAACAGAGTGGAATCGAGTGCAATGGAATTGAATGGAATATATTCGAATGGATTGGAATCGAATGGAATGGACTGGAAAAAAATGGAATAAAACCAACTGGAATCGAACGGAACGGAATGGAATGGAAATGAAGCGAATGGAATGGATTCGAATGGAGTGGAACCGAACGGAATGGAATTGAATGGAATGGAATTGAATGGAATCGAAAAGAACAGAATGGAATGGAGGGTAATGGAATGATATCGAATGGAAAGGAATGGAATGGACTCGAATGGAATGGACTGGAAGAGAATGGACTGGAATTCAATGGAAAGGAGTGGAATGGACTCGAATGGAATGGAAACGAAACGAATGGAAGGGAATGGAATAGAAAGGAGGAGAAAGGAATGAAATCATACGTAACGGAATGGAATGGAATGGAGACGAATGGAATAGAATCCAATGGAATGGCATCGAACAGAATGGAATGGAATGGAATGGAAGGGACGCGAATGGAATGGAGTCGAATGGAATGGAAACGAATGGAATGGGATTGAATAGAATGGAATTGAATTGAATCAAATAGAATAGTATAGAATGGAGAGTATTGGAAAGATATCAAGTGGAATGGAATGGACTCGAATGAAATGGACTGGAATGGAATGGAGACAAATGTAATGTACTGGAGTTGAATGGACTCTAATGGAATCGAAACGAATTGAATGGAGGGAATGGAATTGAAAGGAATAGAATGGAACAGCATCGGATGAAATGGAATGGAAAGGAATGGAGACGAATGGAACAGAATCGAATGGAATGGAAAGAAATGGAATGGACTCGATCGGAATAGAACAGAATGAAATGAGATCGAATGGTATGGAAAGAATGGAAAGGAATGAAATGGAATGGAACGGAATGGAACCAAATACAATGGACAAGAATTGAATGGACTCAAATAGAATGGACTCGAAAGGAATGGTCTCGAATGGAGTTTATTCAAAAAGAATGGAATCGAATGGAAGGCAATAGTATAGAAAGGAATAGAAAGGAATGGAACCAAATGGAATTGACTGGAATGGAATATATTGGAACAGAATGGACTCGACTGTAATGGATTGCAATGTAATTTATTTGAACGGAATGGATTCAAATCTAATGTAATAAAATGGAATGGAAGGTATGAAATGGAAGGGAATAGAATGAAATGCAATAAAATGGAAGGGAGTGGAATCGAGTGGAATGGAATTGAATGGAAAGGAATAAAATGGAATGGACTGGAATGGAATGGACTCGAATAAAATGGACTGGAACAAGATGGAATCGAAAGGATTGGATTCGAATTGAATGGATTGTAATGGAATGGAATGGAATCGAATGGCAGGGAGTCGAATGGAATGGAACCGAATGGAAAGGAAACGAATGGAATGGAATTAATGGATTTGAAAGTATAGAATGGAATGGAGTGTAATCTAGAGATATTGAATGCAATGGAATAGAATGGACTCGAATGGAATGGAGTCAAAAGGAAAGAATTGAAAGAAATGGAATTGAATGGAACGGAATTGAATAGAATCGAAAGGCACAGAATAGAATGGAGTGTAATGGAAAGATATCGAATAGAAAGGAAAGGGATGGAGTGGATTCGAATGGAATGGATTTGAATGGAATGGACTCAAATGGGAAGGACTGGAATGGAATGGGCTCCAATAGAATGGACTGGAGTGGAATGGACTGGAATGGATGGGAAAAGAATGGAATGGAATGGAATGGAAAGGACTAAAATGGAATGAAGTTGGATTTAAGGGAATGGAATGGAATGGATTCGAATGGAAGAGAATCGAATGGAATGGCATCAAATAGAACCAAAAGGAATGTAATGGAATGGAATGGACTCCAATTGAATGGACCCGAATGGAATATAATCGAATGGAATTGCCTTAAATGGAATAGAATGGAGCGGAATAGAATGTAATGGAATGGAATGGAGTCGAATGGAATGGACTCGAATGGAATAGAATTGAATGAAATGGCCTTGAATGGAATGGAATGGAGTGGAATGGAATGGAATGGAATGGAATGGAATGGAATGGACTCAAATGCAATGGACTCGAATGGAATGAACTCAAAGAGAAAGGACTCGAAAAGAATGTTCTCAAATGGAATTTATTCGAATACAATGGAATCGAATAGAATGCAATAGTATGGAATGGAACTGAACGGAATGGAATCGAATGGAATGGACCGGAATGGAATGGACTGAAATAGAACGGACTCAAATGTAATGAATGGCAATGTAACTGATTCGAATGGAAAGGAATATAATGGAATGTAATCAAGTGGAATGGAATGGAATGCAATGGAATGGAATAGAATAGAATGGAATGCAATGGAATGGTACGGTGTGGAATCGAGTGGAATGGAATCGAATGGAGTGGAATCGAAGGGAAAGGAATTTAATGGAATGGACTGGAATGGAATGGACTCGAATGGAATGGACTGGAACAAAATGGAATCGTGCAGATCACAATCAAATGGAATGGAATGGAATGAAAAGGATTTAACTAGAATGGAATGGAGTAGAATGGAATCAAATGTAATGGAATTGAATGGAGTCGAATGGAATAGAATGGAATGGAGTGTAATGGAAAGTTATCAAATGTAATGGAATGCAATGGAATCGAATGGAACGGACTGGAATGCAATGGACTAGAATGGAATGGACTGAAGTGGAATGGACTCAAAAGGAAAGGAAACGAATGGAATGGAATGGAATGGAAAGCAATGGAATGGAATGGAATGGAATAGAATGGAATGGAATTAGATGGAACGGAGTGGAATGTCATGGAGTCGAATAGAATAGAATCCAATCGAGTGACATCGAATGGAATGGAATGGAATCGAATGGAATCGAATGGAATGGATTCGAATGGAATGGAATCGAATGGAATGGAATAAAATATAATGGAATTGAATGGATTCGGAAGGAGTAGAATGGAATGGAGTAAAATGGAAAGAAATCGAAAGGAATAGAAAGGAATGGACTCGAATGGAATGCACTACAATTGAATGGACTCTTATGGAATGGACTGGAGTGGAATGGACTCGAAAGAAATGGAAACGAATAGAATGGAATGGAATGGAATGGAAAGGAACAGAATGGAATGGAATAGGATGGAATGGAGTGGAATGTAATGGAGTCAAATGGAATAGAATCCAATGGAGTGACATCGAATGGAATGGAATGGACTCGAATGGAATGGACCAGAACAAAATGTAATCGAATGGATTGGAATTGAATGGAACTGATGGAATGGAATGGATTCGAATGGAATGGAGAGCAATGGAATGGAATTAAATGAAATCGAAAGGAATAGAATGAAATGGAGTGTAAGTTAAAGATATGCAATTGAATGGAATGGAATGGAATGGATTCGAATGGAATGGACTGTAATGGAATGGACTCGAAATGAATGGACTGGAAAAAATGGAATCAAACGGATTGAAATTTAATAGAACTGAATGAAAAGGAACGGAATGGAATTAAATGGATTCGAATGGAATGGAGTCGCATGGAATGGAATCAAATGCAATGGAATCAAATGGAATAGAATTGAATGGAATCGAAAGGAATAGAATGGTATGGAGGGTAATGGAAAGATAACGAATGGAATGGAATGGAATGGAATGGAATGGAATGGAATGGAATGGAATGGACTCGATTGGAATGAACTGGAATGGAATGGACTAGAATGGAATGGCCAGGAGGGGAATGGACTCGAATGGAATGGAAAAGAATGGAATGAAATGGAGTGGAATGGAATGCAATGGAATGGAATGGAAATGAATGGAAAGAAAAGGAGTGGAATGGAATGCAATGGAATGGAATGGAAACGAATAGAATGGAATGGAATATGATGGAACATAATGGAATGGAATGGTGTCGAATGTAGTAGAATCAAATGGAATGCCATCGAATTGAATGGTATGGAATGGAATGGACTCGAATGGAATGGAGTCGAGTGGAATAGAGTCAAATGGAGTGTCATAGAATGGAATGGAATGGAATAGAATGGAATAGAATGAAATGGAATGAAATGGAATGCAATGGAATGGACAAAAATGTCATGGACTAGAAAAGAATGGACTCAAATTGAATGGACTTGAAAGGAAAGTTCTCGAATGGAATTTATTCGAATAGAATGGAATCGAAAGTAATGCAATAGTATGGAATTGAAACGAATGGAATGGAGTCTAAAGCATTGGACTCGAAAGGAATGGACAGGAATTGAATGGACACGAATGGAATGGACTGGAGTCGAATGGAATCAAATGGAATGGACAAGAGTGGAAATGAATTGTATGGAATGGTAAGGAATAGAATGGAATGGAATCAGATGGAACAGAATGGAATGGAATGGAGTCGAATGAAACAGAATTTAATGGAATGGCATCGAATGGAATGGAATGGAATTTAATGGAATGGACTCAAATTTAATAGAATAGAATGGAATGGCATCGAATGGAATTGAATGGAATGGAGTGGACCCAAATGTAAAGGAATCTAATGGAATGGACTCAAATAGAATGGACTCAAAAGGAATGGTCTCAAATGAAATTTATTCTAATAGAATGGAATCGAATTTAATTCAGTACTATGGATTGGAATAGAATGGAATGAAATCAAATGGAATGGAATGGAATAGAATGGACTGGAATAGAACAAATTCGTATGAAATGGATTGCAAAGTAATTGATTCGAATGGAATGGAATCAAATGGAATGTAATCAAATGGAATGTAATCAAATGGAATGGAATGGAAGGCAATGGAATGGAATAGAATGGAATGCAATGGAATGGAATGGAGTGGAATCGAGTGCAATGGAATCAAATGGAATGGAATCGAATGGAATGGACTTGAATGGAATGGACTCGAATGGAATTTACTGGAACAAAATGGAATCAAACGGATTGGAATTGAATGGAACAGAATGGAATGGAATGGACTCGAGTGGAAAGGATTTGAATGTAATGGAACTGAATGAAATGGAATCGAATGGAACGGAATTGAATGAATTTGAAGTAACAGAAAGGTGTGGAGTGTAATGGAAAGATATCGAATGGAATGTAATGGAATGGACTCGAATGGAATAGAGTGCAATTTAATGGACCCAAATGAATGGACTAGAGACGAATGGACTAGAATGGAATGGAAATGAAAGGAATGGAATGGAGTGGAAGGGAAAGGAATAGAATGGAATGGAATTGGATGGAACTGAATGGAATGGGATGGAGTAAAATGGAATAAAATCGAATGGAATGGCATAGAATGGAATGGAATGGAATGGAATTCAATGGAATGGACTCGAATGGAATAGAATCAAATGTAATGGCATGGAATGTAATGGCATGGAATGTAATGGAATGGAATGGAATGCAATGGAATGGAATGGAATGGAATGCAATAGAATGGAGTGGACAAAACTGTAATGGACTCGAATGGAATGGATTCAGATAGAAGGGACTCGAAAGGAATGGTCTCAAATGGAATTTAGTCGAATAGAATGGAATCGAATGGAATGAAATAGTATGGAATGGAATCGAATGGAATGCAATCAAACGGAGTTGACTGCAATAGAACGGAATCGAATGCAATGGATTGAAAGGTAATTGATTCAAATGGAATGGAATCGAATGGAATGTAATCAAATGGAATAGAATGGAATGCAATAGAATGGAATAGAATGGAATGAAATGGAATGGAACGGAATGGAATCAAGTGCAATGGAATCGAATGGAATGGACTGCAATGGAATGGACTCGAATGTAATGGACTGGAACAAAATGGAATCTAACACATTGGAATCATACAGAACGGAATGGAATGGAATGGAATGGAATGGAATGGATTAGAACGGAATAGAGTCGAATGGAATGGAACCGAATGGAATGGAATTGAAAGGAATAGAATGAAATGGAGTGTAATAGAAAGATATCGAATGGCATGGAATGGAATGGAATGGACTCGAATGGAATGGACTGGAGTGGAATGGATGCAAATGGAATGGACAGGAGTGGTATGGACACGAAAGAAATGGAAACGAATGGAATGGAAGGGAAGGGAATGGAATGGAATGCAAAGGAATAGAATGGAATGGAATCAGATGGAATGGAATGGAGTCAAATGGAATAGAATCCAATGGAATGGCTTCGAATGGAATGGAATGAAATGGAATGGAACAGAAAGGATTTACTCGAATGGAATGGACTCGAATGGAATGGAGTCAAATAGAATGGCATCAAATGAATGGAATGGAATGGAATGGAATGGAATGGAATGTCATGGAATGGACCCAAATGTAATGTACACTAATGGAATGGAATCAAATAGAATGGACTCCAAAGAGAATGGCCTCGAATGGAATTCATACGAAAACACTGGAATCTAATTGAATGCAATACTATGGAAATGAATCAAATGGAATGGAATCAAATTGAATGGAATCAAACGGAATGTAATCAAACGGAATGCAATGGATTGGAATAGAATAGAATGCAATGGAATCGAAAGGAGTGGGATCGAGTGGAATTGAATCGCTTCAAATGGAATGGAATAGAATGGACTGAAATGTAATGTACTCGAACGGATTGGCCTGGAAAAAATGGCATCGAATAGATTGGAATCGAGTGGAACAGAATGGAATGGAATGGAATGGACTCGATTGGAATGTAGTCAAATGGAATGGAATTGAATGGAATGGAATCAAATACAACGGAATTGAATGGAATCAAAAAGAATAGAATGGAATGGAGTGCAATGGAAAGATATGGAATGGAATGGAATGGAATGGAATGGAATGGAATGGACTCAAATGGAAAGGAAACAAATGGAATGAAATGGAATGGAAGGGAAGGGAAGGGAAACAATTGGAATGGAATGGAATGGAATGGAATGGAATGCAATGGAATGGAATGGAATGGAATGAAAAGGAATAGAATGGAATGGAATCAGATGGAATCGAATGGAGTGGAATGAAGTCAACTGGAATAGAATCGAATGGAATGGCATCAAATGGTATGGAATGTAATGGAATGGAATGGACTCGAATGAAATGGACTCAAAAGGAATACAATGGAATGGAAGGGCAAGGAATAGAATGGAATGGAATGGAATGGAGTGGAGTAGACCCAAATGTAATGGACTCGAATGGCATGAACTCAAATAGAATGTACTCGAAATGAATGGTATTGAATGGAATTTATTCCAATATAATGGAATCAAATGGAATGCAATAGTATGGAATGGAATCGAACGGAATTGAATCGAATGCAAGGGACTGGAATGGAGTGGACTGGAATAGAACTCAGTTGATTGTAATGGATTGCAATGTAATTGATTCGAATGGAATGGAATCAAATGGAATGTAATCAAATGCAATGGAATGGAATAGAATGGAATACAATGTAATGGAACTGAGTGGTTTCGAGTAGAATGGAATTGAGTGGAATGGAATCGAGTGGAATGGAATCGAGTGGAATGGAATCGAATGGAATGTAAAGTTATGGAATGGACTGCAACAAAATTGAATCGAACCAACTGGAAACGAGTGGAATTGAATGGAATGGAATGGAATTAAATGGACTAGAATGGAATGGACTGGGATGGAATGGAATGGAAAAAAATGGAATGGAACGGATTGGAATCATGCGGAACGTAATGGAATGGAATGAAATGGACTCGAATGGAATGGAGTCGAATGGAATGGAATTGAATACAATGGAATCGAACGTAATTGAATTCAATGGAATCAAAAGGAATAGAATGGAATGGAGTGTAATGGACAGATATCGAATGGAATGGAATGGAAAGGACTCGAATGGAATGGACTGGAATTTAACAGACATGACTGGAAAGTACTGGAGTGGAATGGACTCGAATGCAAAGAAAACGAATGGAATTGAAAAGAATGGAATGGAAAGGAATAGTATGGAATGGAAGTGTATGGAATGGAATGCAGTGGAATGGAATGGTCTCGAATGGAATGGACTCAAATGGAATAGAATAGAATGCAATGGTATCGCATGGAATGGAAAGGAAGCAAGCGCAGTGGAAAGATATCGAATGTAATGGAATGGACTTCAATGGAATGGACTGGATTGGAATTTTCTCGAATGGAAAGGACTGGAGTGGAATGGACTCGAATGGAATGAAAACGAATGGAATGGAAAGGAAAGGAAAAGAATGGAATGGAATCAGATGGAAAGGAATGGAATAGAATGGAGTCAAATGGAATAGAATCCAATGGAATGGCTTCGAATGGAAAGGAATGGAATGGAATGGAATGGAATGAAATGGAATGAAGTCGAATGGAATGGACTCGAATGAAATGGAATCGAATGGAATGGCATCAAATGGAATGGAAAGGAAAGGAAAGGAATAGACTCAAATGTGATGAACTCAAATGGAATGGACTCAATTAGAATGATCTCGAAAGGAATGGTCTCAAATGGAATTTATTCGAATTGAATGGAATCGAATGGAATGCAATAGTATGTAATGGAATTGAATGGATGGAGTCAAATGGAATGGACCGGAGTGGAATGGACTGGAATAAAATGGAAAGGAAAGTAATGTATTGCAATGTAATTGATTCGAATTGAATGGAATTTAATGGAATGTAATCAAATGGAGTGGAATGGAATGCAATTGAATGGAATAGAATGGAATGCACTGGAATGCAATGGAGTGGAATCGAGTGGAATGGAATCGAATGGAATGGAATCGATTGGAATGGATTGGAATATAATGGACTCGAATGGATAGGACTGGAACAAAATGGAATTGTACAGATTGGAATTGAACTGAATGGAATGGAATTGAATGGAATGGACTCGAATGGAATGGAGTCAAGTGGAATGGACCCGAATGGAATGGAAAGGAATAGAATGGAATTGAAGAGAATTGAAAGGAATAGAGTGGAATGGAGTGGAATGGACAGAAATCAAATCGAATGGAATGGAATGGACTCGAATGTAATGTACTGGAATTGAAATGGCTCGAATGGAATGGATTGGAGTGGAATGGATGGGAATGGAAATGAAACGAATGGAATGGAAAGGAATAGAATGGAATGGAATTGGATGGAAGGCAATGGAATGGAATGGAGTCGAATGGAATAGAATCAAATGGAATGGCATCGAATGGAATGGAATGGAATGGACTCGAATGCAATAGAATAGAGGGGAATGGCATCAAATGGAATTTAATGGAATGGAATGGACCAAATTGTAATGAACTCGAACGGACTGGACTCAAATAGAATGGACTCAAAAGGAAGGGTCTCGAATGGAATTTATTCAATTAGAATGGAATGGAATGCAATAGTATGGAATGGTATCAAATGGAATGGAATCGAATGGAGTGGACTGGAATGGAGTGGACTGGAATAGAACGGACAGGAATGTAATGGATTGCAATGTAATAGATTCGAATGGAATGGAATCGATTGGAAAAAAATGGAATGGAGTGTAATGGAAAGATGTCAAAAGGAATGGAATTTAATGGAATGGACTCGAGTGGAATGGACTGGAATGGAATGCACTCGAATCAAATGGACTGGAATGGAATGGACTCGAAAGAAATTGACAGGAGTGGAATGGACTCGAATGGAATAGAAACGAATTGAATGGAATGCAATGGAATGGAATGGAAAAGTATAGAATGGAATGGAGTCGGATGGAATGGAATGGAATGGAGTAGAATGGAATAGAATCGAATGGAATGGCATCAAATGGAATGGAATGAAATGGAATGGAATGGACTCGAATGGAATGCACTTGAATGGAATATAATCGAATGGAATGGCATCGAATGTAATGGAACGGAATGTCATGGAATGGAATGGACCCAAATGTCATGGAATCAAATGGAAAAGAGTGGTATGGCATGGAATCGAATTGAATGGAATCGAATGGAATGGAATCAAATGGAATGGACTGGAAAGGAATGGACTGGAATAGAACGGACACGAATGTAATGTATTGAAATGTGAATGATTCAAATGGTATGGAATCGAGTAGAATGTAATCAAATGTAATGGAATGGAATGCAGTGGAATGGAATAGAACGGAATGCAATGGAATGGAATGCAGTGGAATCGAATGGAATGGAATTGAATGGAATGGAATCAAATGGAATGTACTGGAATGGAATGGAATAGAATGGAATGGATTGGAACATAATGCAATCGAACGGATTGGATTTGAATGGAACGGAATGGAATGGAATGGATTAGAATGGACTGGAATCAAATGGAATGGAATTGAATGGCATTGAATCGAATGAAAAGGAGTTGAATGTAATGGAAAGAATAGAATGGAATGGAGTGTAATGGAAAGATATCGAATGAAATGGAATGAAATGGAATGGACTCGAATGGAATGGACTGGAATGAATTAAATCGAATGAAATGGACGGTAGTGAAACGGACTCAAATGGAATGGAAACGAATGGAATGGATTGGAATAGAATGGAATGGAAAGGAATGGAATGGAATGGAGTCGAATGGAATATAATCGAATGGAAATGAATCAAATGAAATGGAATGGCATGGAATGGAATGGACACGAATGGAATGGACCGGAATGGAATGGACTGGAATAGAATGGACTCGAATGTAATGGTATCCAATGCTATTGATTTGAATGGAATGGAAACGAATGAAATGTACTCAAATGGAACGGAGTGGTATGCAATGGAATGGAATAGAATGGAATGCACAGGAATGGAATGGAGTGGAATCCAGTGCAATGGAGTCGAAAGAAATGGAATCAAATGGAAGGGAATCGAATGGAATGGACTGGAAAGGAATGAACTCGAATGGTATGGACTGGAACATATTGGAATTCAACGGATTGGAGTCGAACTGAAAGGAATGGAATTGAATGGATTGCAAGGGAATTGACTCGAATGGAATGGAGTCGAAAGGAATGGAACCGAATTTAATCGAATGGAATGTAATAAAATGGAAAGTAATGGAATGCAATGGAATGGAATAGAATGGAATGCAATGGAATGGAATGGTGTGGAATCCAGTGGAATTTAATCGAAAGGAATGGAATAGAATGGAATGGAATCGAATGGAATGGAATAGAATAGAATGGAATTGAATGGAAACGAAAGGAATAGAATGGAAGTGAGTGTAACTGAACGATATCGAATGGAATGGAATGGAATGGACTCGAATGGAATGAACTGGAATGGAATGGACTCGAATGGAATAGACTGGAGTGGAATGGACTCGAATGGAATGGAAACGAATGGAATGGAATGGAATGGAATGCAATGGAGTCGAATGGAATAGAATCGAATGGAATGGCATCGAATGGAATGGAATGGAATGGAATGGAATGAACTCGAATGAAATGGACTCGAATGGAATGGAAACGAATGGAATAGAAACGAATGGAATGTCATGGAATGGAATGGAATGGAATGGAATGGAATGGAGTCGAATGGAATAGAATCGAATGGAATGGCATCGAATGGAATGGAATGGAATGGAATGGAATGAACTCGAATGAAATGGACTCGAATGGAATGGAAACGAATGGAATAGAAACGAATGGAATGTCATGGAATGGAATGGAATGGAATGGAATGGACGCAAATGTAATGGACTCGAATGGAATGGAGTCAAATAGAATGGACTCGAAAGGAATGGTCTCGAATGGAATTTATTCGAATAGGATGGAATCAAATGGAATGCAATAACACGGAATGGAATCGAATGGAATGGCATCGAATTGAATGGATCAGAATGCAATGGGCTGGAATAGAACTGACTTGAATGCAATGGATTGCAATCTAATAGATTTGAATGGAATGGAATCGAATGGAGTGTAATCAAATGGAATGGAATGGAATGCAATAGAATGGAATAGAATGGAATGCAATGGAATGGAACAGAGTGGAATCGAGTGGAATGGAATCCAAAGGATTCCAAATGGAATTAAAAGGAGTGGAATCGAAAGATTGGACTGCAATAAAATTGAATCGACAAGACTGGAATCGAATGGTACGGGATGGAATGGAATAGAATGGAATGGACAGGAATGGAATGGAATCAAACGGATTGGAATCGAAAGGAATGGAATTGAAATGAATCAAAAGGAATGGAATGGAAAGGAGTGTAATGGAAAGATATCAAATGAAATGAAATGAATTGAATGAAAAGGACTCAAATGGAATGGTCTGGAGTGGAATGGACTGGAATGGAATGGACTCAGATGGAATGGACTCGAATGGAATGGAAATGAATGGAATGGAATGCAGTGGAATGGAATGGAAAGGAATAGAATGGGAAGGAATCAGATGGAACGGAATGGAATGGAATGGAGTTGAATGTAATACAATCTAATGGAATGGCATCAAATGGAATGGACTGGAATTTAATGGAATGGAATGGACTTTAAAGGAATGGATTCGAATGGAAAATAATCGAATGGAATGACATGGAATGGAATGGAATGGAATGTCATGGAATGGAATTTACCCAAATGTAATGGACTAGAAACGAATGGACTCAAATAGAATGGACACGAAAGAAATGGTCTCGAATGGAATTTATTCGAATAGAATGGAATCGAATGGAATGCAGTAGTATGGAATTGATTCGAATAGAATGGAATTGAATGGAATGGACGGGAAAGGAATGGACTGGAATATAGCGGACATGAATGTAATGGATTGCAATGTGATCGATTCGAATGGAATGGAATCAAATAGAATGTAATCAAATGGAATGGAATGGAATGCAATGCCATGAAATAGAACGGAATGCAATGGAATGGAATGCAGTGGAATCGAGTGGAATGGAATCAAAAGGAATGGAATAGAATGGAATGGACTGGAATGAAATGGAGTCGAATGGAATGGCCTGGAACATAATGGAATCAAACGTATTGGAATTGAAAGGAAGGGAGTGGAATGGAATGGAATGGGATGGACTTGAATAGAATGGAGTCGAATTGAATGGAATCGAATGAAATGGATTTGAATGGAATGGAAAGGAAAATAATGGAATGGATTGTAATGGAAAGATATCGAATGGAATGCAATGGAATGGAATGGACTCAAATGGAATGGACTGGAATGCAATGAACTCAAATGGAAAGGACTGGAGTGGAATGGACCCGACTGGAGTGGAAACGAATGGAATGGAATGGAATAGAATGGAATGGAATGGACTCGAATGGAATGAATCGAATGGAATGGCATCGAATTGAATGGAATGGAATGGATCCAATTATACTGGACTCGAATGGAATCCACTCAAATAGAATGTACCCGAAAGGTATGGTCTCGAATGAAATTTATTCAAATAGAATGGAAAGAAATGGATTTGCAATAGTATGGAGTGGAATCAAATGGAATGAAATCAAATGGAATATACTGGAATGGAATGGAGTGGAATGGAATGGACTCAAATTGAATAGATTGGAGCAAATTGGAATCGAACGGATTCGAAAGGAATGGAATGGAATGGAATGGACTCGAATTGAATGGAGTCTAATGGAATGGAATCGAAAGGAATGGAATCGAAAGGAATGGAATTGAATGGAAACGAAAAGAATAGAATGGAATGGAGTGCAATGGAAAGATATCAAATGGAATGGAATGGAATGGAATCAAATGGAATGGATTGAAATGAAATGGACTCGAATTGAATGGACTGGAATGGAATGGACTCGAATGGAATGGAAACGAATGGAATGAAATGGAATGCAACGGAATGGAATGGAAAGGGATAGTATGGAATGGAATCAAATGGAATGTAAAGGAAGGGAATTGAGTCGAATGGAATAGAATCAAATGGAATGGCATCGAAGGGAATTGAAAGGTATGGACTCGAATAGAATGGACTCGAATGGAATGGCATCGAATGGAATGGACGGGAGTGAAATGGACTCGATTGGAATGGATACAAATTGAATGGAATGGACTGGAATCGAATAGAAAGGAATGGAATGGAATGGAATGGAATGGAATGGAATGGAATGGAACGGAATGGAAAGGAATGGAGTCGAAAGGAATATAATCAAATGGAATGGCATCAAAATGATTCGTATGGAATAGAATGGCATGGAATGGAATGGAATGGAGTGGAATGGACTCGAATGGAAGAGAGTGGAATGTATTCAAATGGCAATACTCAAAAATAAAGAAAAAAAAACACCTACTGCCTCACTGAATTAAAGGCGTGTTCAGCAGTTTCTTTGTTATTTCAAAGAGTGGCATCTGCTTCAGCAGGGTCAGTTTTTAATGTATTTGTTTTGTTTCTTTTTTCTCTGTCTGGTGTTCTTTTCTATTTTATTATAATTTTTTAAATTTGAGGGATGAGATTTTCATAGTACTGAATATCAAACAATGAATCCGCATGAATGATTCACCTAATTTCCTTGGTTTTAGTCCTCTATAAAGGTTTTATATAGCAAAAGAACCATTTAAAGACTTGGGTTACAAATGTATTTTATTTTATCTCTGGCATGCCTTGGGCTGAGAAAGCTTTATATGGTGGCACAATATTTGTAACATTCTCATAGCCATCTGGTGGTGGTTCGAGGTATGACGTTTTGAAAATCTAACAAGAATTAAAATATGTCAAGTTAGAGAGAAAAATTCCAGATTATTATTAAGATATAATTCATTTTGCCCCAAGTATATACTTCAGATTAAGCATCCTGGAACTAGGTTCTATAATTAAATAGATAAATTACACTGACAACAATGAGAAAGAGCCTTATCATTATTATTGTCTTCCTAATGATAGAAACTTTTATAAATGCATGCAATCCCAGGTAACCAAAAGTTTCCTTATAAAGTGTAACAGCAGAGCTTCAAAGGTGGCACTTTGGCAAGCCTCTTTTTTTGACTATGACTTTTCAGCTTCCTTTGTGGGCTCCTTTTCTTTCATCTTCATTTAAATAATATTTCCCTATGTTTTATACCCAGCCCATTGCTTGCTTCTGTACTGCCTCTCTGCGAGACTTCATTAAGTATCAGAATTTTACCAATAGCTCATATGCTTATGATGCTTACCTTTTCAGATTCGTATATTTAAATATTTTGTGGTTATTTCATCCTGGATGTCCAAACTCAAAATGTTAAAATTCAAATTTATCATCTCTCACCCCGGGCCTGCTTTTGTTTTGCATTTCCTACCTCTATTAATAGCTTCAGTCATTAGCCACCGACACCAGACAGTCTCGGAGTCATCCTGAACTCTATCTTCCCCTCCTTCCCCAAGTCAATCACTAATCAAGTCCTGCTAATACATTTCCTTGCTATTTCTGAAATCCATCCCTCTTCCTCATTCCTACTAACATCCTAATTTAAAACTTTATTATCTTTTACCTGGACTATTGTCTTAAGACAACAACTTTAACCCGTTGCTTAGCCTAGGTGTAATCCACAGAGGATCTTGTCTGCCTAAAACGCCCCTCTAGCCACATCCTTCCCCTGCTCAGATCTTGTCATTGGCTCCCATGAACTGAAGTTGAAGTTTAAGCTCCTTAGGACAGCATACACGCCCTTCTATGATCTGTTCCCAGAACATATTTACTGGTTTATCTCATATCATGGCCCAGTTTGTATTTTACACTTTTGAAATACAGAAAATCATTACATTCTCCCAATAATACTAAGCTAGTATATGCCTAAAAGCCTTTGCCAATATTTTGTCTTTTGTTGAGAATTCTCTTAGCTTATTTTGTCACGTGGTTAACTCCTTATGTCCTTTCATGACTCACATGTCAAGACTTCAGGAAACCTTCTCTAACTCCCAGGCTGGGCTGAGTGACCCTTTTCTGGGTAAATAATGGACTCGAATCATACTCTTCATAGCACTTACCATACTAATTTGAAGTCTGAAGTATTCCATTGTGTGCCACACTTTACGTAGGCAAAGGAACCATGTGCTAGTCTCATTCTGGCCTCAGGACTTCAGCCCGGGCGACAGTGGGAGACTGAGTGTCAAAAAAAAAATTGCCAATGATTGAAGCCTAATACTGAAGATTCTGATTTATTAATAATTAGTCTGTTGCTGGGTGTTAATTGAGCTCCCCAAGTAATTACTCATGTGGGACTTCAAACCAATAATTTAGAACCTTGTGACTCAAAATCTGTGCAAAAATAAGCAGCATCAGTATCACCTGGGAGCAGCTTCAGGTCTCACTTTAGATTTACTCTGAATCGAAATATTATATTTTTATTAAAAAATTAAGAACAGATGACAAGCTTCAACTACATCTAAATTCTTTAGATTTACTTTAAAAGAATCAGCATTTTGACACAATACCAAAGTGAACTAAATTCGCTTTTTTTTTTTTTTTTTTTTGAGACAGAGTCTTGCTCTGTTGCCCAGGCTGGAGCAAAGTGGTGCAATCTCGGCTCACTGCAACTTCCACCTCTCCAGTTCAAGCGATTATCTTGCCACGGCCTCCAAAGTAACTGGGATTACAGCACATGCCATCATGCCCGGATAATTTTGGTATTTTTAGTAGAGACAGGGTTTCACAATGTTGGGTGAGCTGGTCTGGAACTCCTGACCTCAAGTGATCTGTCCGCCTCGGCCTTCCAAAGTGCTGAGATTATAGACATGGGCCACCATGCCCAGCCTAAATTTGCTTTAATTTGGAGAAGTGCTGGTCTAGAAAACACAAATTCCAAGGAGACAGAGGTTCTTAAGTTGATTTCTCAAGTACAAGTCCTTCAAATGCATTCTCCAAGATTAATTTTTTTTTTTTACTTTTTAAATTGACAAAAATTATACATATTCATGGCTATACAGGGATGTTTCAGTACATGTAGATGGTGATCAGATCAGGGTAATTAGCATATCTATCGTCTCAAACATTTATTATTTCTTTGTGTTGGGAACATTCAAACTACTCCTAGGTATTTTAAACTACATAATATAGTATTGTTAACTATAGTCATCTACAGTACTATAGAACACTAGAACTTATTACTTCTACCTAGCTGTAATTTTGTATCCATTAACAAATCTCTTACTATTCCTCCTTTCTCCCTACCCTTTTCAGCCTGCAGTATCCTCTGTTCTACTTTTTACTTCTATGAGATCAACTATTTTTTAGCTTCTGCGTGAGTGAGAACATGTGGTGTTGAAATTTCTATTCCTGGCTTATTTTGCTTAACATAATATCCTCCAGATCCATCCATGTTGCTGAGAATGACAGGATTTTATTTATTCTTTTTTATGGCTAAATAGCATTCCTTGGTGTATATATACCATATTTTAAAAATCCATTCATCTGTTGTTGGAAACCTAGGTTGATTCCATATCTTGGCTATTGTGAACACTGTTGCAATAAACATGGGGATGCAGATGTCTCTGCAATATAATGCTTTTCTTTCCTTTGGATAAATTCCCAGTAGTGGGATTGCTTGAGGGGTTTCAATAAAGTTCTCCATACTGGCTGCACTAATTTACATTCCTACCAACAGTTCATAAGAGTTCCTTTTTCTCCGGTTACCCAGGAGGCTGAGGGAGGAGAACTATTTGAACCCTAGAAGCAGAGGGAGCCAGATTACACCACCACTGCACTCCAGCCTGGACGGAGAGTGAGATTCTGTCAAAAAAAGGTCCCTTTTCTTCACGTCGTTGTCAGCATTTGTTATTTTTGTCTCTTCTATTATAGCCATCCTAACTGGAGTAAGATGATGCCTCACTGTGGCTTTGATTAGCATTTCCTTGCTGATTAGTGGTGTTGAACATTTTTACATATATTTGTTGGTAATTTGTATGTCTTCTTTTGAGAAATGTCTGTTCAGAGCATTTGTTTATATTTAATTAGATTGTTGTGCTTCTTTGCTGTTGATATGTTTGAATTCCTTGTATATTCTTGATATTAATTTCCTGCCAGATGAGTTTATATTTTCTCCCATTCTGTAGGTTGTGTTTTCACTCACTTTATTATTTCCTTTGCTGTGCAGAAGATTTTTAGCTTGATGTGATCCCATTTGTTTATTTTTTCTTTTGTTGCCTGTGCTTTTGATGCCTTATTCATAAAATATTTTCCCAGAGCAATGTCCTGAAGGATCTTCCCTATGTTCTCTTCTAGTAGCTTTACCATTTTGGGTCTTATATTTGGGTATTTGAGATACTTTGAGTTGATTTTTGTATAGGGTGAGAGGCAGAGGTTTAGTTTCATTCTTCGGCATATGGATATCCAGTTTTTCCAGCACCATTTATTGAAGAGACTATCCTTTCCCCAATGACTGTTCTTGGCATCTTTGTAAAAAATCCGTTGGCTGAGATATGTGGATTTTCTGGGTTCTTTATTCTATTCCATAGGTCTATGTGTCTGTTTTTATGCCAATACCATGATGTTTTGGGTTACTACAGTTTTGTAGTATATTCTGAGGTCTGGTAGCATGATACATCCAGCTTTGTTCTTTTTGCTTAGGATGGCTTTGGTTATTCAGAATATTTTTTGATTCCATAAAATCTCTTTGGATTTTTTTTTTAATTTTGTGAGGAATGTTCATAGGTATTTTGATAGAGATTGCATTGAATCTGTAGGTTACGTTTGAGTAGTACTGTCACTTTAACAACATTCATATTTCTGATCCATGAGTGTGAATGTCTTCTCATTTGTTTGTATCCTCTTCAATTTCTTTCATTAGTGTTTTGTAGTTTTCATTTTACCTCCTTGGTTACATTTATGTCTGGGTTTTTTTTGGTAACTATTGTAAATGGGTTTGCCTTCTTAATTTCTTTTTCAGCGAGTTTGTTGTTCATATATATAAATGCAACCAATCTTTGTGTATTAGTTTTGTGTCTTGCAACTTCACTGAATTTGTTTGTTCTAAAAGTTTTCTGGTAGAGTCTTCAGGTTTTCCTATATATAAGATCATGTCATCTGCCAATAGGAACAATTTGATGTCCTCCTTTCCGATTCGAATGCCCTTTATTTCTTTCTCTTGTCTAATTACCCTTGATAGGACTTCACATTTATATACTTTGAATATTTAAAATGTTTACATAAATGTCAGAATCAACTTTCATTTTTCATAGAAAAAGAAGACCCTACTTGTTTTGTAGTTTTAATATTAATCAATTATTTTTATCTGAGACAAATTATTTAACAAATTAATCCGTCTATTAAAATATTTCACCACAAATAAATTCCATAAGGAAAATATCTACAACTGTTTTTATGAAAGAAAAAAAGGCTTCTCTACAGTTGCTTAGGCCTGGTGCCATGGCACACACCTATAAATCCCAGCCCTGTGGGAGGCCATGTCAAGAGGATCCTTTGAGCCCAGGAGTTTGAGACCAGCGTGGACAACAAAGTGAGACCTCATCTCTACAAAAAATAAAAAAGAGATTAGCTGGCCATGGTGGTGTGTGCCTGTGGTCCTAGCTACTCGAGAGGCTGAGGAAGGAGGATCACTTGAGCCAGGGAGGTGGAGGTTTCACTGAACCATATTCACGCCACTCCACTCCAGCCTGGGCAACAGAGCTAGACCTTGTCTCAAAAAATTAAGTTAGTTAAATTAAACATAAAGTTGCATTGTATTTAAGAAATTGGGAAAGCAGAAAATGCTTCTGATTTTCTTTTGAGTTGAACAATGAGAACACATGGACACAGGGAGGGGAACATCATATACCGAGGCCTGTCAGGGGGGTGGGAGGCAGGGGGAGTGATAGCATTAGGAGAAATACCTAATGTAGATGATGGGTTGATGGGTGCAGTAAACCACCATGGCATGTGTATACCTATGTAACAAACCTCCACGTTCTGTACATGTATCTCAGAACTTAAAATGTAATAATAACAATAATAAAAACAACAAAAAAAAGGAAACGCTTCTTGTTAGAACAGATTACATACCCTCATTGCTTTTTATAAGAGCCTGTAATAACAGAATATCCACAAGGTGACAGTAATATATCAGTTTCATCCTCTGAAATTAAAACTTTTGCCTATTCAGTAATACAATGGATCTTTTGAACTCACTCTAACACGTAGAATACAGCAATTTGACTTAATAATTAGCCTTTAAATTTATAGGCTTGTATTATCACTTTACTGGTTTGAATTATTTTGTATTTTAATATATTTAAATGAATTAGTCCTATATAAATTGACTAATTTGACATGTGAAGGTGTTTTTATTCTATTTTCAGAAGTTCAGCTTTAAAAAAATATCTAAACTTTGATATCTGGTGAGTGCCAATGTTTTTATCTTATTAAAAGATGACAGACCACACTATATTCAACTGATTTTTTTTTACAAGGATGTAAAATCAGTTTAAAGGAAAGATATCTTTTTCAACAAATGGTGCTAGAGCAATTGGACATTCACAGGTACAAAAACTAAGACTGACCTAAATTTATACTTTATATAAAATTTAGCTCACATAAATCACAGGCTTAAATGTAAAATGTAATATTATAAAACTTAAAGTTGTGTATGGTAGCTCGTGCCTGTAATCCCAGCTACTACTGAAGTGGCTGAGGTGGAAGCATCACTTCAATCCAGCAGTTAGTGGATGCAGTGAGCAATGATGGCACCACTGCACTACAGCTTGGGCGAAACCTCGTCTCAAAAATAATTAATAAATAAATACATTAAACTTTTAAAATAGAAGAAAACTCTTGAGACCTTGGGTTAGGCAAATAATTTTTAGGCTTGATATCAAAAACAAAATCTACAAAAGGAAAAAGTGATAAAACTGGACTTCATTAAAATAATACTTTTTTTTTTTTTTTTTTTTTTTTACTTAGAAAAACCCTGTAAAGAGGTTGAAAAAATGAATTACAGACTGGGAGAAATAATTTGCATACCATACATCTGACAAAGAACTTACATCTAGCATATGTAAAAAATTCTCAAAACTCAATAGTAATAAATAAGGTATTCAATTAGAAAATAGGCATATGTGACCTCTCTGTATTATAACTTAAACCTCATGTGACTACAATTATTTCAAATGAAATAAACAAAACAGAAATGTCTGTTTCTAGCATATAAAATAATCAGAGAACATAGAATTGTACATAGTTAAATTATTGGGCCATTTACTTAATTTAAACATTTTTAAATGCGTGTACCCATTTTGCTTGAAGGTGTGTGCAAGTATGCTAGTATTTTTTAACGATAATATGGTCACATGAGCATTAAATTAATTTTTTAAAAGTTTGTAGTTACCCCACACAAGTTCTTATTGATTCCCTCATTCTTAACATCTCCATAGTATTTCATTTTATAATTAATGGATTGTAGGTTTATTCTTTTAAAATCACTTGTGTTGTTCTCATGTTTTTTTTTTTTTTCACTAAAAAGTGTTGCAATGCACACAACTAAAAATATAAGGAGGGTCTTTTCTGGATCTCTGTTGAAAAACTTTGAATAAAAATTACAAGTTCAAATCACATGCAAAATAAACATTTTAATTAATAGGATTTTATGCAAGATGTTAGTAGCAGCAGCAGCACAGTTTTATTAATATCCCTGAATCTCTCACAAAAACTGACTGAGCAACTGGGATAACAAGGTATTAACTATGACAAAACAATGTAACAGGGTGTCATCATGGACCTTTTGTGAGGTTAAACCACAGGGATCCAGGGGAATCACCAATTTTTTTGGAAGAAGGAAAGGAAAGGAAAAAAATGTTTAATGGCCCTGGGAACTGGAAAACCTAGAAATAGAAGCGCTAACATCTATGTTCCTAAATTCAGAGATTCTTACTAGGCAAAAAGAACTCAGCAGATTAATCTGAGAACAGCAGCTGAGACTGGCAGAAGGCTTCCTGGGCCTCAACTCATAGCTGAGAGTGAGGATGGCAAAAAGCAGGTGCTGCGAGTGGTCTGTTTCCTATGAACCCTACAAATTAACCACCCCCAAAACAAAGCCCTGTCCTAAGGAGAAACTGCAGAAAGTCAATTATAAATTGAGTTGGGAAGCACACTGAGGCCCAAGAAAAGGAAAGCTCCAGGTTAAGATGCAAGAGAAGAAGGGAAAAGGCAGTTTTCTGCAAGTTCAAGCACAAATAATTTCTTTACCTTCTAGTTCTGGAAATACCAGGTGCTATGTATGTAAAGCAGGAATTTTGGTTGAATATTATATAATTTTCTGACCCACTGTTACTAATTCAGTTTCCCCTGTACTCAGATCTTCCATGCTACAGACAGACTGACAGATGCTCAGCAAATAGTAGCTAATATTTTCTAGGAAACTAGGTGTTAAACGAGTTTTCTTAAATTTCTACCTAAAGGTCTGTAAGTTGATTTGAAGCATTACCAGTTTCTGGTTCTGCACAGGTTGTTGAGAGCAGGACTTCTCTCCTCCAGTGGAAAGTCTACCTGCTCACAATCATCCATCCTTTCCTGCGGCCTTCAGACACTACTCAGTGTAGCACGCCTCCCAGTCTAGAATAGGCACACTCATAATCAGTCTCTCTCATTTTCTGTCTTATCTCCATTCCATCTACATACAGTTTTTGTTTTTGCCAATGTTTTTAAATAAACAACTGTACAAGCACAACAATGACAACAGAAACCTTCCTTCCCCCAGTGTTGTAGTGAGCAAGGAATATATTTAACTTCAAATAAAAGACAAAAACAAATGCTGGATAAAGCTGACAGAAAGAAATGCAACTGTAGGTGCTCTGGCAATATAGAAATGATACAACTAAGAAAAATGGAAGAAAAGGAAAGAGAAAGTATTCCTCAGAATGATTTTACTGACTGCTCAACTGTAATGCCTGGGAGTCAAAGGATATTGTTTATAGAAATGTAAACACACTTAATGGCATCAGGGGAATCAAAGTTAATATGATTAAATCAAATTGTGTGATGAAAAATCACATAGGGAGGACAAGAAAGAGAATACAGCTAATACCATTGTTCTTAGTTTAGAGACATTAGCTACTGTCTAAAGAAAGAGATGATTTTCTGAAATTACATAAGGTAGCCATCAGAATAAAAGTTTAACTCTTCCAAATATCACAACATCAAAACAAAAGCAATAAAAACAAACAAGACAGCAAAAGACAGATATGTGCATATAAATCATAGCATAATATACTGTAAACAAAATATAACCAAACACAATTTATCATTAAAAGTAAGCGGGCTTGACTCTTACTAGAGGAAAAAATATTGTCAGATTAAATCAAAAAGCAAATCTTAATTCTATGCTGGATATAAGATAAAGTGTTACAGAAAGTTTTGAAATAAAAGTATAGGCAATGAATAAAAGGATCTTCTCTTCATGCGTTAGGAGTATAAAACAGTAAGTAAACACATCATACATTTTCTGTTTTTACACTTAAATGGCTGGAGATGTTACACCACTAGTATGAATTTACTTCAGATATATAAAGGATACACTTTTATGTGGTTAGAAAAGGCAATGATAATAGTTAAGGTGAAAATAACATCTGCATTGATGCTAGGAAGAAAGAGCCATTGTTGGGTACATAGTGATCACATTACCATGGAGCAATCTGTTCCCAACTGAAATATCCTTGCCCTTCTACTGAAATCATGTAAGATTCTGCAAAAGTAGTGTTTACTTCCCACAAATCAGCCATTTGTGGGGACGGCTGCTATTGTTGTCCACACGGAATGAGCATCAGACCTATATTTAGCTGTTGTATCATTAAGAGTCGTATTTGGCCCTTTCCAGAGGCTGTTATTTCAATTATATTTTGGAAAATTAGTCTATTTCCAGACAAATAATTTTTCCAGAACTTTGATCCATATGAAATGACCCTTTGGTAGGGATCCAGGGATTGAGTTTATTTTTAATTACTGTAGCATCCTGGTCAGGTTGAGAAACAGATTACCTTTATATTTCCCTGGCATGTGAGCAGGGCTAGATTTAGCGTGAGAATGCTTGAAAGTTTATAGTTTTTTAGAAATTTTATTTGCTGTGTGTCTCTTTATCAAAATAAAATTAATGCTGAAAAGCTATATTAAATGAATTATTTTGAGATGGCCTCTTCCCCCTTCTTCCAATGAGAGGATATCCACGGATATGTCAGGAGCTTGCTTTACCTAGAAATGTGTTGAGGGCCACAGGTTTGGGTTCACCTAGGAATGTTTAGGGACACCTCCCCAAGTTGTTGTTGAAGAGTGGGGTAAATGTAAGATAGAATTAGGCTCACGGAGGCCAGATGAGAGCATCATGTCACCCCAGAAACACAGCATATACCTAGGAGATCTGTTCTCAGTATCAAAGTCTTAAGCACTGTAAGATTGCATATAGACCAAGACAACAACTATATATATATATAGTTAATAAAATCAGTTAATATATAAACATATATTTATTTATTTATTAACTTATTTTTATTTTTATCTTCAGACAGCATCTTGCTCTGTCACCTAGGCTGGAGTGCAGTAGTGCAATTAAGGCTCACTGCAGCCTTGACCTCTGGGGCTGAAGCTATCCTCCTGCCTCAGTCTCCTAAAGTGCTAGGATGAGAGGTGTGAGTCACCTTGCCAGGCCCAGGGCAATAACTATGCAATGTTTATATAATTTGGAGCAAAAAACATTTGAAATATGTGTGCTTTGCTTTTTAACCTTTTCTATTGATTTACTTTATTAAATACTGAATAGAAACAATATATTTATAAAATATTTATTTTATATATATAATAAGCACATAATGAACACCTGTGTCTCCAGTCTTGGTTTAAGAAATTAAGCCAAAAGTAATCATAAGTGCTTATTATTACTTTTGAAGTCACCTGTACAACTATTGCTGACTACATCCCCTTCTTCAACACTCTAACGATGGCCACTATGAGCACTGTGTATATTGAATTGTGTTGTATTTTAATACCGTGTGCACTACATTGTTTTCCTAGCTGTATGCTATTGCATTTAGTGAGCATAATGAATTATATCAGTATAGTTCAGTTTTGTCATTTCATTGTTTCAGCTTTTCTGTACTAATTATTGCCAATATATTTCTTCTGGCATAAAAACAGACACATAGGACAGTGGAACAGAATAGAGATCACAGACAAATATACACATTTACTAACAACTCATCTCTGACAAAGGCATCAAGAACATACACTGGGAAAACAACAGTCTTTTCAATAAATGATCCTGGGAAAACTGAATAACCATATGCAGAAGGATAAAATGAAACCCATCTTACCATACACAAAAATCAAATCAAATAAAAATGGATTAAAGACTTGAATCTGAGACCTGAAACTGTGAAGCTAGTAAAAAAAAAAAAAAGCATAGGAAAGGCTGGGTGCGGTGGCTCTCATCTGTAATCTCAGCACTTTGGGAGGCCAAGGCAGCCAGATCACAAGGTCAGGAGATCGAGACCACCCTGGCTAACATGGTGAAACTCTGTCTCTACTAAAAATACAAAAAAAAAATATATTAGCGGGGCATGATGGTGGGCGCCTGTAGTCCCAGCTACTCAGGAGGCTGAGGCAGGAGAATGGCGTGAAAACAAAAAAAGAAAGAAAAAAAGAAAGCATAGGAGAAATGCTCCAGGACATTAGTCTGGGCAAAGATTTTTTTGCGTAAGACCTCGGAAACACAGGCAACAAAATCAAAAATAGACAATGGGATTATATCAAACTAAAAAGCCTCAAGCAAAGGAAACAATCAACAAAGTGAAGAGCTAACCAGAGAATGGGACAAAATATTTTCAAACTATCTATCTGATAAAGGATTAACAAGTAGAATATATAAGGAGCTCAAACAACTCAATAATACACAAACAAAAAATCTGATTGAAAAATGGGCTACTGAAGAGGCTGAGGTAGGAGGATTTCTTTTTTTTTTTTTTTTTTTTTTTGTGAGATGGAGTCTCGCTGTCGCCCAGGCTGGAGTGCAGTGGCACGATCTCGGCTCACTGCAGGCTCTGCTCCCCCGGGGTTCACGCCATTCTCCTGCCTCAGCCTCCTGAGTAGCTGGGACTACAGGCGCCCGGCACCAAGTCCTGCTAATTTTTTGTATTTTTAGTAGAGACGGGGTTTCACCTTGTTAGCCAGGATGGTCTCGATCTCCTGACCTCGTGATCTGCCCGCCTCGGCCTCCCAAAGTGCTGGGAATACAGGCGTGAGCCACCGCGCCTGGTCAGGAGGATTTCTTAATCCCAGGAGTTTGAGGTTACAGTGAGCTATGATTATGCTACTGCCCTTTAGCTTGGGTGACAAAGCAAGACCTTGCTTCTAAAAAAAACAATAGTTAAAAATATATAAATAAATACAATTTAAAAATGGGCAAAAGATCTGAACAGATATTTTCTCAAAAGAAGACATACAAATGGCCAATAGGAAGATGAAAAAATGTTAAATATCACTATTCGTCAAAGAAATGCAGATCAAAATCACAATGCAATATCATCTCACCTTGGTTGAAATGACTTGTTTCAAAAAGACAGGCAATAACAGATGCTGGCAAGGATGTGGAGAAAGGGAAATACTACCACACTGTTGGTGGGAATCTACATTAATAAAGCCACTATGGAGAACAGTATGGAGGTTCCTCAAAAAAGTAAAAATAGAACTACCATGTGGTCCAGCAATTTCTTTACTGGATATATATCCAAAATAAAGGAAATTAATGTATCAAAGACATATCTACATGCCGATGTGTACTGCAGCGCTATTCACAATAGACAAAATATGGAATCAACGTAAGTGCTCACCAACAAATGAATAGATTTTAAAAGTCATATATACACATAATGGAATACCACTCAGATACAAAGAAGAATGAAATTCTGTCATTCGCAGCAACACAGGTGGCGCTGGCCATTTGGTTTAACCTAATGAACATAGGCCATTGTGTTAAGTGGAATGAGCCAAGCACAGAAAGGCAAATACCACATGTTGTCACTCATATGTGGGCAGTAAAAAAGTGGATCTCATGAAGATAGAAAGTAAATCGGTGGTTGCTAGAGGCCAGCAAGGGGAGTGGGAAGAGGAGATTAAGAGAAGAAAATATAAATGTATTTATCACCACTAAACTGTCCTCTAAAAATGTACAGAAGGTAAATTATATATGTATTTTTAACTCAATAAAAAGTTAAAAAAAATTCTGCTGTGTGTTTACAGGGCACAGGTAAAAGACTTTCTCTAGGGTTGTATCAGTTTTCTATTCCTGCTGTAACAATTTACCACAAATTCAGTGGCTTAAAAGAACACATTTTTGTAAGATTTGAGTCAGTTTTAAAAAACACACACAAACTTATTGTCTTAGAATTGTTTTGGTTGGAAATCTGGCATGGCTCTCACTGAACTAACATCAAGATGTTGGCAGGCTGCATTTCTTTCTGAAGGCTCTAAAAGAGCATCTGGGTTGTTGGCAGAATTCAGTTCCTTGTTGTAGATCCTCAGTTTCTTCCTGGTTGTAAACTTTGGGTCATTCCCAGCTTCTAAGGTCACTGGCTTTCCTTGGCTTGTGGCCCCCTACCACTGTTTTAAAAGCCAGTAATAGCAGGCCACATCTTTCTCATACTGCCATCTGTCTGAATCTCAGCATCCAGAAAATATTCTCTGCTCTCAAGGAATTATGAGATTAGATTGGCTCACCAAGGTAATTCAAGGTAATTTCCCTTAATGGTAATCACATCTGCCAAGTCCCTTTGAACATGCTAACTTACGTTAGCATGTTCACCTTATCTGAAGACTGGGATGTGGCTGTCTTTGGTGGGGGGCAATTATTCTGCCTAACCCAAAGATACACAACTTGCAGATGTACAACTAGTTCATGGAGATGAAACATTTTCAAATCTACAAGAAAATGTTTTCTAAAATGAGCATTTCATATTAGACTTTCACGAGCACTGTATCAGAATTATATTTACTTCATAATGTTGCCAATACTGATATCAGGTATTTAATTTCCTAGCCAGTTCATGATAATGTGAATTGTGAATAATATATTTGTTCATTCAGTCAACGAACATTTTTTATCAGACACCACCGATATGCTGGACAGTGTTATGGTTCCTAAAAATATAGCTGTTATTATTATTTTTTAAACAAAATCCCCACTGTGATAAAGCTTTTATTCTTTGGGACAGGCAGACAGTAATCCAGATAAATAAATGCAAGGGCAAATTAGGGGAAAAATTGGAATGGAGAGCTCAGAATGTGGCCCCAGAGAAGGGCAGAGGGAAAGGGGACCCAGTTCAGAATCTCGGTGCGTCCACACCAAACAATTCCATGAGGGCTGAGGAGACAGAGCTGAAAGGCTTGTCTGACATCACAAGAGACAGAAAAGTGAGCCCCATTTTCATCTCTATCCTGACAATGTTCCTGACTTGATTTCCTCCTTCCAGCAGACACAAGAATCAGGGAGCACACCCTGATGGTAACATTTTTTTCAGGGGCCTATTTTGGGGACCCTGGTGAGAACCTGAGTCCGTCACTGACCATGGCAGCCCAGCATGGTCCCCAGTGCGTGGCCCAAGGCCAAGATTCTCTACCTCCGTCCTGGAGGCAGAAGAAATGTCTGTGGGAAAATGAGAGGTTTTAGGTGGTTGGCACTGGGTGAGACCAAGAAGAAATTTTAAAGCTGTGTGTCCTGGGGCCGGGGGCGGTGGCTCACGCCTGTAATCCCAGCACTTTGAGAGGCCGAGGCGGGCAGATCACGAGGTCATGAGATTGAGACCATCCTGGATAACGGTGAAACCCCGTCTCTACTAAAAATACAAAAAATTAGCCGGGATTGGTGGCGGGCGCCTGTAGTCCCAGCTATTCGGGAGACTGAGGCAGGAGAATGGCGTGAACCGGGAGGCGCAGCTTGCAGTGAGCTAAGATCGCGCCACTGCACTCCAGCCTGGGTGACAGAAAGAGACTCCTCAAAAAAATAAAAATAAAATAAAAATAAAAAATAGAAAAAGCTGTGTGTCCTTTGTTTCTTCAAATTTTGCAGATTTTTGATGTCAAAATATTTTCATAGTCAAAAGAGTGTTAATAAAGAATGACTTCTCTGTTATAAAAATCCTAGTAGTGAATGTATTTACCAAGAAGTTAGATTCTATCTTTGGTTTTTTGTTTTTTGTCCCGTAGTTTAAAAAAAATAGTTTTATTGTATGGATATTCTACAGTTAGAGTATCTATTCACCTCTTGATGGACATTTGGTTTGCTTCCAGTTGTTTTTGCTATTTCTAATAAAGTTGCTACGAATGTTTGTCCAATCATTTGGACATACGCTTTCATTTGTCTTGGGCAAATAAGCAGGATTTGAATGACTAGGTGGTGTGATATGTTCACCTTTTTTTTTTTTTTTGAGACGGAGTCTCGCTCTGTTGCCCAGGCTGGAGTGCAGTGGTGCATCGCGGCTCACTGAAAGCTCCGCCTCCCGGGTCCACGCCATTCTCCTGCCTCAGCCTCTGGAGTAGCTGGGATTACAGGTGCTAGCCACCACGCCCGGCTAATTTTTTGTATTTTTAGTAGGTATGGGGTTTCATCGTGTTAGCTAGGATGGTCTTGATTTCCCGACCTCGTGATCTGCCCGCCTTGGCCTCCCAAAGTGCTGGGATTACAGGCGTGAGCCACTGCTCCCAGCCACTTTAACTTTTAAAGAAACTGAAAAAGTGGCTATATTTCCAGCAGCAGTGTATGAGCATTCCTTTTCCTTTGTGTTCTCACCAATGTTTAGTATGGTCAGTCTTTTAAATTTTAGCTATTCTAATAGGCATGTAGCAGTATCTCATTGTGGTTTTAATTTACATTTCCCTAATGATGAATGATGTTGAACATCTTTCAATGTTCTTACATATCATCCATCTGTATTCTATGGTGCAATGTCTGTTCAGATCTCTACATTTGTGTTAGACTATTTGTTTTCCTATTATTGAGTCCTGAGAGTTCTTTGTATATTTTGGATAACAAATGTATCTTCACCAGATATAGCTTTTGTAAATTTTTACTCCCAGTCTGTGATTTGTCTTTTTATTCTCTCGATAGTGTTTTTCTTTTTCTTTTTCTTTTTTTTTTTTTTTTTTTTTTTTTGACAGAGTCTGGCTCTGTCACCCAGGCTGGATTCCAGTGGCATGATCTCGGCTCACTGCAAGCTCCACTTCCCGGGTTCATGCCATTCTCCTGCCTCAGCCTCTCCAAGTGGCTGGGACTACAGGCGCCCGCCACTACGCCCAGCTAATTTTTTGTATTTTTGGTAGAGAGGGGTTTCATCGTGGTCTAGATCGCCTGACCTCGTGATCCACCCACCTCGGTCTCCCAAAGTGCTGGGATTAAAAGCGTTAGCCACCACGCCTGGCCTCTGGATAGTGTTTTTCACAGGTCAGATTAATTTTTATATAAATCATTTATTTTATTTTTATTATGTAAAATTTTATAATTTTTAATTTTATTTTTAATTTCCTTTTTAAAAGGTAAATAAAATTTTAAGTGTAATGATGCAAAATTTTGTTTAAAAGTAAATGTATATGAAAGTGTTGATATAGACTAAAAAATTGAATAATTAAGAAAGTAGTTAGTTGTCACAGTAGGAGTGAAGTGAAAAGCTTCCCCTTTCACCCTCTGAAGATTACCTGAAATGAACTGACCATACACAGATTAATAAAATAAAGGGTATACAAACTTACTTAACCTGCAAAAACATGAGAGCTATACACAAAGAATAAGACTTGAAGATGGCTCAGATCTTAAACGCTCTCCTCATAGGCAATAGATATATAGACCCAGGATGCAGACATTATTTTGTAAATAATTTCCTTTGGAAGCTGGATGGGACAGACAAATTACAGGAAGGTGAGAGATGGAACTGCACAGGAAAAAAGTTTGTCTTTGTCACTTTAATCTTATCATTACTAGAGAATATTTATGAATATTTTAGAATAATATATTTTTAAGCCCAAACCTCACCAAATGTTTTTTCTAAAACAAATACTTTTTGTTGTTGTTTGTTTGTGTTTGATACTGTGTCTCACTCTGTCACCCAGGTATGGAGTGCAGTGGTGCAACCATGGCTCACTGCAGCCTTGACCTCCTGGGCTCAAGTGATTCTCCTACCTCAGCCTTCCAAGTAGCTGGGCTACAGGCATGCACCATCATGCCCTGGTAATTAAAGAAAAAAAAATTTTTGTTAGAGACCAAGTCTCATTATATCACCCTGGCTAGTCTTGAACTCCTGGAATCAACTGATCCTCATACCTTGGCTTCCCAAATTATTGGGATTATAGGTGTGAGCCACAGTGCCTGACCACATATTTCTATACTTCACTGAGGAAAGGAAGGTGCTAGGAAAATTGGTTAAGAACTATTTTTTAAAAAGCTATTAGTAGTGTTTTATTTTATTTTATTTTTTAATGATTGATTGATTTTTGAGATTGAGATCTCACTATGTTGCCCAGGCTGGTTTCACATTCCCAAATTTAAGCAATACCCCTGCCTCAGTCTCCCAAGTAGCTGGGATGACAGGTGTGTGTCACCATACCCAGCTCCATTAGTAGCATTTTTAACAATTGTGGGCCACTGAGTAAGAATAATTTTTTTTTTAGTTAAAGGTTATTTTTTAAAAAGCACATTTGTAGAAAATTACTAGCATAATCTGCCTAAAATAAATATACATATTGAAAAAATGTTTGCTCTGAACAAAAAGAAATATATTCACCACACATACATACATACACATACACACATGCACACACACACACACACACACATTATGGAAGATTTCAAGACCAGGCAATAATTTCCACTCAATCCAAAAACAATGCAATCCCAGAGCTGAATATTTAGGTGAAAAATATATCAGGAATGGGAGGCATTCAGGTTTAATTTTCATGTTTTGGTAGAGTTAGGATGTGAGTTTTCATTTAAAAATATTATTTATTTTTTTGCTACTATTGTGGTTTCTGTAATGTTACTATACAATCTGTAAACTAAATAGTAAAGGAGAGAAAAGAGATTTTCAAAGAAGCTGGCTTGGGAACAGGTACTATTCTGGGAAGATGAAAGGTTTCACTTAATGACTGGTACCTGTGCCACTCTGGTTATTTTAACTGTTAACCTTTTAGGAAGAGGTTTTTCTTTTAAAAGACATCCCTTAATATTGGGGAAGCTAGTGCAATAGTACATATTGAGGCCCACATACCACATGCCAAATATTTAAAAGGCATATTTCTAGCTAACCACTGTACATACATATATTTTTCTCTCTTATTTTCTTATTTTAGTTTTTTCCTTGTCAACAATTTATGTCCACACATATCTTCTATCATCCCATTTTGACAAGTAATATTATACCTTCAAAATGATGTGGAAGACTAGATTGGAATTTAGAACCGTAGAACCTTGTAATTGTACAAGAAAGTTTCTTCCTGGGAAAAAATAAAACAGGAAGAAAAGGCTGGGCAGCCTCTGCTTCAGGAAGGAAATTCGGGAGTCCCGTATAGCAGCATCTCTAGTACTTGGGAACCGAACAGACTTCTCGGCCTGTGAGGCTGGAATGGGCCCTTCTGGAGAACACGACAGAGAAGTTATCTACTGCCTTTGCCCCCAGGGCCCAGGCAACACTTTTACCCTCCATTGCTTGTTTCTGAAGTTAAGGGGAGGAGACAATGTTTTGTTTAGTGACCTCGACAGAAAAGGTGTCCTCCTGCAACAACTCATTTGTTACTTTCCTTCTTCCTGAATTGCCTGGACCCACTCCTCCTCCATTTGACTGGCTCTGTGCACTGATGTTATAGTCAGGAGATTTTTGGGAATTGTGGCTTCTAAAAATGTACACCCGACTCTACCCATAGCTGGCCCTGTGAACCTACACACCTGTTCCACTGTGTCTCCTTCTCATAGAGACACTTTTCCTGCTGAGTCTCTGCCCTCTGCTCCTAGATCCAAATGGCATCTCCTACCCTATCCCTGTATGGATTAACCTAGGGAAACTCTTTCCCAGAGGAGTCAGGTAAGGAGACGGTGGCTGAGCTTCTTACAGACTTAAAGGAGACATCCTGGAATTTAGGAGTCCATCCTTCCTTTCTGTCTCCTTGGCAGCTCCTGCCGCTGCTCAAAGTTTAGCTTTGTCTCTCATCCAGCTCAGACTGTTGCTGGTCCTGATGGCCTCTGCTTAGCTGTATTAGTACGTTCTTGCATTGCTATAAAGAAATACGTGAGAAATACCTTTAGTTGGCTCACGGTTCCATAGGCTATGCAGGAAGCATGGTGGTTTCTGCTTCCGGGGAGGCCTCAGGAAACTTTTACTCAAGGTGCAGGGCAAAAAAAAAAAAAAAAAAAAAAAAAAAAAAAAGCTACCAGCACTGCACTGTGAGGCCCTGATCCCTGAGCTAACTTCATATTATTACCTCTACAGCAAGTGTCTCTGAGAACATAGATATATTTCTTATGTGAGTACACAATTTACAGAAGAGCAACTACCCTCCCAAACCAAAAGAAAATGTTATAATTTTAATTTACCAACAAACCTAGGTTGCTTCTGTGAAATGATCTCATTTGCTGAGTTTTAAAATTGACTAAATTTCCCAATTTCCAAATGAAAATATTTAGTTATCTTGCCTTGCTATGTGTTTTTGGTTAATATGATGATTAATTTTTGGTCTATTACATAATATATTCCATGATTGTTGATATGGATTATAAGGACTCACAAAATAATTTTCAGATGTCTTTAATTTTTTTACTTAGTGTAGATCCTATAAATGGATTAGGAGTATTCTATTAACTCCCATGTATTCAGAAATTGAATTGGAGTGGTAAATTCTGTTTGAGGTAACAAGGGATATCAAAGAAAAAAATAATTTTGTGACTATGTCTTCTATACGTAAATTTTTCAGGCATCTTTATCAATGGCTTATACTAAAGACATTTTCTGGATCATGGGTGACCGACAGAAAACATGCTGATAAGTGGCATTGTGTACACTACTGCATTTTATCATCAGGTTTATTTTTAAACTTTTATTTCTCTTAAGGATGTTTTATTAACCGGTGCATCACCAGGTTAACAGTCTCTGGAACACTAAACTTACCAGAAAATACTTGTTGATTGAATTAACAAGAAAACAACATTAGAAAACAGTGGTGGCTTTTTTTTGTCTGTTGCAGTATCTTGGAGAGTAAAGCCTAACTCTTTAATTTTGGCCAAAGATATAAAGAAATACCTGAGAAACACCTTTAGTTGGCTCATGGTTCCATAGACTATATAGGAAGCATGGTGGTTTCTGTTTCTGGGGAGTCCTCCAACACTTACTGGCAGGGTAATTTTGAAGAAGTCATGATAAGATGGTTGTTACAATTAAATGAAATAATCAAATTGGAAGAGCTTAGTTAGCTGTCTTCCCTAAATGAATCACTGACAAGTAAGAGTGTGATTGATTTTCCTACCAGTCAGGACTCACCCCTTGAAGCTATAGGAGGGTAAACCTCTGAAGACCATACAATTTAGGGAACACTAACACCTCAAAAAACTCTGTAAACTTCCTTCCTTCCTTTTTTCCTTCCTTCTTTCCTTCCTTCATTCCTTCCTTCCTTCCTTCCTTCCTCCCTCCTTCCCTCCCTCTCTCTCTCTCTTTCTTTCTTTTCTTTCTTTGTTCATTTTTGAGACAGAGTCTTGCTCTGTCATTCAGGCTAGAGTGTAGTGGCTGGATTACGGCTCACTGCTGCCTTGACCTCCTGGGCTCAAGCAATCCTCTCCCTTCAGCCTCCCTAGTAGATGGGACTATTGGCATGCTCAGCTAATTTTTTCCTCCTTTTCTTTTTGTAGAGACAGGGTCTCATCATGTTGCCCAGGCTGGTCTTGGACTCCTTGGATCAAGCAATCCTGCTGCCTCAGCCTCCCAAAGAGCTGGATTACAAGCATGAACCACTGTGCCCAGCCTTAAGTTTTTTTCATACAGGAGGAAAGAATTTGGGAAAGTAGGTGTGTGTGTGTGTGTGTGTGTGTTGGTTAGGGAGCCAACACATTTTTCTGCAAAGCTTGAATTCTGTGCCTCAGTTTTTCATTTTTGTTATGTGCAAAATAAAATCGTAGCCTGCTATAGATTTAAACCTGTGAGTGGATCCTACTCAAAACCTGATTCAAACTTTGCGTAGATCTTTGTCTGTCTATGGCATAAGAATAAATTCTTCTGGTTTTCTTCCATCAGGAAAATGGACTTAGACTTCCCCCAAGCCTTCCAGAAAGAACTCAACTGCCTCATCTGCCTGAATTACCTCATAGACCCCATCACTATAGGCTGCGGGCACAGTTTCTGTAGGCCCTGCCTCTGCCTTTGCTGGGAAGAAGCACACACTCCTGCCCTGCATGCAGGGAACTGTCACAGCAGGGAGATTTCAATCAATATTCTTCTGAAGAATCTAGTGTCCATTGCCACAAAAGCCAGTCTCTGGCAATTCCTGAGCTCTAATGAACAAATGTGCAGGATCCACAGGGAGACAAAGATGTTCTGTGATGTGGGCAAGAGGCTGCTCTGTTTTCTGTGTTCTAACTCTCAGGAACACTGGGGCACAGAAACACTGGCCCACTGAAGGGGCAGCTAAGGAACACTGTGTAAGTGATGACTCAGAGCACTTTGAAAGTTGGAGGGCAGCACAGGTAAAGAGATTAGGAGGAAGATGAAGAGCATGAGGATTAATCTATTCTTTACCGAGTGTCATGTACTGCCTAGGCATCAGTGATATAATTGTTATCCTGCTATCAAATCTACTGATAAGTGGCTCATTTAACTTATATGCACTCATCACAATGCAAGAAATCCTCTGACTGCTCCTACCATCATGGCCCCTAGCCATGATATGACTTGTCTCCACACTAGAAGAAACGAATCGAGTCCCTATATTAGGGATAAGAGGCATTTATATATATATATATTTTTATATATAAATTTTATATGATATATAAAATATAAATATTTATACAATATATATTATATACATATATACATACATACATACATATATATGTGTATATATATATATATATATATATATATATATCACAATGCTAAAAATGTTTTGTCTTCAAAATAATCACAGTGCATTTGGAGAGACAAATGCATCTACAACCAGGCGACAACACTGAAAATAAAATTGTAGCAGTTTGAATAAGGGATTAAATGAGTTAATTTTTTCCTGGGGTTCAAAAAAAGAAACAGCAGCAAAAAATGGTACTTAAGACTGAAAGTTGGCTGGGTGCAGCTGCTCATGCCTGTAATCTCAACACTTTGGGAGGCCAAGGTCGGCGGATAACCTGAGGTCAGGATTTCGAGACCAGCCTGGCCAACATGGTGAAACGTCATTACTAAAAATACAAAAATTAGCTGGGCGTGGTGGCAGCTACCTGTAATCCCAGCTACTCGGGAGGCTGAGGCAGGAGAATCACTTGAACCCAGGAGGCGAGGTTGCAGTGAGCCAAGATCACGCCATTGCACTGCAGCCTGGGTGACGAAAGCAAAACTCCATCTCAAAAAAAAAAAAAAAGAAAATTCTGGGTTATGACACAGAACATACGCAACATGAATATGCCATGGTTATGACCATGTAGACTACTCAAGATTGTGTATTTTTAAAATAATAGAATACTAGGTTAAAAAATTAACATCACAGAATGAAAAATAAGCCACAAACTAGCAGAAGATAATTGTAACACATAAAAACAAAGACTTAAATACAATGGTAATATAATGATAGCTATTCTTACAAAGTTGTTTCTATGTCTCAGGTACTATTCTGAACAACATACGTGCATCTTGAATGCATGAAGAAGTCCTATATAAGAAAAACACAAACAACAACATTTAAAATCAGCAAAAAAACCCGAATAGGAATTTCACAGAACAGAAAACATAAATGGCCCATAAACATAATAAAAGATGCTCAACTACAATTTTAATCAGGGAAATAAACATTAAAACCCCAAAGAGATACCACTTCATACTCTAGGAAAAACCTAAAAGGCTGTGAATATCTAGTTTCATTGAGGAAGAACAATGGGAAGACTATTCACTGCTGGTGAGGGTGTAGATTGGTACAACTGCTTTGGAGAACAGATTGATGCCACTCAATAGAGCTGAACACATACATGCCCAATGACCAAGCAATTCCACTCCAGGTACATACTGTAAAAATACTCCTGCACATGTAGAATAGGAGACACTGCATAACAAAGTTCACTAGAACATGAGGCTGAGGTGGGAAGATGGCTTGAGACCAGGAGTTCGAGGCTGCACCAGTAGCTGGGACTATAAGCATGTGTCACCATGCCTGGCTAATTTTTTGCTGTTGTTGTTGTTGTTAGAGATGATGTCTTCCTTTATTGAACAATCTGGTCTCCAACTCCTGGCTTCAAGTGATCTTCCCACTTCTGCCTCCCAAAGTGCTGGGATTACAGGTGTGAGCCACCATGCCCGGCCAAGTTCTGCTTCTTTACTTGAGGTAGATACTTTGATGTTTCATTTTCCTTTATTGTACAGATATACTTTATATTCTCATATGTGACACAAGTCAAAATTTAAAAAAACAATTTAACGTTTATTCCCTTTAGATGAATGATGGGCAAATTTACATAATGAATTCATCACTGAAACAATGTATAGATTTCAGACTAGGAAAGTAACTATTTATAAAAGAAAAGCTTAAAACCTGAAACAGAAACAAAATCCTGAAACTGTAAAATTGAGTCAAACTAAAATTTAAAAAACAAAGCAATGATATAAAGTATCATTTGTCCAAATGTGTTCTACAAAACGCTTTTTTCTTAAATATGTCTGAGGAAAAACAGGTTCTAGGAGTAAAATATGTTTGAAAAATGCTGGGTTAAACAACTGAACCTATGAAGGAAGGAATAGAACTTCTCAAGCTCTTGACTCTGGAATCTTTTTTACACGGCAATTAACACCATGCTTCTTCTTGGATTTGTATTTCAGATAAACACAATCTGGGAAACATTTTATAATACAGAGGGCCACACCAGATCGAATATTGTCCCCAGGAATGAAATGAAAACAGGAATGGATTCTCCAGTAAGAGGTACCCAGATATCCTAATCTTCAGTAGCTGACCTAAACCCTGGACAAGTGGGATCAAACCCCATAACCAAATACAACTTTTTAGGAACTAAGTAGATAATCACTCTGTGTTGTATGAACATGTGGGCAGTGTGTTTCCTATATAACTTAAAAGTGCAACAAAAAAAGATCTAGGTGTCATATAAAGAATTTCTACCACTGTTAGGGTAATGGTGGACTGACAGGCAGAGGGTCTTAGATGTCACTTAAGTAAAGTTCAATAGAAGCTTCCAGCACAGATATTCATGTTTCGAATTGGACCGCTCAGTTAAAATGTTTTCCCATTAGACTTCCCCTAATCAAATTAGAAATTATCTAATTTTCTAATAAAGTTTTCCCCAGGCACAAGGAATCTGTGAACTGGACCTAAAAAATTCTTCATAATGTGCTTTTATTACCATAAAAGATGCACATTTATTTTAAAAACTTCTCTACACCACTATCATAAACCTTTGCACACACTTATTTCTTTTGGAAGCTAACTTCTGAGTGGTAATGAAATATATTCTTAAGAAAAAAGTCTGACACAATGCCTTTGCATCTTAAAATATGTTAAAATATTATTTGAAAAGAGTCAAACATCTGTCTTTTCAGGGTATCACAGGGCGTCAAACTGGAAAATGTGGCACTGCCAGGAGTTTCTACCTGGTGAAGGGTGGCAGACTTTTCTCTTCAGAGGGCTCTTGACAGGGTAGCGTCCATTATCTTGCCAATTTACCACAACCTAGGCCCAATCCTCGGTCTTATAGGTTCAGAAATTTATTTTTATCAGCGTCAATAGGGTAGCTACATTGCTTAGAAGCAAACAAAAATAACCATGCTTCAATAGAAATCAGGATATAGATGTATTAATACAGAATGACCAATATAAATGTGACAGAAATAGGAATGCCTGTTTATGGTCATATACGGCCAATACTTTCATTACAGCCAAACTCATACATGCAGCCAAATAAGAGGCCCCTGGATACACAGGAAATCAGAATAAAAAAAGAACTGAACATTTAATAGTCTTCTTTCATTCAATCAATAATTTTTTTTAATTAAGCAACTACTATGTCCAGGTAACCTTCTAGGTCCTGGGGATACAGAGTTCTCTGCTTACAGAAGTCATATGTAAGTAGCAGGTGAAGAGTATGTGTTTCACAGAAGGTTATTACAATATATTAACAAGAGCAAAAAATTTTGGAAGCAATCTAAATGTTCAATAATAGAGCTCCAATTAAATGACAATAAATCCAAATAATGAAAAATAATGCAGCCCTTTAAGAATAAGCACTTGCAAGCCATAATTCATGACATGGGAAAATTATCATAATGGAAAAAGAAGCAAGCTATATATAGTGCATGATCCTATACACACACATACATACATACATATTTCCTATCCCTTTATATGCATAAGAAAACAAGCGGGAGGAAAGTCATATCTTTAGTCAAATCTTGTTTACTAATGTACTATTAATGATTATCTTTTCTTTTTCTTTATACCTTTTTGCATTTTTCAATTTCCTAAAATAGCCTTACATGCCTTTTATCACCAGGAGAAAAATTACTTCTAAGGTAATTTCAGTCAACATGCATACTAAAAACTCTTCAGATTTATCTATTAGAAGCTGTGCATGAATGCCAGTCCTTGCATCTGTCCTGGAACTCACAGAGAGCTCTTTTCCCATGACTTTAAGCAATACTCAAAAAGACCAGCATACCTGAATTTCCTAGTCCTATGTTTTTTCATCCAACAGCCAGTCTTGTATTTCTAGCTGTTTTCTAAACATTTCAACCAAACCATTTTACAGATAACTCATACAGTCATCTTTTGATACGCATGGGGAATTGGTTCCAGGATCCCCCTTGTATACCAAAATCCATGGATGCTCAAGTTACTGGTATAAAATAGTGTAGTATTTGCATATAACCTACACACATCCTCCTATATACTTTAAATCATCTCTAGATTACTTAATAACACTTAATATGATGTAAATGCTATGTAAATAGTTGGTATACCATGTTGTTTTTTATTTGCATCATTTTTTATCATTGTATTGTTTTTTCTGACAATTTTGTTCCACAGTTGTTTGAATCGGTGGATGCAGAACCCATGAATATGGAGAGTCAATTTCATTTCATAATGCCCAAAGGTAAATGCGTAACTTTTTCCGCACAGCTAATCTTCTAGCAACCCCATTGCTGTCCATGGCAAGCAGGCTTAGTTAATCTCGCCCTTTCCAGTTTCAGGTTCATTAAAAAACTCTTGTCAAACTCTCTTTCATCCCACCTTATTCTTCATTCTCACTTCCATCAGCATATCAGTCCAGGCCCTAGTAACATTAATGTTACTAATGGCACTGTTAGTAATATTACTTACCAGCATTCAAGTGGGTCTCCCTGATGCCATTGTCTCCCATCCTGAAATCACTGCTCTTTATATAGAACTTGTATGATGTCATTCATTGGCTCAAAAACTTTTAAAGCCTTCCTTTTTCTACTACCCCAATCTAAATTTCTATGCCTGGCTTTTATTAAAACCCGTAATTTGGCCCCACCCTAGCTATTTAACTTTATTTTCCACTATTCGCCAGTCTCCTCCCTCATCAACGAGAAGACATACCATAATCAACCTCACCACTAACCCTTGGAATATCTAAACTTAAAAATGGTCCTTCTTTTCCCCTTTACTTGTATTTAAAGAACCTGACGAATTATTCCTCCTCTGCTAAACTTTTCACAATTTCTTCAACCTCATTTACTTTTCAAGTTTTCAGAACATATCTTGCCGTTTATTAGGAATCTCACAATTAGGCACTCTACTGTAGATAGATTTACAATCATGTATGTTGTCATCTTCTATTAAATTCCATACTCCTTGAAGGCAGGAGTCATGCCTTATTCTGTCCCTCAGAGTACTCAGAATGATGCAGAGCACACAGAAAGTACTCAAATCTTGTTGACTGATCCAGTGAGAAATTACCAACTTCAGTTCCAGCCTCTCTTTAACATGTACATAGTAATTTGGGTAAGTCAAGCTCCATCCTGAAGGACATAATAAGGGACTCTTTAAGCACATTATTATGAAGGCCCTTCAGGGATAACACCAGAGTGATGAGGTGCCCTATACCAGGGACAATGGAGACAGAGTACTTGGGATTCATCACTGGAGTCCTCAAAGCATCTTCCAAGGGCATAATAAGGAAGGACTCAAACACCTTTGAATCTCCGTGAGACCAGGCATGAGGTCTTTTGAAAGAGTTCTTTAACTGGAGTGAATGTCAAAGAGAAGTATAATAAAATAAAAGACGTGAGTAGGGTCCCCCTTGTTCATAAAATGACACTACCTAAATCACCAAATCTCACTGAGCCTTGGTTTAACTCAAGAGGTTCCATGCCACTATAAGAGGTGGTAACTGCCAACTGATAGGAAATATTTTCATATGCATAGTATAGTGCCCCATATTTATGAACTTCTTAAGAGTCTTCAAAAAGCTTTCTATATACATTATCCTTTACTTTCTAACTTTTCTAAATACAAGGTGAGAGAGACACAAGTGTTCTATCAAAACAGAATCTTGGCCGGGCACAGTGACTCACGCCTGTAATCCCAGCACTTTGGGAGGCAGAAGCGGGTGGCTCACTTGAGGTCAGCAGTTCGAGACCAACATGGCCAACATGGCAAAACTCCATCTCTACTGAAGATACAAAAAATTAGCCAGGTGTGGTAACAGGTGCCTGTAATTCCAGCTACTTGGGAGGCTGAGGTCAGAGAATTGCTTGAACCCAGGAGGCGGAGGTTGCAATGAGCAGAGATCACACCACTGCACTCCAGTCTGGGCAACAAGAGCAAAACTTCATCTCAAAATAAAAAAAAAAATAAAATAAAGACTTTTGCAAGGACCATGTCCCACCCAGAATGGTGCCTGCCTTTCTACAGTTTTTCAGAAAGAGGAAACATTTTCTGCTTCTCTTGCTGAGGTTTTTTTTAACCACCCATTAGGAATGTATAGATTTCAGGATCGAACACTGCGATTCCCTCAGCACTAAAGGAGTAAAATTTCAAACAGAGCTGAAAGTGCAATGTGGAAAGCTCAGGCTGAGGAAGGTTCTTAGCCAGTAGACCAAGGGCAGAAAGGACACTGCCTCCTCAGTCTCCCACTAGGGAACTTGTGATTCTTGTCCCCTGACCTCAGAATTCCTTGTCATGTTTGTTTTGTCTCCAAGGGAAGGGTTTGAATTACAGAATTTAAGGCAAGAGTGGGCCTCCTGCAGTTAACATTAACCCTCTCTCTCCTTCGCTGGCTGAGGTGAAGTCCGGGGCCATGTAGTTCTGACGTCCACTCTCTCGGGGGATCACCAGTTCACCCACCTCACCTGGCAAGCTGGGCCCTAGTTTGGCGTCAGGAATCTCCCGCCCACCTGGGAGGCAGGGTTCAACACTCTGCCTCTGACCTTTTTTCCTTCCTCTGCCACCTGCTTAGGCAGCCAGAAGGGGTTGTCCAGCCAGCACCTGGGCTTTGGTGCTCCTCAAGCAGGTGGAGGAAGTTTCAGGCACCTGGCTCCTCAGGTGTCTGCCATCCAGCTGCTCTTCAGGCCTGCCCAGCAGAGCTCTCTTGATCCAGCTAGAACTGGCCAGAACTGACTCACTCAGGAATGTGTAGACTTTGGCATCAGGGGCTTCTTTAATTTGCACAATTTCCAAATACCTCTTTTTTCTTCTTTTTCTGATGAGTCATCTCCTTAGACTTGCATTTTAAAGAGATAGATAGTTATCAGGTTCCAGAGAAGACATGGTAGAACATTTATATCTCAAAGACACAGAGCTGAGACTTCAGGTTTAGATACTATAATTTGCCTAAACCAAAAAGGAAGGTGTAGGTAAAGTTCTAGTCAGGACAGGATGGCCAGGAAAAACACCTTAAAGCAAGGGATGGCTTGCTTTGCTGATTTAAGCCAATGGCTTCTTTATCATAAGACTTCCCAGTGATTTAGTCCTCCCTCTCTTCCAGTGCACAGAGACATACCCCTCCTTACAAATAAAAATGTTCTTTATAGATGGAAATTTATTTTACAAAAATGTTTCAAAATAACCAGATGAAAATCATCCTTATGCCAGAAAGACTTGTTGTTTTTTTTTTTTTTTTTACTAGAAATGAAACAGTATTTGTTGTATTGACATACTTAGGCTTAGACCTATGTTTAACAAGAAAGCCTAATAATAACACTGTGGTTAGACTGTAGCCTATTTTTCCAAATCATCATTTTATTATTAAGGAAAGAAAGGATCAAATACCTTTCATTCATCTGATATGATCCTTTAAAACACATTCCACTAATGAGTCACATTTGGAACAGCTGAAAATCTTTTAATAAAACTTTTTAAAGATGAGCTCATGGCTTAGTGTATATTTCACAAGCTTAATTAGGTCAAATGGAAGGAACTCAGATGAGTAGTTGCCCAATCAGAGCCCATTATTTGTAAGTCATCAGCCCCCTTCATGACCTTAAAACTCCACCCTGACCTAATTATTCCAAACCTATATACAACAAAGTGAAAGGATTAATTTTCATTCATCAACCTCTCAATCCCAGATTTTCAAAGAAAAAACCTATGTAAGGAATACTTACCAAAACCAGACAGGAAAATTAGAGCCTGCATACTTAAGAGTCAAATTTGTTCCACTACAGCCAGGTCACATACAATTACATCATTTGGTTCTTCATACACTCTGGAACTGACCAGGACAGAGTTTAGCATAGAAAAACTGTAAGAAATAGGTTCCAAGACATAGAAATTGCCAAGTCCAAAAGGCTATGAAAAAAACTAATGTAAATGAGAGACTCCCCTCCCTTTGTTTTAAAGAAATGGACCCATCAGAGAAATGCAAATCAAAACCACAATGAGATACCATCTCACACCAGTTAGAATGGCGATCATTAAAAAGTCAGGAAACAACAGGTGCTGGGGAGGATGTGGAGAAATAGGAACATTTTCACACTGTTGGTGGGACTGTAAACTAGTTCAACCATTGTGGAAGTCAGTGTGGCCATTCCTCAGGGATCTAGAACTAGAAATACCATTTGACCCAGCCATCCCACTACTGGTTATATACCCAAAGGATTATAAATCATGCTGCTATAAAGACACATGCACATGTATGTTTATTGTGGCACTATTCACAATAGCAACGACTTGGAACCAACCCAAATGTCCAAAAATGATAGACTGGATTAAGAAAATGTGGCTCATATACACCATGGAATACTATGCATCCATAAAAAATGATGAGTTCATGTCCTTTGTAGGGACATGGATGAAGCTGGAAACCATCATTCTCAGCAAACTATTGCAAGGACAAAAAAACCAAACACCACATGTTCTCACTCATAGGTGGGAATTGAACAATGAGAACACTTGGACACAGGAAGGAGAACATCACACACCAGGGCCTGTTGTGGGGTGGGGGGAGGGGGGAGGGATATCATTAGGAGATATGCCTAATATAAATGATGAGTTAATGGGTGCAGCACACCAACATGGCACATGTATACATATGCAACAAACCTGCACATTGTGCATGTGTACCCCAGAATTTAAAGTATAAAAAAAATAAAAAAAGAAAGAAATAGATGTTCTGTAAAAATATACACAATTTTTACAGACAAATACATTTATAAGTTGTTTTTATCTTAAAAATTGGGGATATTTCATATTTATAACTAATTATTGAGCCTTAAGTTTTCTTGGCCATTTCTAGGCTAATAAACTAAGAATCATGTAAACTAAGCCAAAGTAGAATAGACATAAAAGTCCTAAACACTTCAACTTTCTATCCTTCAAGAAATATACCTCGCAAAGCTCATTTGAGAGAGGAAAAGCTTTCCTCCACCCTCTGTTTTACAGCGCTGAGGCTTCTCATCACATTTCTATGACTTGTAGCTTAAATCCATGTTACATGGTCACTGGCATTGTTAGGGCTTCTCTTTTAACACTGTTGGAATTAATCAATTTGGTGGCATATTTAATTAATTCTATCACTAGAGGGTTGTAAAATTACATATATGAATACCTCACTTTAGAGGCCACTTAATTTTTTTCCAAGGGGATATTTGACTATATTTCACTTGTGTCTTATTTAATGATTTTATAATTTAAACCCTAAATTATAAATCTAGAATTTAGAAAGTATATTTCCCCACTGGATTACATTTTTGGAAATATTATTTTATATGTGCACAAATATTACAAAATCACTGTAGACACCTGAAAACTATATTATCTTTTAAAGGCAATATTTACATTAAACTGGTATAACAAAATCGTTTGGTGCATTTTTTCCAGTACATTTTGTGTATATTACATGTTTAACCTTTTTTTATCCAGCAAATAATTTTTGAGTATCTGCTAAGTGCTAGGCTCTGCATTACTAACTGACTTTAAAGACTGAAATAACAGACATGGTCTCAGACAATAAAAATTAACATCAGGTCACCTATTTATATATTTTAAAATGGTAATTATGAAAACTTTTTGAGATTTTTAACTTGATAACATTATAATAACATACTTGACATTGTTACTATTTGCCAGTGAGCAAAAAAGAAAATAAAAAGATGGTTTTATTCAATATACACTTTAAAATTGCAGAAAATAGTCAAGTTTCTCTGCTTTGCAGTTGAATGTCTATGTGTTTTTCTCTGCAACTTGACTTTTGTGGAGTGAAACAATTATTCTTCCAGCCCAATGAAGGCAGAAGAGTAACAATAAATCTAATATTTTAAATGCTTATCAAAAGATAGTAAACACATTATTTCAGAATACTGAGTTCAATAAGTTGACCTACAAAAAAAGCCAAACTGACAGTATTACTGAATAAGGAAAGGCCCAAAGGGACAAAATACTTTTTAATTTGTAACCTCAGTATGACAAAACGTACCCTAACTATAAAGACCCTAAATTACCAAGATGGGTGCTTATAATATGGAGAGTAAAAAAAGTCATTTCACTTTTAGCTTTTTTATTTCTCTCAGAATAAAAAGTGTATAAGGAGTTGATAAAGAAGTTGATACTGTAAGTTAGTACTACAATGACAGCACTTTTCAAGAAAATACTTTTTTCTCTCTTACAAATATCATGTTAGCAGCATTTGTTTTCTCCAGAAATAATGAGGAAATAAAAACATAAGTATGTGGGTAATTAGTGTAGTTTCTTAAAGAAATGAGTTAGGCAACAGGCTAATAATGTATACTTCGCTGGCTTTTGATTGCCAACAATCATATTCTTTATAAGGCACAGAGAAGATTTTTCTGAAGAATAAGTATGTGAACCTGAAAAGTAATCACCACTTGGTAGTGACAATATGGATAGGGTGAAGGGCGTCACCAAGAAGCAATGAAAAGATACATTTGCAGTTAAATTTGAAAACCATGATGGTTAATACATATAGTAATAAAGAATACTTTCTCCTATTTCAAAATTATTTTAGAATTTAAGATAGAAGCTAAAATACCTAGGGATAATGATATGACTATCAAAAATTAAAAATTAAAGGACATTTTGAGTATTATAAGTTAAGAATGAGAACTTATTACCCAATGAACAGGGGATAATTCATTATGCTCCATATCCATTGAATTAAAAGACAGGCCCATTACCTGGATAATTTGAAAGTTTAATTTTATTTAAAAGTCTTGTTTCATTCATCAAGCTAAAGGATTAGCTCCCAGAAATATTCTAGGATTGCATATCCCCAACTCTGTAGGAAGTATAGAAAGAATGTTATAAGGGCCACCATCTAAACATTATTATGTAAATAATTTAGTACCATTCCATTTGCCTTTGTAGATTTAAAAATGTAAATGGCTTTCGCATATTAGGAAACATCATTTTTCAAAACCCAGATAAACATAGTATATTGCAAGAGAATAATTATTTTCTTTATTAAAAAAGAAATACTGGATGCTAAGTCCAAAAGACATAAATTATTTTATACTAATAACTACTAATATTTTATTCATTAAAATATAAAGGTCAAAGATTTCAAAATGATCTTTAAATGATTAATAACATGTTGATCTTTTTCTTCTTTCTGTAAACCTTTTTGAGTCTTAACAATACTAAACTATACAAGCAATATTAAATAGTATATAAACTTGGATTAAAATATTCAAATTTACTAGAATGTGGACATTGGAAAGAATGAAAATAAACAGAAGCATAAAGCAGCAGATATAAAATTAAGAAAGCAACTAAGAGTGTTTAAAGTACATATTCATCTGTAGTCTAATGTCTACCATAAACAATGACTCTTCTCAGTAAAACACAAATTGTTCATGAAGGGAAAAAGCATGTTGTATTAGAGAATATTCAACATAACTTTTTTAGTACTAACTTGTGCCTGGAGTATTATTGGTTTTTCTATTATGAACTTATTATGCACTTGATAATTTTTTTCATAAAGATTGTATGTACAACTCCATTCAAAAGCAGTTTTTGGTGGGTTTTCTTTTTTTGAGACAGAGGTTTGCTCTTTTCACCCAGGCTGGAGTGCAATGGTGTGAACTTGGCTCACAGCAACCTAGCAACTTTTGCCTCCCAGGTTCAGGTGATTCTCTTGCCTCAGCCTCCCGAGTGGTTAGGACAACAAGCATGTACCACCATGCCTGGCTAATTTTGTGTTTTTAGTAGAGACATGGTTTTGCCATGTTGACTAGGCTGGTCTTGAACTCCTGACCTGGGGTAATCCGCCCACCTTGGCCTCCCAAAGTGCAGGGTATGGGCAAGAGCCACCATACCCGGCCTCAAAAGCAGTTTTAAAAGCAAATAAAATATAACACCAAAGTTGAAAAATCCATGCTCACCCAAGGATGCCAGGTTTAATAAATTATTTATAGAATACTGCATCAAAAATAAGACAATAACCCAAAATATACCATTAAAGATGTATCCACTCCTACAACTAGAGATAATTAATCTATCTGGTAGCAAATGATACTTCAATCAGTTTCAGCATGTCTGAAATCTTTAAGGACAAAAGTGATAAAACATGACTTCATTCTTCATTAGACTCTTAGAACACTTGAAGGAAAATAATTTCTGAAGCACAAAGAGATAAGAGGTGTAATCTTTCAAAAAGATATTCAGTGTTCAAAATCCAAGAGTGCAATATCAGGCTGGGTGCGGTGGCTTATGCCTGTAATCCCAGCACTTTGGGAGGCCATGGTGGGTGGATCACCTGAGGTCAGGAGTTCGAGACCAGCCTGGACAACAGGGTGAAACTCTGACTGTACTAAAAATACAAAAATTAGACAGGCATGGTGGTGTGCACCTGTAGTTTTAGCTACTTGGGGGGCTGAGACAGGAGAATCGCTTGAACCTGGGAGGTGGAGGTTGCAGTGAACCCAGATCATGCCACCTCACTCCAGCATCAGTTACAGAATGAGATTCCATCTCAAAAAAAAAAAGAGTGTAATATCATATCGGTATACACAGATAATATACTGAATGAAACAAATAGAATAATTTGAAGAGGTATCTTGATGAACAAGGAGTCATTAGAAAGGTTGTATTCATGTCTTTGAAGGAAATTGCAATGTGAGAAATTAATACTTTGACTACTATACTAAAAGTTTATTGCTAACATCTACTGAGTTATTAACGTGTGTTAGGCAGAGTATCATATAATTTACAAGTGTTATCTCATTTATTGTAGGTAAAATGTAATTTCAAACTCTGGGAGTATAAATGAATTAGATAGAATAAAATTCTATTTAAATGGCCATCAGTAAATCGGTATCTAGGAACAGGGTGATACAGTGCCCAAGTTTTCTATTCTTACTAAATGTTGTGTTTCATTTTCAATGTTTTCTTGGATATTGCTCTTTTTTGGTGACTGATTTTTTTTTTATTTTAGAAAACTAATAAACTGACTCTTCTTGGTACTGACTCTTGGGTTTTATAGAAGAAAAAATAATTAAATTCTGTACATTTACCTTTACTTCATTTTTTTCTCTTTTAAATTTACTTTAATTGACATATAATAAATGTACATGCTATGGGGTACAGAGTGATATTTTGATATATTTATGCAATGCATAAAGATCAAGTCACAGTCATTATCATATCCACTACTTAAATCATGTATTATTTCTTTGCAGTGAGAATATTCAAAATCTTTTATTTTAGTTATTTGAAAACACACAATAAATTCCCATTAACTACAGTCACCCAACAGTGCTGTAGAGAACTAGAACTTCTTCCTTCTCTCCAGCTGTAATTTTGTATGTATTAACCACATTTTTCTTATACTCTTCTTTCTCCTACTCTTTCCAGGATATGGTAACCAAAACTCTACTATCTACTTCTACGAGTTTAAAAATTTTAGCTTCTATACATAAGTGAGAACACGTAGTTATGTGGTGTTTATGTTTCTATGCCAGGCTTATTTCACCTAACATAATGCCCTCCACTTGCATTCTTGTTGCCACAAATAACAGGATTTTGTTCTTTATTATGACTAAATAATATTCCATTATATATGTATGTCACATTTCTTTATCCATTCATCTGTTGATGGACACTTTTGTTGATTCCATATCTTGGCTATTGTGAATAGTGTTGTAATAAACATGCAGGTGCAGGTAACTCTTTGATATACTGATTTTGTTTCCTTTGGATATATACTGAAAATCATATGATTAAATTAATAAACACAATAAAAGCGTTTGGCAAAATTAAATATCCTTACATGACAAAAAACCTCTCAACAATTTAGTATAGAAAATATATGCCTTAACACAAAGGACATAAAGGACTAATCTACAGCTAAGATCATACTGAGTGTGGAAAAGGTGAAAGATTTTACTGTGAACAAGAAAAAGATTTTATTGTAACAAGAAAAGGATGCCTATTTTCATCAATCATATTTCACATAGTGAAAGTCTTAGCCAGGACAATTAGGTGAGAGAAAGAAATAAAGGACATCTGATTTGGAAAGGAGACAGTCAAATTGTCCCTGTTTAAAGACAATGTGATCTTATACACGGAAAAAAATAAGATGCTACCAAAAGCTTCTTAGGGTGATACATGAAATTAATAAAGTTGCAGGATATAAATAAACATACAAAAATCAGTAGCATTTCTATATATTGATAGTAAACTAGCTGAAACAAGAAATTAAGAAAGCAATTCCTTTTACAATAGCTACAAAAATGTACTTAGAAATAAATTTAAGCAAGGAAGTAAAAGATTTCTACAACAAAAATGACAAATATTAATGAAAGAAATTAAAGAAAACACAAAAAAGGAAAGACATCCATGTTTATAGATTGAAATAACTAATATTCTTAAAATGACCCACTATCCTATGTGATTTACAAATTTAGTACAATCACTAGCTTGTATTTTTAAAAGCACCTTTGCTACATATTCTTAAGATATTCAATGACAATGCCTGGATTTAAGTTTGAGGTATTATTATATCTATTTTATATTGGGCACAATATAATGTTATCAGAGGTAATGGTTTTGATTGGTCCTAGGTCATACAGTAATATATACAGTTTGATTTATAGACATGCTGCCTTTTAATACTCAGGCATTTAGAAAGTTCATTTAGACAAAGTTATAAAAACTTGCCTTCCTTTCTGCCTATATCACCTAAAAATCCTAATTTAAGAGGTAATAACATTTTTTATTTGATATACAATTTATCAACACAATAAAAATCTAACAATTATCATGTGCAGAGTGTGAAAATCTCATCAGATTAAGGAACACAAAGACATCTTTTTCATATTTCGAATGTAAAACTCTTTTGGAAACTGTTATTTTTAGAAACAGTTAAAAACATTTTTTCACTAGTTTTTCATGTAAAATTGTGACAACCAGCATGAAATAACTGTCATCACAGAAGCATGGTATATTCGATTCCAAAACATATTCTTAGTAAGTTTTAATATATTTATGTATTATTTATACTTAGATTGTAACCAATAATGTAGATATTATTTTTCCTTCAACTCTTAAGAATATTCTTAAATAATAAAATTAAAATGAATTATAATTTTTGTTGGTTGGGAAAAAGAATAGACACACACGTGACAGTGCATCACTTCACCTCATCATTTCATCTCATCATTTCATCTCATTTCATCATTTCATCTCATTTTATCTCATCTCATCATATCATCTCATCATTTCATCTCATCATTTCATCAAATCTCATCTCATTTCCATTTCATTTTCATTATTTCATTGCATCATTTCATTTCACTATTTCATTTCATTTCATCTAATTTCATTTATTTCATTACGTCACTTCATATCATCTCATTTCATTTCATCTCATCATTTTTCATATCATTTTTCATCTCATCATTTCATCTCAATTCATTTCATCTCATCATTTCCTCCTTTCATTTCAACATTTCATCTCATCATTTCTTCTCATCTCATTTCAATTTCATTTCATTATTTCATTTCATCTCATTTCATTATTTCACCTAATTTCATTATTTCATCTCATCTCATCTCAATTCATCTCATTTCATCTCATCATTTCATCTCATCATTTTTCAACTCATTTAATCTCATTTCATTTTGTCTCATCATTTCAGCTCATCATTTCATCTCACCACATCTCTTCATTTCATCATTTCATTTCAACATTTCATCATTTCATCTTATCATTTCATCTCATCTCATCTTTCAATTTCATTTCAATATCATTTCATTTCATCATTTCATTTCATCTCATTTCATTATTTCATTATTTCATTTCATCTCATTTCAATTCATCTCATCATTTCATCTCATCATTTTTCATCTCGTCATTTCATCTCGTCATTTCATCTCATCTCATCATTTCCATTTCATTTCCATTTCATCATTTCATCATTTAATTTCATCATCTCTTTTAATTTCACCTCATTTCATTTTTTCATTTCATTATGTCATTTCATTTCATCTCATTACATTGCATCTAATTTCATTTCATCTCATCATTTCATTTCATTTCTTGTCATCATTTCATCTCATCTTTTCATCTCATCATTTCATCAACTCATTTCATCTTATCGCATCATTTCATTTCATCTCATCATTTCATCTCCTCATATCTTCTCATCTCATTTCAATTTCATTTCATTATTTCATTTCATTATTTCATGTCATGTCATCTCATCATTTCATCTCATCACATCTCATCATTTCATCATTTTATTTCATCATTTCATCTTATCATTTCATCTCATTTCATCTTATCATTTCATCTCATCATTTCATCTCATCTCATTTCAATTTTATTTCAATTTCATTTCATTTCATTTCATTATTTCATTTCATTTCATCTCATTATTTCATTATTTCATTTCATTTCATTTCATCTCATCATTTCATCTCATCATTTCGTCATCTCATCTCATCATTTCATCTCATCATTCATATCATTTCATATCATCATTTCATATCATCATTTTATGTCACCATTTCATTTCATCTCATCTCATCATTTCATCTCATTTCATCTCATCTCGTTTCATAATTACATCTTATTTCATCTCATCTTATGTCATTTCATGTCATCATTTCATCACATCTCGTCTCATCTCATCTTTTCATCTCATCATTTCAACTCATTGCATCTCATCTCATCATTTCCATTTCATTATTCCATTTCATCATTTCATTTCATTATTTTATTTCATTATGTCATTTCATCTCAACACATTTCATCTCATCTCATCATTTCATCTCATTTCATCTCATTATTTCAACTGATTTCATGTCATCATATCATGTCATCATTTCATCACATCTCATCTCATCATTTAAACTCATCATTTAATCTCATTTCATCTCATCTCATCATTTCATCGTTTCATCTCATCATTTCTTCTCATCCCATCATTGCCATTTCATTATGTCATCATTTCATTTCATCATTTCATTATTGCATTTCATCTCATTTCATTATTGCATTTCATTATGTCATTTCATTTCATCTCATTTCATTACATCTCATTTCATCTCATTTCATTTCATCTCATTTCATCTCATCATTTCATCTCATCTCATCTCATTTCATCTCATCATTTCATCTCATTTCATCTCATCTCATTTCATCATTTCATCTCATCTCATTTCAATTTCATCATTACATTTCATAATTTCCTTTCATTATTTCATTTCATCTCATTTCATTATTTCATCTCATTTCATCTCATTTTTCATCTCATCATTTTTATCTCATTTCATCTCATCATTTCATCTTATCATCTCATCTCATTTCATCATTTCATCTTATTGTTCATCTCATTTCATCTCATCATTTTATCTCATTATATCATCTCATCTTATCTCATTTCAATTTCATTATTTCATATCATTTCATTTCATTATTTCATTTTATTTCATCTCATCATTTCTTCTCATCATTTCATCTAGTTTCATCTCATCATTTCATCCATCATCTCATCTCATCTCCTTTCAATTTTGTCATTTTATCTCATCATTTCATCTCGTCATTTCTACTCACCATTTCATCTCAAAATTTCATCTCATCATTTCATCATTTCATCATTTCATCTCATCATTTCATCTCATCTCAAGTCATCTTATCATTTCATCTAAGTGAAATGATGTAATGGAATCATGAAATGAAATGGATAGGAAGCCCTCAGTGATGTTAAATTTAAAAATTGTTTGTTTTCATGTATTCATTTTTATATTTATATGTATTTATATTTATATTTACTTATATTTCTTTTTACTTATTTTTAATTATATTTTTTACTTATTTATTTATAGACAAGGTCCTGTTCTGTGGCCTAGGCTGGAATGCAGTGGTGCATTCACAGTTCATTGCAACCTCGAGCAAACCTCCCACCTTAGCCTCCCAGGTAGCTGGGACCCCAGGTGCGCACCACCACAGCTGGCTAATATTTTATTATTAGTAGAGACGGAGTCTTGCTATGCTGCCCAGGCTGGTCTCAAAATCCTGGGCTCAAGCAATCCTCCTGCCCTGGCAACCCAAAATGCTGGGATTACAGATATGAGCCACAGTGCCCAACCTATTTATTTATTTATTTATTTATTTATTTATTTATTTATTTAATAAAGAAAAGGTCTCACTATGTTGCCCACGCTGGTCAATTCCTGGACTCAAATGATTCTTCAAACTTGGCCTCTCAAAATGTTGGGATTACAGGTATGAGCCACCATGCCTGGCCTAAAAATAGTATTATATTTTTACATTATATAATTTTCAATTAGGTAATATGAATATTCTGTACAGGAAATATGCCCTTAATTACATAGGAATAAACATTTGTTATACTGAGAAAAATCTAATAGAGCTAAAAATAAAAATTAATTTGGAGAGGTCATTAGATACTCATACATTCTTACGTTTATACATTCTTTCATATATTCATATATTCTTTTAACAGTATCAATGGTTTAGAGTTATGTGTACAAAACCATGACCTATATGTAATACAACTAATAACAAGCACTTACAATTCAAGGCATATTATATACAAAGCTTTAACTTCTCATGATCAGATTTTGTTTTTTTTCTTTCTGTTTTGGCAGATACTATGAACACAACATTAAACTCACAGACACTATGAAGCCTTTACTAAGAACAAAGTACTGTGAAAGGCCAGGGCTAGGACAGAACTGAGACAGGGCCAGGGATAGAACAGAACCGGGGCAGGGTCATGGCCAGAGAAAAACCAGGGGCAGGGTCACAGCCAGGGACATGAGAGGACAAAGGCCAGGGCCAGAAGTAGGGCAGAACCAGGGCCAGGGCAGGGACATGACAGGGCCAGGGCCATGGCAGGATCAGGGCCAGCAGAAGGCCAGGGCAGGGCTAGGGTAGCACAGGGCCAAGGCAGGGCAGGGTCAGTGTAGAGCAAGGAATGGGCCAGGGTACGGCAGGGCAGGGACAGGGAGGTCCAGGGCCAGAGTCAGGTCCAGAACATGGACAGGGCAGGGCCAGAAATATGGCAGAACCAGAAAGGGGACAGGGAAAGGACAAGGCCAGAGAAGGACCACGGTAAAAACATGGTCAGGGAGGGTCCAGGGCAAGGGCAAGGCCAGGGCAGAACCAGAGCCAGGGCAGGCCAAAGGCAGGGCCAGGGCAGGGCAACGCCATGGTAGGGCAGGGCCAGTGTAGGGTGAGGGTAGGGCCAGGGTGAGTTCAGGGCCAGGGCAGGACTAAGATAGCACAGGGCCAAGGCCAAGGCCCTGTACTAAGATAGCACAGGGCCAGGGCAGGGCCAAAGGAGGGGCCAGGGACAAGCATGGCCAGTGTGGGTCCTAGGGATTGTCAGGGCCAGGGCCAGGGTCAAGGCTGAGCCAGGGACAGGGCCAGAGCAAGGACAGGGCCAGGGAGAAGGCAGAACCAGAGAGGATCTAGAGAAACAGCAGGGCCAGGGCAGAACCAGGACCAGGATAAGGCAAAGCCGAGGCCAGGGCAGGGCAAGGCCAGGGCAGGGCAAGACCAGGGAAGGGCAAGGCCAGGGTAGAAAAGGCCAGTGTACAGCCAGGCCAGGGTAGGAAAAGGCCATGGTAGGGCCAAGGCCAAGGCGGGGCAGGGCTAAGATAGCACAGGGCATGGCCAAAAACAAGGCAGGGCCATAGCAGTGGCAAAACTAGCAACAGGGCCAGGGTAAGCGCTGGACCAGAGAATGGTGGGGACAATACAGGGCCAAGACAGATGATGGCAAGGCAGGTCCAAGGTCATTTCATGGACTCGATAGGCCTGGGGTCAGGCCAGGGCAGGGAAAGGGCAAGGCCAGGGAGAAGGCAGGGCCGGGGTCAAGGCACTGCCAGGGCAGGGCAGGACCAGTGCAGGGTGAGGGCAAGGCCAGGGCATGGAAGGGCAGGGCAGGACCAAGGAAGGGCCAGGAGAGTGCCACAGCAGGGTCAAGGCCAGAACAAGGGTACGACTGGGGTCAGGAATATGGTAGGGCAAGGGCTGGGCCCTGGCTGGGACACACAGGGCAGAGCATGGCCTGTGCAAGGCAGGGCCAGAGCCAGGCCATAGAGATGGGAGGGCAACTCCAAGGCAGAGTCAGGGTAGATCCAGAGCTGAGCAGAGTCAGGGCGGGTTCAGAATTGAGGCAGAGCTACGGCCCAAGCAGGGCCATGGCAGCACCAGGGCAGGGGAGGGCAGGGCAATGCAGGGCTGGGCCATGGCAGTGTCTGGTCAACTCCGGGGCAGGGCCAGAAGCAGGACAGGGCCAGAGTCAATGCTCAGGCCAGGGACAGGGCATGACAGGAAGTGCCAGACCAGGGCTGGGCCAATGTAGAGGCAGGGCAAATCAGACCAGGACACCTCCAAGTCCAGCTCTAGCCCTGCCTTGGCCCTGGCCCCTTCCTGACCTGACCTTGTCCCTGGCCCTGCCCTATCCATGCCCTATGTGTTTGACCAGTGTTTTATAACCAGAATCCTACAAGAAACTTAAATCAGCTCTTTTTGTGCATTTTTAGTAGAGATGGGGTTTCACAATGTTGCCCAGGCTGGTTCCAAACTCCTGAGCTCAAGCCATCTGCCTGCCTTGGCCTCCCAAAGTGCTGGGATTACAGGAGTAATCTGGCCAAGTATTTAACTTCTTTATGGCTGTTTCCTACATTTGGAAAATGGGGATGCTTTAAGTACCTAGCACATAGAATTATTGTGAGAATCAATGCCTCACATATTTACATATTGATAAAATTATACTCATAGAACAGTACTGGAAGCAGAGATAGTATTAGTTAAAATTTAGTGATTATTTACTGTAAATATTATTACTATTACAAACAACATAGTAGAGACATTATTACCACTACTATAGTTATCTTAAAAATCAAAAATAAAAATTTTACGTAATAGCCTAATGTAAGCTCCCCTGCTCTGCCCGGCTCAGCCCTAGTGCCGGCTCCGCCCCTAGTCCTACCACATCCCTGGCCCTGACCCTTCCCTGGTCCTGCCGCTGCCCTGGCCCTTCCCATCTTCAGGCCTTACCATGGCCCTACCCTGGTCCTGACCCTGGCCCTACCCCAGAGAAGGGGTATGGCAGAGCCAGGGAAGGGTCGGGGCAAATAAGGGACACGACACATCCAAATCCAGGAAAAGGCCAGGGACATGACAGAGCCAGGGCGAGTCCTTGGCAGGTCCAGGTTCCAGGCCAGGGCCAGGAAAGGGTCATGGCAGGGTCACTGTATGGCCTAGGTCCAGGCCAAAGCGAAGGCAGGGGCAGGGTCAGGCCTGCATAAGGGCTGGACGAGAGCCAGTGATATGGCAGGGCCAGGGCCAGGGCCAGGGCCAGGGCTGTGTCAGGACAGAACAAGAGCAGAGCAGGGCAGGACCAGAGCCAGGCCATAGAGAGAGTAGGGCAAATGCCAAGGCAAGGCCAGTGTAGTGCCAGGGCTGAGGCAAGGTCAGGGAATGTCCAGGGCTGAGTCAAGGCTGGAACAAAGACAGGGCAAAGGCCGGGGCAGATCTAGGGCACAAGCAGGGCAGGTTAGGGCAGGGCAATGGCAAGACCAGGCCATGGCAGGGCCAGCCCAGGATAGAACAGGGCACAGGCAGGGCAGGGCCAGGGCCACGCCTGGGGCAGGACAAGGACCAGGACCGGGGTCCAGGCCAGGGCAAGGGTATGGCCAGGACAGAGGTAGGGCCAGAACCAGGGTCTGGGCAGGACCAAGGAGGGTCCATTGCAGGGCCAGGGTTGAGACCAGGGCCAGAGCAGGGCTGTGACAGCGCCAGGGCCAGGACCAGGAAAGGGCAATGTCAGGATAAGAGCCATGGCCGAACCAGCAACCAGGCTAGGGCCAGGACAGGGACAGGGACAGGGACAGGGTCAGGGCTAGGGCCAGAATAGCATGCCAGGGTAGAGCCAGGCCAAATTAGGGCCAGGACAGGGTGAGGACCAGGGCTGGGTCAGGGTATGGCCTTAAGTAGTGAAGGGCCAGGGCCAGGGTCCATGCCAGTGCCAGCACCGGTCCAGGGCAGAGGCAGGGCCATGGCCAGGCCAAGGACAAGGCTGGGGCAGGGCCAAGGTCTGGGTCAGGGTCAGCACAAGACCAGGACAGAGCCAGGGGAGGGACAGGGCCATGGTAGGGCCAGGTTAAATCAGGGACAAGACACCTGCAAATCCACTTCAGGGCCAGGGTCAGGGCAGGGCCAGTTCAGGGCCAGGACTAAGACAGGGCCAGGGCCAGGGCTGTCAGGGTCATTGGCAGGGCCAGGGCCATGGCAGGACCAGGGTCAGGAGCAGGGGTCAATGCCAGGCCAAACCACAGATAGGACCAGTTCTGTGCTAGGGCCAGTGTGAGGGCCAAGGTGGGATCAGGGCAGGGCCAAACGGAGGGCAGGGCAAGGGCAGGGTGGAGCAGGCCCAGGGTAGAACAGGGTTAAGGTAGGGCACGACCAACCAGGGCAGGTCTATGGCTGGGGCCGGGGCAGGGCAAGGGCTGGGGCAGGGCCAGAGCCAGGGCAGGGCAAAGACAGTGGCAGCTCCAGGGCAGGGCCAGGGTTAGGACCACGGATATGTCCAAGGCCAGTGCCAGGGCAAGGACAAGGGCAGGGACAGGGCCAGGGTCATCTAAGAACCAGGGACAAAGCCAGGCCCAGAGCAGGGCCAGGACAGGTACCTGGCAGGGCTAGGGTCTGGGACAGGGCCATGGCAGGGCCAGGGCCACAACCAGGTCTGTGCTATGGCCAGGTCCAACACAGTGCCCAGGTAAGGCTAGGGTGAAGGCCAAGGTAGGGCCAGGGCAGGGTCAAAGCCAGGCTAGGGCCAAGGCAGGACCAGGGCCGGCAAGGCAGGGCCAGGAAAGCATAGGGCCAAGGCAGGGAAGGGCCAGGCCAGTGCCAAGACCTGGGCAGGGCCAGGGAACAGCCAGGGCAGGGCCAGGGCCAGGGCCTGGGCAGGACCAGGTTTGGGGCAGGAGCAAAACAAGGACAAGGACAGTGCAGGATCTTGGCACAGCCAGGGTCCAGGACAGTGTCAGGGCAGGGCCAAGGCAGGGTCAGGGGCATGGTAAGACCAGCAACAGGGCTGGGGCTAGGCCAGTGACAGGACCAGAGTCAGGGCAAGGGCCAGAGCAGTGCAAGGCCAGGGTAGGGCCAGGCATTTCAGGGTCAGGGCCAGGGGAGAACCAGGGCATTGTCTCAAGCAGGGAAGGGCCAGGGCCAGGACAGGTCCAGGGCAGGGCCATGACAGGGCCAGGGGCTGCGTTAGGGCAAGGGCAGGGCCAGAGCAAGGTATGGGTCAGGGCCAAGGCCAGGGTAGGGACAGGGCAAGAAATATGGCATGACCAGGGGTAATGCCAAGGCCAAGGCTGGGCCAGGGCTGGGCCAGGGCTGAGTCAGGGCAGGGCAGGGCAGGGCATGGTATGGCCAGTGCAGGACAGGACAAGAGCCGGTCCACAGAGAGCAGGGCTGATGCCAAGAAAGAGCCAGGCTAGTGCCAAGGCTGAGACAGAGTCAGAGCATGTCCGGGGCAGGGCTGGGGCCAGGGCCAGAACTGAGCCAGGGCACAGCCAAGGCAGGGTAGGGCAGGGAAATTACATGGCCGGGTCAGTACTGGGACAGGGCAGAGCAGGGCAAGGCGATGGTAGGGGCAGGGCAGGGACAGGCCAATGCAGAGCCATGTTATGCCGGGGCCAGGACACCTCCAAGTCCACTTCAGGGCCAGAGCTATGGCAGGACAAAGACCAGGGCCAGGGTCAGGGCCAGGTCTGTGCTAGGGCCAGCTCCAGAGCAGGGCCTAGTGAAGACTAGGGTGAGGGCCAAGGTAAGGCCAGGGCAGGGTCAAAGACAGAGTAGGGCCAGGGCAGGGTGATGACACATGCAGAGAACAGCAGGGCAGGGTGATGGCAAGACCAGGGGCAGACCACTGCCAGCTCAGGGCCAGGGAAAGGCCAGTGCAGAGCCAGGAAAGGGTCAGGGCCAGGAACAAGGCAGAGCAGGGCCAGGGCCATGGCAGAGTCAGGGCAGGTCCTTGACAGGACCAGGTTCCAGGCCAGGGCCAGGGCAGCAGCAGGGGCAGGGCCTGGATAAGGGCAGGGCCAGGGATATGGCAGGACCAGGGCTAGGGCCAGGGCCAGGCCAAAGTGAGGGCAGGGCAAAAGTCGAGGCAGGGTCTGGGCAGGTCCAGGGAGCGGCCAGCACCAAGCGGGGCCAAGGCACAACCATCGCAGCGTAAGGCAGGGCAATGGCACCACTGGGCCATGACAGGGCAAGGTCAGTGCCAGGAGAGGGCAGAACAGGCAGGCCTATGGTGGGGCCAGGGCAGGGATGGGCCAAAGCAAGACCAGGACATGTCCAAGACCAGGTCAGGGCCAGAACAGGAGTAGGACCATGACCACTGGCAGGGCCAGTGCCATGACATGACCAGGGTCAGGACAAGGGGCAGGGCCAGAGCCAGGGCCAGAGCCAAGGTCAGGCCAGTGCAGGTTCAGGGCAGGGCCACTGCCAGGGCAAGACCAGGGCAGGGACACGGTAGCACAGGGCCAAGACAGGGTCAGGATGGGACCAGAGCAGGACAGGGCCAAGACAGTCCAGGTAACAGTAGGGCAGTTACAGCGCAAGAAAGGACAAAGCCAGGCCCATTGCCAATGCACCAGCCCTCCCTACAAGGCTCCTACCACCTGGCCACTGTTGCAGCTCGTCCATCACTGTAAGCCTGATCCCCAACCCTGGCTGCAGCCGCCTGCCCTCCTAGCACGACCGCTCTCCTACCGCTCTGGCGCACTGCAGTCTCCATCGCTGCCACCCTCCCGCAGCGAGGCGAGTCGTGGTGTCGCAGGCTCTAGGTGTCTCCTCCTCCTCCTGGCATGGAGCAGCTGGGCGGGCAAAGCCAGAAAAGCCTAGAGGAAGATGTGAGGGGTGGAAGGGTTAGAGCCTCAACTTGTCATGCTGGCCACTGGGTGGCAGGGGCCAGTTTCAACAAAGGCACTCACACCCACCCTCCAAAGTCCAGCCTCTCCTTTTGGCCCAAGCTCTCCGGGAACTGGGGTCTGGGGTGGGTGCTGGAGACACCACAGCACCCAGCTCCCCACTCCACAGGAACCATTGGGCCCACCAGGGCTGCACTCCTCAGGGAGCAGGAGAAGCAGAAAAATTCACACCCAGCCAGCCCTCCGCACCCAGGTGCCAATTCCTGTTCCGGATGCCTCCACACACAGGGCCCTGTCCCCCATGGTGTCTCCAGGGGTGCCTGGCAGCCTCTGAGGCACAGACCCAGAGTGCACAGGCCCAGGAACCATGGTGGGTGTGGGGGCTCTGTCATGCTCAGGATTCCCACGCAAACACTGCACGCCTGCCACACTCCAGTATGACCAAGAGTTGGTCGCCCTCTGGAGTGTGGAGTCAGGGAGAGGAGAACCACTCCTTCCTTGGATGCCAACTCTGCTGACCGCCGCCAGCAGTGCAGTCCCTGATAGCAACGAACTCGCCCGCCCTTCACGGCTAGTCCTGCCCTCAATAGCGCCCCCCACCTCCGTCCCCCAATGCCACAAATAGCGTATACCCAATAGTGCCCTAACCTGTCCTACTCTATGGGCATTGCAGCCCCAGAAAGTGCCCATAACCCACCCTCCCTGCCATAGGCAGTGCAGCCCTGTACAGTGCTACCAACCAGTAGCCATAATGCAGGCAATGACACCCTGGATAGCGCCCCCAACCCACCCCACACTGCGAAAGGTGCAGCCCTGGATAGCCCCTGTCCTACCACTCTGGTCGTGCTGCAGTCTCTGTCACTGCCACCACCAACCACAGTGAGGCAAGCCAGTGGGCCACAGGCTCTAGCACCCAGCAGGCCAGGCACGAAGCAGCTCTCGCCGATGGCTGGCTCCTACCACTCTGACCACGCTGCTGTCTCTGTGGCCATCTTCTTTGACTACAAAGGAATAAAACTAGGTATCAATAAGAAGAGTAATTTTGGAAACAATACAATCACATGGAAGTTAAACACTACCCTCCTGAATAAATGACTAGCGGGTCAATGAAGATATTAAGACAGAAATTCAAAAATTTCATGAAACAAAGGGTAAAGAAAACACAGTATACCAAAACTTGTTACGCAGAAAGCAGTACAAAGGCGGAGATTTACAGCTATAAGTGCATACCATCCAAACAAAAGAAAAACTTCAAGTAAACAATACATCTTAAAGAACTAGTAAAATAAGAACAAACTAAACCGAAAATAAGAAAATAAATAAGATCGTAGCAGAAATAAAATTGAAAGAAAAAACACACAAGATTAAATGAAAAGTTGGTTTTCTGGAAAGCAAAACAAAATTGACAAACTTTTAACCAGGCTAACTAAGAAAAAAGAGACAAGATTCAAATAAATAAAATCAACAGATAAAAAAGAGACATTACAACTAATAGTTCAGAAATTCAAAGGATCATAACTGGCTATTATATGCCAATAAATTGGAAAGCCTAGTAGAAATTGGCAAATTCCTAGATGCATACAACCTACTTAGGTTGAACAATGAAAACATCCAAGACCAGAACAGATCGGTAACAAGTAATGAGATTGAAGCCATCAGAAAAAGTCTCCCAGTAAAGAAAAGCCCAGGAACTGATGTCTTCACTGCTGATGGCTTCACACCAAACAGTTTAAAGACCTAGTACGAATCCTACTGCAACTATTTTGAAAAACAGGAGGGAATACTTCCAAACTTATTCTATGAGACCATTATTACTTTGATACCAAAATCAGACAAAGGCATCAAAGAAGGAAACTACAGGCCAGTATCTCTAATATTGATGCAAAAATCCTCAACAAAATACCAGTGAATCAAATTCAGTAATACATTAAAAAGATAATTCATCATGATCAAATGGGATGTATCCCTGGGATGCATGGGTCACTTAACATACAATGTGATACATCATATCAACCAAATAAATGACAAAAACAGTATGATCATGTCAACTGAAACTGAAAAAGTATTTGATAAAATTCAACATCCCTTCATGCTATTAATCCTTAAAGAAACAGGTACAGAAGAAACATACCACAACATAATAAAAACTACAGGAAAGACACCCACAACTAGAATCATATGGAGTGAGGTCCAGGCTGCATTGAGTTGTGATCCCACCACTGCACTCCAGCCTGGGCAACAGAGTGAAACACTGTCTCAAAAAAAAAAAATACGTAAAAAGAGGTATGAGCCTCTTTTATAGGTGCAGTGACTCACAACTGTAATCCCAACACTTTCTGGGAGGCTGAGGTGAGAGGATCTTTTGAGGCCAGGAGTTCAAGGTCAGCCTGGGCAACATAGTGAGACCCTTTATCTACAAAAAAAATTTTAAATATTTGCCAGGTGTGGTGGCACGTGCCTGTAGTTTTAAACAATTATCATATGACCCAGATAGTGTATTCCTTAGTGATACAACCAAGGGAAATGAAAATATACATCCACACTAAAATTTGTACACAAATGTTCACAGCAGCATTGTGCATAATAGCCAAAAATTGGAAAAAAAGCTCAAGTGCTTATCAACAGAGGAACTGATAAAATATGGTACATCCATTCAAAAGATTACTCAGCATTAAAAAAATGAAGTGCTGATATACGCTACAGCATGGATAAACCTTGAAAACACTGTGCCAAGTGAAATAAGTCAATCACAAAAGACCATATGTAGTAAGATTTCATTCTGTGAAACCTCCAGAAGAGCTAAACTCAGAGACAGAAAGTAGGCTAGTTATTGCCAGGGACTAGGGGAAAAGGGAACAAGGATGACTGCTAATGGGTATGAGGTTTCTTGTGGACTGATGAAAATGGTCTGAAAGTATCTAGATACCTGTCTTGTTTGTGTGATTCTGTGAACATATTATAAACCACAAAATTCTGCACTCAAGGGGTTGATTTCATGGTAGGTGAATTTAGCTCATTTATCTTTATCTCAATAAAGCTTTTAAAGACACTTTAAAAAGACATATCTGTATAAGCTACAAAAATAACACACTGAGAGACTAAAATGCTTAATTTTTCCATTTTTCTTCTTCAGCACAATCTCAAGTCCAAAAGTCTTTCCTTCCTATATATGCATATTTTGTCCAGTGAAACAAGAAACTCTATTAATTTTTTATTAGAAATAAAAAAAAACCAGGTGTGCTGGCTCACAGCTGTGCTTCCAGCTACTCTGAATGCCGAGGCAGAAGGATCACTTGAGGCCAAGACTGGGAGTTCAAGACAAGCTGAGGCAACATAGCTAGATCCTGTCTTTAAAAATATTTTTTAGGCCAGGCACTGTGGCTCATGCCTGTAATCCCAGCACTTTGGGAGGCCAAGGAGGGCAGATCATTTGAGATCAGGAGTTCAAAACCAGCCTGGATAACATGGTGAAACCCCATCTCTACTAAAAATATAAAAATTAGCCAGGTGTGGTGGTGGGCACCTGTAGTCACAGCTACTTGGGAGGCTAAGGCAGGAGAATTGCTTGAGCCGGGAGGGTGGAGGCTGCAGTGAGGCCAAGATCATGCCATTGCACTCCAGCCTGGGTGACAGAGCAAGACTCCATCTCAGGAAAAAAAAAATATATATATATATATATACGTATATATATATATATACGTATATATATATGTGTATATATATATATGTGTATATATATACATATATATATATACACATATATGTATATATATACACATATATTTTTTTAAGTTAAAACCCTACTGAAATGAAACTAATAAAATAAAATTCAACTTAATTAAAAAATAGTTCCTGAAATATTAATTTTCAAACAATTCTATTTTAGCTTTGACTCTGAACAAAATATAAACCTCAATTTCAAAATATCACAAAGATTGGCTAGGGGCAGTGGCTCATGCCTGTAATTCCAGCACTTTGGGAGGACAAGGCAGGTGGATCACTAGAGGCCAGGAGTTCCAGAGCAGCCTGGCCAACATAGGGAAACCCAGTCTCTACTAAAAAAATACAACAAAAATTAGCCGGGTCTAGTAACCCCAGCTACTCAGGAGGCTGAGGCATTAGAATCGCTGGAATCTGGGAGGTGGAGGTTGCAGTGAGTGGAGATCATGCCACAGCACTCCAACCTGGGCGACAGACTGAGACTCTGTCTCAAAAAAATAAAAATAAGGCCAGGTGCCGTGGCTCACGCCTGTAATCCCAGCACTTTGGGAGGCCAAGGTGGGCAGATCACTTGAGGTCAAGGAGTTTGGGACCAGCCTGGGCAACACAGAGAAACCTCCTCTCTACTAAAAATACATAAATTAGCTGGGCGTGGTGGCACACACTTGTAATGCCAGCTACACCAGTGGCTGAGGCTGGGGAATTGCTTGAATTCGGGAGGTGGAGGTTGTAGTGACCTGAGATTGTGCTACTGCACTACAGCCTGGATGACAGAGTGAGACTCCATCTCAAAAAAAAAAAGAAAAAAAAAGAAAACTTATATTTAAAGTTTAAAAAAATCACAAAGACTACAAATACTCAGGTTTAAGCAAATTCCCACCTTTCTTGAATTAACAGTAATTCATATTTGCTTTGTCAAAAATGTAGATATTTACGTGCCCCAACGGAATGAAATCCTAAAAGCCTAGTGTTCTCAAATGATGAAGAGAAAGAAACATGCATATTTTAATTTAGAATTTTGATTCAGAATTAATTTTAACCTAGCTGGAGTATACATAATCATTTATGTATTTATTTACTTATTTAAGAGACTGGGTTTCGCTGTGTTATCCAGGCTGGAATGCAGTGGCACAACTTTGGCTCACTGCAACTTGTACTTCCTGAGCTCAAGCGATCCTCCCACCACAGCCTCCAGAGTAGCTGGGACTGCAAATGCACGCTACCACACTCAGCTAATTTTTGCGGAGACGAGCCTCGCTATATTTCCCACACTGGCCTCTAACTCCTTGGCTCACTACAGCCTCAAGCCCCTGGCCTCAAGCAATCTGCCTCCCAAAGTGCTGAGATTACAGGAGTGAGCCACCTCAACCGGCCTAGTGGATAGTGTATACTAAGCAACATATACCCTGCTTTTGCCTAGAACATACTGAAAACATGGCATTAAAAACAATCACAAAAGTTGGGAGCTGAGAAAAATCATATACTGTAAAACAAACCTGACAGATATTAGTCTCAAGAAGCTCCTGAAAATGTCTCAAGAACTCCTATGCTGCACTCTCCCTAATAATTTAGACTTTCTACAGATATTTTATGATCATCTACCGTGTGCCAGGCACCATGCCAGGTACCAAGATGCCATGGTGAGGTATACACAAAACCGGCTCTTGCATGCAGGAAGCCTACTCTCTAAAACAGTGCTTGCCAAGCTCGACTGATCACAACTTGGGAGCTTAAGTTCCAAATCGGCTTCCCTGCTTTGGTGAGCCACAATCCGTGGCATTTTTATCAGGTGCTCCCAATGATTCCTACACTCTAACGGGTTTGGGAGGCAAGGGTAGGGGTAAGCTGGAGAGCCCAGAGCCATTCTGTCCAGCGGGAGCCCCACCTCTAAAGTCCATGTCGCTCAGCATCCTTCCCCCTGACTAGTGGCCCAAACACAGCACGAAGCTGAGGTGGGTGGAACGCTTTCCAAAACAGCTCTCTGTGATGAGCCACTGACAGACTTGCTCGCCTCCGGGGACGAAGAGCTCACCCCTCACAAACCCCACCCGGGAAAAGTAGCACCTGAGCCTCCGAGGCTGCGCCGACACCTGTCTCCCCGCAGGTGCCGCCTACTGCTCTGGTGGACTCCAGTCCCCAGGTTCTGCCCCACGGGGACTGGGGGGAGGGGGGAGGCGCTGCGCGCATTAGGCGCCGACTGTATACCGACCCCCCCTCCGGTGTGCGCAGGCCAACACCCATACACACCCTCACACACCCACACACACCCACACACACTCCCGTGGAAACTGAGGCAGGCAGGCAGCAGACCAGGTCCTGCCGCCTGACGGCTCGCAGCTGGGATCGAACCCGGACTGCGAGACGCCTTCTGCCTCACAGGCACTCCTCAGCCGCTGAGGCCTGGCCCGGCTCCCACCGCCGGAGTTTCACAAAGAAAGTCTCCTGGCCCGAGCCCCTCAAGCACTCACCGGCGCCGACGTCGGCGGCGACTCGGGCTCCCGCTGCCTTCAGCTCCTTGCGGGGGTCGGCCCTTGGGTCGGCTCGGGCGCCGGAGGCGGCGACTGCCCCATATCCACGGGGTCCGGGCCGCGTCCGCCTCGAGCTAATGGTCCCGCCAACTAGGCGCGTGCACCAGTTCCATGCGCCATGTTCCCGCCGTGCTGCGTGCCGCCGCGGCGACCCTCACTGCCCCCCAACCGCGTGCGCCCCCCCGCTCCCCGCGCACCCCGCCTCGCGCCCTCTGGAGCTGGCTGCTGTTCCCAGTGTCTCGCCCACCCCGCCAGGCCTGTCCGACTTGGCGGGTGAACGCGTGGTTCCCGGCTCCGAACTGCCGCCTGCATCTCTGCAGACCACCCCGGACCGGACCCCTCGGCCACTTCCCCACACTGCCCCTTTCGCTTCCCCCACAACGCGGAGCCTAGGACGAGGGTCTGGGCCAACAGGAACTTCCCTGCAAGAAGTGCCGAGCTAAGGACGCTACTAAGGGGGCGGGATCGCCACCGTGGAAGTGTGCAAGCACGTGCCTGCATCCCAGAGACAGACAGACTCAACGGAGAAGCTGAGTTCAAGTCCCACAACTCCACTAACCCTTGCGTGTTATGGTCAGGGCTTCGGGACTTGTTTCTCCTAAATCTTTTTTTTTTTTTTTTTTTGAGACAGTCTCGCTCTGTCACCCAGGCTGGAGTGCTGTGGCGCGATCTCGGCTCACTGCAAGCTCCGCCTCCCGGGTTCATGCCATTCTTCTGCCTCAGCCTCCCGAGCAGCTGAGACTACAGGTGCCCGCCACCGCCTGCTAATTTTTGTATTTTTAGTAGAGGTGGGGCTTCACCGTGTTAGCCAGGATGGTCTCCATCTCCTGACCTCGTGATCCTCCTGCCTCGGCTTCCCAAAGTGCTGAGATTACAGGCATGAGCCAGTGCACTCGGCCTGTTTCTCCTAAATCTAAAGACTCAATATGATAATCAAGAGAACGCCTCAGCACCGCGCCTAGCACTTAGTAGGTAGTGATCAAGAGAGAAGACCTCTTAAGTGGTTTTAATGGTTAAGGACCACAGGTTCTCAAGATAGGGAAATCTCAATTCAAGTCCTGCCTCCATCTCTTGGAAACTGAGAAACCTTGAACAAGTCACTCAGAGGAGCCAAAGATCCTTCATTTCTACATGTGCAAAAGGGGAGTGTGGCAGTAGCACTGCACAGGGTTGACTGAGCTTTCAGGGAGATGATGACTGTACGATCATGCCTCTCTTAATCACGGGATGGTTCTGAGAAATGCCTCCTTAGGTGATTGCAGCATTGTGCAAACAGCAAAGTGCATTTACACAAACCTTGTATAGCCTTGTATAGCCTATAAACACCTAGGCTGTATGGCGTAGCCTATTGCTCCTAGGCTACATACCTGTACAGCCTGATACTTTACTGAATATACCATAAGCAGTTGTAACACAATGTAAGTACTTGTGTACCTGAACATAGAGAAGGTACAGTAAGAATAGAGTATAAGATATTTTAAAATGGTACTCCTGTATAGGGCACTTACCATGAAAGGAGCTTGCAGGACTGGAAGATGCTGTGGTGAGTCAGTGAGTGTGAAGGCATAGGACCTTACTGTACACTACTGTAGACTTTATAAACACCATATGCTTAGGCTACACCAAAATTTTTTAAGGCTTTTCTTCAATAAATTAACCTTAGCTTACTGAAATGTATCTTAAAATATTTTGCCAGTCGTGTTGTCTCACACCTGTAATCCCAGCACTTTGGGAGGCCAAGGCAGGCAGATCATTTGAGGTCAGGAGTTCGAGACCATCCTCGCCAATGTGGTGAAACCCTCATCTCTACTAAAAATACAAAACTTAGCCAGGCATGGTGGTGTGCACCTGTAATCCCAGCTACTCAGGAGACTGACGGAGGAGAATCGCTTGAACCCAGGAGGCGGAGTTTGCAGTGAGCCGAGATCGTGCCACTGCACTCCAGCCTGGGCAATTACACGCATGGAGCTGTCATCTCCTGTGATAACAATGCCTTCTTCTTCCAGAACACTTCCTGAAGGACCTGCCTGAGGCTGTTTTATAGTTAACTATTTTTTAATGTAAGTAGAAAACATACATTCTAAAATTATGAAAAACACTAAATACACCAGGGCTGGGCACAGTGTCTCATGTGGGTAATCCCAGCACTTCAGGAGGCTGAGGAGGGCAGATCATTTGAGGTCAGGAGTTTGAGACCAGCCTGGGCAGTGTGGTGAAACCCCATCTCTGCTAAAAATACAAAGATTAGCTGGCTGTGGTCGTGGGTGCCTGTATTCCCTGCTACTCAGGAGGCTGAGGCAGAAGAATCGCTTCAACCTGTGAGGCAGAAGTTGCAGTGAGCCAAGATCGCGCCACTGCACTCCAGGCTGTGCGACAGAACAAGACTCTGTCTCAAAAAAATAAACCAGTAACATAGTTGTTCATTATCAAGTATTACATATTGTATGTAATTGTACATGCTAGGCTTTTATAGAACTGGCAGCACAGATTTGTTTACACCAGCATCACCAGAAACACACAAATGCATTACCCTAACATACAATGGCTATGTCACTAAGCAATAGGAATTTTTCAGCTCCATAATCGTCTTATGGTCCACTGACTTACATGTGGTTTGTCATTGACTAAAATGTCATTATACAACACATGACTGCATATCCCAGGGCACAATGCCTGGCACACACAAAGATGAGTTTCACTGGTGTAATTCCCACCCTATCCATCCAAGACTCCTAAAAAGTTTAATAAAAGGGGCTCTGCTCCCAAAACCCTGTGGTATAAGTAGGTGGGAGGAGTTCGCCCAACTTGGGGCTGCAAGGACTCTTTCTTCCCACATCTTTACTTTCCTTTCTCTCTGCCAACCTTCTCTGAAAACCCTAAAGTTGGCAGAAAAATGGAGAATGTTTTCCCTACTAACAAAAAGAATCTTCAAGAGTCTCTTGGAATTTGTAAATGGGTGCATTTACTAGTCTTTTTTTATGTTTTTTTAATTTAATTTAATTTAATTTTTTATTACTATTATACTTTAAGTTTTGGGGTACATATGCACATTGTGCAGGTTAGTTACATATGTATATATGTGCCATGCTGGTGCGCTGCACCCACTAACTCGTCATCTAGCATTAGGTATATCTCCCAGTACTATCCCTCACCCCTCCCCCCACCCCACAACAGTCCCCAGAGTGTGATGTTCCCCTTCCTGTGTCCACGTGATCTCATTGTTCAATTCCCACCTATGAGTGAGAATGTGCGGTGTTTGGTTTTTTGTTCTTGCCATGGTTTACTGAGAATGATGATTTCCAATTTCATCCATGTCCCTACAAAGGACGTGAACTCATCATTTTTTATGGCTGCATAGTATTTCATGGTGTATATGTGCCACATTTTCTTAATCCAGTCTATCATTGTTGGACTTTTCGGTTGGTTCCAAGTCTTTGCTATTGTGAATAATGCCACAATAAACATACGTGTGCATGTGTCTTTATAGCAGCATGATTTATAATCCTTTGGGTATATACCCAGTAATGGGATGGCTCGGTCAAATGGTATTTCTACTTCTAGATCCCTGAGGAATTGCCACACTGACTTCCACAATGGTTGAACTAGTTTACAGTCCCACCAACAGTGTAAAAGTGTTCCTATTTCTCCACATCCTCTCCAGCACCTGTTGTTTCCTGACTTTTTAATGATCGCCATTCTAACTGGTGTGAGATGGTATCTCATTGTGGTTTTGATTTGATTTCTCTGATGGCCAGTGATGATGAACATTTTTTCATGTGTTTTTTGGCTGCATAAATGTCTTCTTTTGAGAAGTGTCTGTTCATGTCCTTCGCCCACTTTTTGATGGGTTTGTTTGTTTTTTTCTTGTAAATTTATTGGAGTTCATTGTAGATTCTGGATATTAGCCCTTTGTCAGATGAGTAGATTGTGAAAATTTTCTCCCATTTTGTAGGTTGCCTGTTCACTCTGATGGTAGTTTCTTTTGCTGTGCAGAAGCTCTTTAGTTTAATTAGATCCCATTTGTCAATTTTGGCTTTTGTTGCCATTGCTTTTGGTGTTTTAGACATGAAGTCCTTGCCCATGCCTATGTCCTGAATGGTAATGCCTAGGTTTTCTTCTAGGGTTTTTATGGTTTTAGGTCTAACGTTTAAGTCTTTAATCCATCTTGAATTGATTTTTGTATAAGGTGTAAGGAAGGGATCCAGTTTCAGCTTTCTACGTATGGCCAGCCAGTTTTCCCAGCACCATTTATTAAATAGGGAGTCCTTTCCCCATTGCTTGTTTTTCTCAGGTTTGTCAAAGATCAGATAGTTGTAGATATGTGGCATTATTTCTGAGGGCTCTGTTCTGTTCCATTGATCTATATCTCTGTTTTGGTACCAGTGCCATGCTGTTTTGGTTACTGTATTCTTGTAGTATAGTTTCAAGTCAGGTAGTGTTATGCCTCCGGCTTTGTTCTTTTGGCTTAGGATTGACTTGGCGATGCGGGCTCTTTTTTGGTTCCATAAGAACTTTAAAGTAGTTTTTCCAATTCTATGAAGAAAGTCATTGGTAGCTTGATGGGGATGGCATTGAATCTATAAATTACCTTGGGCAGTATGGCCATTTTCATGATATTGATTCTTCTTACCCATGAGCATGGAATGTTCTTCCATTTGTTTGTATCCTCTTTTATTTCCTTGAGCAGTGGATTGTAGTTCTCCTTGAAGAGGTCCTTCACATCCCTTGTGAGTTGGATTCCTAGGTATTTTATTCTCTTTGAAGCAATTGTGAATGGGAGTTCCCTCATGATTTGGCTCTCTGTTTGTCTGTTGTTGGTGTATAAGAATGCTTGAAATTTTTGTACATTGATTTTGTATCCTGAGACTTTGCTGAAGTTGCTTATCAGCTTAAGGAGATTTTGGGCTGAGATGATGGGGTTTTCTAGATATACAATCATGTCATCTGCAAACAGGGATAATTTGACTTCCTCTTTTCCTAATTGAATACCCTTTATTTCCTTCTCCTGCCTAATTGCCCTGGCCAGAACTTCCAACACTATGTTGAATAGGAGTGGTGAGAGAAGGCATCCCTGTCTTGTGCCAGTTTTCAAAGGGAATGCTTCCAGTTTTGCCCATTCAGTATGATATTGGCTGTGGGTTTGTCATAGATAGCTCTTATTATTTTGAAATACTTCCCATCAATACATAATTTATTGAGACTTTTTAGCATGAAGTGTTGTTGAATTTTGTCAAATGCCTTTTCTGCATCTATTGAGATAATCATGTGGTTTTCGTCTTTGGTTCTGTTTATAAGCTGGATTACATTTATTGATTCGCATATGTTGAACCAGGCTTGCATCCCAGGGATGAAGCCCACCTGATCATGGTGGATAAGCTTTTTGATGTGCTGCTGGATTCGGTTTGCCAGTATTTTATTGAGGATTTTTGCATCAATGTTCATCAAGGATGTTGGTCTAAAATTATCTTTTTTGGTTGTGTCTCTGCCCAGCTTTGGTATGAGAATGACACTGGCCTCATAAAATGAGTTAGGGAAGACTCCCTCTTTTTCTATTGATTGGAATAGTTTCAGAAGGAATGGTACCAGTTCCTCCTTATACCTCTAGTAGAATTCGGCTGTGAATCCATCTGGTCCTGGACTCTTTTTGGTTGGTAAGCTATTGATTATTGCCACAATTTCAGCTCCTGTTATTGGTCTATTCAGAGATTCAACTTCATTCTGGTTTAGTCTTGGGAGAGTGTATGTGTCGAGGAATTTATCCATTTCTTCTAGATTTTCTAGTTTATTTGCATAGAGGTGTTTGTAGTATTCTCTGATGATAGTTTGTATTTCTGTGGGATCGGTGATGATATCCCCTTTATCATTTTTTATTGCATCTATTTGATTCTTCTCTCTTTTTTCTTTATTAGTCTTGCTAGCGGTCTATCTATTTTGTTGATCCTTTCAAAAAACCAGCTCCTGGATTCATTAATTTTTTGAAGGGTTTTTTTATGTCTCTATTTCCTTCAGTTCTGCTCTGATTTTAGTTATTTCTTGCCTTCTGCTAGCTTTTGAATGTGTTTGCTCTTGCTTTTCTAGTTCTTTTAATTGTGATGTTAGGGTGTCAATTTTGGATGTTTTGTTTTTTTTGAGATGGAGTCTTGCTCTGTCACCTAGGCTGGAGTGCAGTGGCAGGGTCTCGGCTCACTGCAACCTCCGCCTCCCAGATGCAAGCGATTCTCCTGTCTCAGCCTCCTGAGTAGCTGGGATTAAAGGCACACACCACTATGCCCGGCTAATTTTTTTGTATTTTTAATAGAGATGGGATTTCACCATGTTGGTCAGGCTGATCTCAAACTCCTGACCTCGTGATCCACCTGCCCTGGCCTCCCAAAGTACTGGGATTACAGGCATGAGCCACCGCACCCAGCCTTCTAGTTTGGTATTTTTCTTATTCAAGTAAAAAGGAAAAAAAAATAACTCCACCAAGAGTAAAACAGAAAAAAGGAACAAAACTGATAGCATGACTGAAAAGGCCTGGGGTGGTACCTCACTTCAGGCATAGTTGGATACAGGCATTTATACAAGATAAGTCTCTCTAATCTCTCAGTGCTTGCTTCCCTTTGATTACTTCATTCTCATGCAGTTCTTTCCACATAGTGGCCTGAGCAGCTCCTAACTCACATCTGCCCAAGAAAGCAGAGGCTGTTCCCCAATAGTTCCAGCCAAAGTCCCAGGAATGACTTTCACTGGAACCGTTTGGGCCACATGCCCATGCCGGAGCCAATCACCACATCCAGCCTGGCCAGACCTGGCTTTCATGAAGCCCCTTCAGGAAGCGGTTGGGGATATCCCTTCCAGAAGGACATGGGGAAAACCAGAAAGTGGGAGGAGGGATGCTTCCTTCTGAAAAATAGGGATGCAATTACCACAAGAGGTATCAGGTACAGGGCTGGCACAAACAAGAGCTATCCACAGCACCATCATGTAGGCATGCAGCAGGTCCACCATGAAGCAACCTGGCTGCTCCGCAAAACGGAGTCACAGTTAATTCAGTCAAAGAGAAATATCCCTCTACTTGGGTTCCCACCATTCACCCCAGGCCTGGCACATCCCAAATTTGCTTGGTCAAAGGCAAGCAAATTACCCACCTTTTATGCTGCACAAAAAGCTGAAAAGATTATCTTACTTCTCTGGCTCAAGAACTTTCTATGACTCCCTCTGGCTACTTATGTGGCTCCCACACCCTTAATGATAGAAGCCAACATTCATGAATCCCTTACCACATGCCAGTTACCTTATGGACCTGCCTCCTCCAGACAGCATAAAAGAGGTTGGTACTCTTACCGCACCCATTTTATAAATATGGAAACAAAGGCTCAGCAATTTGAGGTAATTTACCCAGAACCAAAGTTAGGAAGTGCAGAGTTCAGATTAGCACAATATTGTTCCCGCCATTGCCATCCAAGCTCCATTTGTTCATGTTTCAAAGTCCTACACCCACCTCTAGCTAGGGGTCAGTGGGAACAGCTGCATGGCAGAAGACGCCTCTAGGAACCCCTTCAGCTTCTGCAGTGGTGGGGCTGGGGAGTAGGTGCAAAAGATACTTAGCTTTACCACCCTCTCCCATAATTTTTTTTTTTTGAGATGGATTCTCACTCTGTCACCCAGGCTGGAGTGCAGTGGTGTGATCTCAGCTCACTGCAACCTCTGCCTCCTGGGTTCAAGCAATTCTCATGCCACAGCCTTTGGAGTAGCTGGGATTACAGGTGACAACCACCACACCTGGTTAATTTTTGTATTTTTAGTAAAGATGGGGTTTCACTATGTTGGCCAGGCTAGTCTCAAACTCCAAACCTCAAGTGATCCACCCGCCTCAGCCTCCCAATGTGCTGGGATTGCTAAGCCACCATGCCTGGCCCCATCTCCCATGACTTAATGGGATAGGGAAAATAATTCCTCCAAGATAAAACTAAAGTGACGTTAGGAAAGGAAGTAGGTGTTTGGTAGCCTTCAACCAGCAGCTGATTTCTCCCATTTGTGAGTCAATTAGTTTTCTATGGCTGCTGTAACAAATTACCACGAACTGATTGGCTTACATCAACACAGACTTAATATCTTATTGTCTATAGGTCAGAAGTCTCAAATCAGTTTCCCTTGGCTAAAGTCAAGTTGTAAAGGACTGATTCCTTCAGGAGGTTCTGAAGGGAAAACCCGTTTTCTTGCCTTTTCTGCTTTTAGTGGTTACCTATATACCCTGAATTGTGGCCCTTTCCTCCATTTTTAAAGCACACCACTCCAATCTCTGCACAGTGCTATGGTTTGAATGTGTCCCCCAAAGTTCATGTGTTGGAAATTTAATCTCCAATGCAACAGTGTTGAGAGGTGGGACCTTTAAGAAGAGATTAGGTCATGAAAGATCTGCCCTCATTAATAGAGTAATGATGTTATCTCAGCAGAGGGTTAATTATCATGGGGATGGGTTGCTAATAAATGGATTGAGTTCAGCCCCCTTTTCTCTCTTGATGTGATACCTTCCATCATGGGATGACACAGCAAGAAGACCCTCACCAGAAGCAGGCCCCTTGATCTTGACATTCCCAGCCTCCAGAACTGTAAGAAATAAACCTGTTCTTTATAAATTACCCAGTCTCAGATATTGCATAGCAATACAAAAAAGACGAAGACACTCAGTCATCATCGCATTGCCATCTCCCCTGACTGCTGAGTCCCTCTTAAAAGAGCACAGTAGGCTGGATGTGGTGGCTCAAGCCTGTAATCCCAGCACTTTGGGAGGCCAAGGTGGGCAGATCACGAGGTCAGGAGTTCGAGACTAGCCTGGCCAAAATGGTGAAACCCCATCTCTACTGGAAAAACAAAAATTAGTTGGACATGTTGGCGAGCGCCTGTAATCCAGCTACTCGGAAGGCTGAGGCAAGAGAATCACTTGAACCTTGGGAGGTGGAGTTGCAGCGAGCCAAGATTGTGCCATTGCACTCCAGCCTGGGCACCAAGAGCAAAAAACTCCATCTCAAAAAAAAAAAAAAAAAGCAGTGTGATGGGACACTGGGCCCACAGGCAACATAGGATAAGTTCCCATCTCAAGATGCTTAATCACATCTGCAAAGTCCCTTTTGTCATGGAAAGGAACATAGTCACAGATTCCAGGGATTAAGTTGAGGACACTTTGGAGGGGCCATTATTCAGCCTGCCATGGAATATATCATGAGAAGGAGTTAATACAAAATGCTCTGGAAACAGAGAAGGGTGGCCGGGCATGGTAGCTCATGCCTCTAATCCCAGTACCTTGGAAGGGAGGCGGGGGGATTGCCTGAGGTCAGGGGTTCAAGACCAGACTGACCAACATGGTGAAACCCCATCTCTACTAAAAATACAAAAATTAGCTGGGCATGGTGGCAGGTGCCTGTAATCCCAGCTACTCGGGAGGCTGAGTCAGGAGAATCGCTTGAACCCAGTAGACGGAGGTTGCAGTGAGCTGAGATCGCACCATTGCACTCCAGCCTGGGTGACAAGCATGAGACTTCATCTCGATTAAAAAAAAAAGAAAAAGAAAAAGAAACAGAGAAAAGCTGGCTAACTCTCCACAATGGGAAAAATGTCCCAGGAAACCACAGCCTCCACATTAAATATTCAAATGAGCTAAAACCTATCTAATTGGCAATCTCAGCCTTATTCCTTTAAACATGCAAACCACCTAAATTCCCAACAAACCCCCTACACCAGGCCAGCCAAGTCTCAGAATGCTTATATATACCCTTTAATAGAAATTTCCAACCACCATCCCCATTTCCTAAGGAAATGGCTGTGTGCCCTTGACCCTGCCTTGACTGAATCGCCAGTGGCCTTTGAACCTTGGCACTCAATTCATGGCATGGCCAGCAAGCTACAAAGTGTCCTAGCATCAACCAAGCAAAGTTATAAAAGCAGATTCAGTAGACAAGAAGGAACATTAGTTTTAGAGTCAAAAAGACCTGGGTTGGGTCCCAGCTCTGCCATTTACCAGCTGCACGACATCAGAAAAGTTATTTTCATCCTGGACAAGAGCAGCCAAGGGTAAGTCTTTGCACAGGGCCTCCCCGGTCATTATTGGGTCAACAAGACATAACCATGCCTTATCTCCACTTCCAAAACCCAAACAGTTCTCAAAAATGAGTCACTGTAGCTCATTTGGAAGAAAAGACTGATATGAATCAATATGCAACTGCCTATAATCTTTCTCTATCCCTCTTACTGTGAATATTTGCTGTGGAAATATTAACATGTTTGGTCTCCACTGGGGTAGGACTCCACATGTGTAGGACTCCACTGGGGTGCTACACATACAAATAGTAGATATGCCTTACCACCTTCCTAAAATTGGGTAATTAAATTTCACAACTTATCTACCCCCAAAGGTTTCAGAGACTGTAGACCTGTATCTTTATGAGGGCAAGGATGAGAATATAACCTGGCCTGTTTTTATGCACCAAGGTACCTGCTGTTCTCATGAAGATGTCAGCAGCCAGCCAGCCAGTCTCTACAAACTCCACCCCCAACCTCACTATGCTCCTTTCCCTGGAACTTTCCAAGGGGCCCTTAGAATTTGTATTCAGCTCTCACAGGCTGAGACCAGGGTGACATCCTGGAAAACCTGCCTAGTGATAGCCAAGGTGTAGCTCCAGATGAAAGGCACACAACAACTTTAAATATAAAAAAGCCATTCAGGCTAGGCACAGTGGCTCACGTGTGTAATCCCAGCACTTTAAGAGACCGAGGCAGGCGGATCACCTGAGGTCAGAAGTTCAAGACCAGGCTGGCCAACATGGCAAAACCCTGTCTCTACAAAAAAATATAAAAATTAGCTTGGCATGGTGGTGCATACCTGTAATCCCAGCTACTCAGGAGGCTGAGGCCCGAGAATCACTTGAACCTGGGAAGCAGAGGTTGCAGTGAGCCAAGCTTCCAAGCTTGCACCACTACACTTCAGGCTGGGCAACAGAGTGAGACTCCGTCCCAAATAAATAAATAATAAAGCCATTCAACTAAAGAACTGATTATCAAGCAGAAGCACAAAGCCCAGGTTCCATTAGGTTTTTAATTGTACATCAGTGACTGTGAAAAAGCAATTATTCCCATAATTAAAATACAAACTATAAAAAACAGACTCAAAGAAAAGAAAAATGACAGAATGAAAGAAGGTACATTTCTTTCATGTTCAAACCACGGAGTTCACAACACAGCCGGGCGCTTTGTGGTCTCGGCACCCTCGGCTTCCCCTTCATGAGGCCGCTTTCGACTAGTAGAAGGCTGAAAATAAAGGAAAATGACAACTGAGTCCTCACCACAGCCCACAACTCAGACATGCTTATCTAATAGATATTTCTCTCCCTTATGGCTTCTGACCTCTGAATGATGTATACTGAAAGCAAGTAGCATAACCAACTTCCTCTTGATCATCTTCTTCTAAATATCAACTTTAAAAGGACTATAATACCTCTCAGTTGAAGCCCCAACTCTTGGTCTTTTGCGGGAAGACAACCTTTGTGCCTTAGTTGTTTTCCCATATACAAAATTGGGAGGAAGGCTGGGTGTGGTGACTCACACCTGTAATCCCAGCACTTTGGGAAGCCGAGGTGGGCAGGTCGCTTCAGGTCAAAAGTTCGAGACAAGCCTGACCTACATGGCAAAACCCCATCTCACCTAAAAATACAAAAATTAGCTTGGCACAGTGGCAGACACCTGTAGTCCCAGATACTCGGGAGACTGAGGCAGGAGAACTGCTTGAACCCAGGAGGCAGAGGTTGCAGTGAGCTGAGATTGCACCACTGCACTCTGGCCTGAGTGACAGACTAAGACTCTGTCTCAAGAAAAAAAAATCGGGGGGGAGGAAACAGTGGGGAAAAAGGACAGCTACCATTCAACAACAACAACAACAAAAAAAGCAGGACTGGAATTAACCTATATTCACAAAGAACTTTAAAGAATAAAATTGTAATCAAGGAATCAACTACTGACCCAAATTTTAATTTTTCCAACAAATTTATATTTGAGCCTCTAATAGAGTCTTTCGAAATTGCCTTACAGGTGACCTTTTGGATGACAATCCCTAGCTGTGTTTATCTGTCTATTATGTGTTAGACATTAAACATATCCTGCATTTTTAAATCTAAGGGTGCTGGAGTGAATCAAGTTCAAACAGAGTTTCTACTACATTATAACTGAAACAATGTTAAGCAATTGCTACTCAGGAAAATCTTGAATTTCATCATCTTTGCTTATCAGCTCCTTAAGCCCAGACTACATTTAGTGATCATCAGGAATACGAATACCTGGGCTAGAACCTGAGATAGAGCTGTGGACTCATTTTCCTCAGACAGAAGATCTTGAAACTTTCTCTTCATGTCTTCATCCTGTGAGGGAATTAAAAACATAAGTAGCTGTGTCTGAAGGACAGCAAACTCCTAGAATGACAGGGGTAGCATGCCCCTGTGGAAAGAGGGAGGAAAAGATGTCCGTCCAAGAATCACGCCCTTGATGAAGCTCCCACAGCGAAGGCATTATGTGTTGCCCCCCTCTACCTTCCCAGAGGAGTCCAATTAGCAGTCAATGTTCCATCAATCCTGGCTGACTCACATCCACATGCCTAAAAGCTCTCAGTGGGTCAATCACAGCCTCCAGCAGTCAAGAGTTTCTGAATTAGCATCCCAGATCCTGAGAAAGGTGACAATCAGGGGGCCAGGGGCCGGGCCTGACTCCGTGCAGATCCTCAAATCCTTCCGGGACCACTCTCCACCTGCTGCCTCTGCCATGAATGAGGCCAGTCACCCAGGCTGTCCTAACAACCAGCCCAGCACCCTAGGAAAATTCACCCAGCAGATGCCATACAAATTTTCAGAAGTACTTAAGCCCACAATATCCCAGAGCTCAGGTCTAATGAGAAAGGGAGACAATAAACAGGACAAAGCATTACAGGTGTTTCATGCTGCAGGAGCGGGAGATGAGGAGGGCACAAACAGTGTGTATACGAGTAGCTCCCACCTCTCTGGATTCTTACTTCTGCAGGGTTCAAGGATTTACATTAGGAAACCCTGAGAGGTGGTCTGGTGCAGCTCTCCCCATCTTCAGCAAGGTGAAAGGAACAACTATAACTAGGAATGTGGCCTTTGCGTGTTGGCCAGAAGCCCAGCTCAGCCACTCACAGGTGGCATGTGCACAATACAGACCCAGAGTTATCTGATTCCAATGCCTCATTTACTTTCCCACCCAACTCCAGCCCCTCTTCCCACTGAGCCAAGCATACCACAGTGGGGAAAGGGAGAGGATACAGCAAAGTCCTCCACCATTTGGCAATTTGATGGATATGGAAATTTTACAACACTAGGTTGGGCATGGTGGCTCATGCCTATAATCCCAGCACTTTGGGAGGCCAAGGTGGGAGAATTGCTTGAGGCCAGGAATTTGAGACCAGCCTGGGCAATATAGTGGGACTTTGTCACTACAAAAAAAATTTAAAAATTAGGCCAGGCACGGAGGCTCACGCCGGTAATCCCAGCACTTTGGGAGGCCAAGGCGGGAAAATCACCTGAGGTCAGAAGTTTGAGATCAGCCTGGCTAACATGGTGAAACCCCGTCTCTACTAAAAATACAAAATTAGCCAGGCGTGATAGTGCATGCCTGTAATCCCAGCTACTCAGGAGGCTGAGGCAGGAGAATCGCTTGAACTCGAGAGGCGGAGGTTGCAGTAAGCCAGGATCACACCACTGCACTCCAGCCTGGGCAAAAGAGTACGACTCTGTCTCCAAAAAAAAAAAAAAAAAAAAAATTTAAATTAGCCAGACATGATGGCATGCACCTGCAGTCTCAGCTACTTGGGAGGCTGGGGCAGGAAGATCGCTTGAGCCTGAAAGTCATGGTGCAGTGATCATGCCACTGTACTCCAGCCTAGGTGAGAGAGCAAGACCCTGAGGAAGGAAGGAAAGAAAGAAGCAAGGAAGGAAAAAGGGAGGGGGGATGAAAGAGGGGAGGGGAAAGAAATGGAGGAGAGGGGAGGGGGAAGGAAGGAGGAAGAAAGAAAGAAGGAAAGGAGGACCAGGCACAGTGGTTCACGCCTGTAATCCCAGCACTTTGGGAGGCCAAGGCAGGACACATCACTCTGTTTTGAGTTTCTCAGTGTAGCTCCCCATTGCCATTTGACAGCAGCAAGCTCATCTGGATTCCTCTCTGCACCCTCTCACAGCCTTACTTAGGATCTCAATTATCTTGCAGTGTCACTCTCAAAAGTCCATCTCTTGGCAGCCATTCAGTGAGGCCAAACAGAGTGGTCACAAGCCTAATCAGGCCTATATTTAAAACAAATAATCAGGTCAGGCACAGTGGCTCATGCCTGGAATCCCAGCACTTTGGGAGGCCAAGGTGGGTGGATCACCAGAGGTTAGGAGTTTGAGACTAGTCTGACCAACACGGTGAAACCCCATCTCTACTAAAAATACAAAAATGAGCTGGGCATGGTGGCAGGCATCTGTAATCCCAGCCACTTGGGAGGCTGATGCAGGAGAATCACTTGAACCCAGAGGTGGAGGTTGCAGTGAGTTGAGATCACACCATTGCACTCCAGCCTGGTAGACAAAAGCGAGACTCCATCTCAAAAAAGGAAATAAATAAATAAACATTGATTTTCTTCATGATGTCTACAATTATTCCAAAATATTAAATTAGCCAGGAACAGTGGCTTGTGCCTATTATCCAAGCACTTTGTGAGGCTGAGGCAGGAGGATCCCTTAAGGCCAGGAGATCGAGGCTGCAGTGAGCTATAATTGCACCAGTGCACTCCAGTTTAGGCAACAGAAGAAGACCTTGTCTCCACCAATAAATAAAATAAAAACTAAATTATAATATCCCTTGAAAGCAAACAGAAGAAATCCTCTATTTCAGGCAGTAAATATGAGGCAGACAGTAGATGTAAGGGATGCTCCCCAAACTGGGCACTCTGTTAATGACAAAACAGAGACCAGAATCCACATTCCCAACACTCAATCCAGCGCCAGACCCACAAAACCATTTGGTTTTTGTGAAAACACTGAATTTTCCCAAAATAAAACCCAAACTATCACTAACAGATATTTTAGATGGTCAGTCTTCATCCTTGTCTTCATTCAATGCTCATTCCTCCTTTTACTGCAAAAACAAAAGGTGGCTAAAAGAGTATTCCAGGGAGATCCTGCCACAGAGTTGAACTTCATCTTCTCCTTGGATGTTAATAAGTTTTCTTTGAGACGAAGAAGTACAAGAAAAATGGGCTACACTTGCTCATAAATTTCAGGCAGATGCAAACCCTGTTCCCAGGCTCAACAGGCCAGCTCTGCTTTTTTGCTAGAGATGAACACAGCTCCTGTACCTCTACATTTAGACCCAAGAGTTTCCCTAATAGGACACATGAAAAGAGCCAAAAGACATGTTTCTCTTTTTCATCAAAATTAAAATCCTCACATGCAAAGGCACCCTTTGTTTCCAAAGCCCTTTCCTCCAGGGTCCCGCTGTTTCAAATCTGTGTGGTCTATTAAATGCTAAATCATCTGACAGATTTCTTCTGGGGAGACTGTCGTTTCCAGGGCAACATCCAAAACACATATATCTGTCTTTTCTTTTTTTTTTTAAGTTTTTGTTGTTCTCAACCTGAGCTGGCCTGAGCAAAACTGTTGGGTGTAGAGTATTAGAAGAGAGAATGGGGAGAGTCTTCCTAGAGTCCCAGAAGTACGGGGCTGAGGCTGGATTGACCAAGGAGTTCCTGGACCAGTAATCCCCAGAGAAACAGCATTTAGCTCAAGTAACAGCCTCTCGCTCAAGCTACCAGTTCTGTCCCCCATCTCCACAGAAAACGGATTGATACAGTTTGGCTTTATGTCCCTACCCAAATCTCATCTCAAATTGTAATCCCCAGGAGTTGAGAAAGGGACCTGTTGAGAAGTGATTGGCTCATGGGGGCAGTTTCCCCCAGGCTATTCTCGTGATAGTGAGTTCTCACAAGATCTGACAGTTTCATAAAAGGCTCTTCGCCCTTCACTTCCTTCACAAGCTCTCTCACCTGCTGCCATTAAGACATACCTTCTTCCCCTTCCACCATGATTGTAAGTTTCCTGAGGCCTCCCCAGCCATGTGGAGCTGTGAGTCAATTAAACCTCCTTTCTTTATAAATTACCCAGTCTTGGGCAGTTCTTTATAGCAGTGTGAGAACAGACTAATCCCCAGACCAAAAGAAAATTAATAGAAAGGGACATGGCTGTGTTGAATGGAACTGCTCATTAGAGAAGACCAGACATCTATCAGAAAACCTGCCCAATGGCATAGCTAATTCCAAAACTAAAGATTAATCCAGCAAAGCCAAAACGTACTTCCAACTCTTGGCAGTTCTAAATGAGGTCAGGATTTAATAATGGCAGCCCCAACACCTAGCAGGAGCACAGCACTAACACAGATGAAAGGTGCAGGTGACGGCCTTCACTAAGGACACATTTACTCACCTGAATGAACAAGCAGTGGGACCCTTTATACCAGTCACTTGGGCTTGAGAAATAGCTGGATTCTCCCCAGGGAGGCTGCCCTCCTCCCCCTCCCCCACTTCCCTTATTTAAGGTTGAAGATGGCTGGAATGCAGCCCACCTATGAAGAGCAGTGGACATGGCTGGGGGTAGAGCCAGAACAAGCCCTCAAAAGAACACAGGCCAGACTGGAGACTTAGGGAAGCCAAGTGGAACCAGAACAGGACATAAAGTGAGCTTGTACATCCAACAGCCATGAGTAACATCAAAAAGGTTGTAGCCTGGCCAACACGGTGAAACCCCATCTCTACAAAAAATACAAAAAGTAGTTGGGCTTGGTAGCATGCACCTTTAATCCCAGCTACTTGGGAGGTTGAGGCAGGAGAATCACTTGAACCCAGGGGTCAGAGGTTGCAGTGAGCTGAGATCGTGCCACTGCACTCCAGCCAGGGTGACAGAAGGAGAACCTGTCTCAAAAAAGAAAAAAAAAGACAGGTTGCAACCCATCCTCCAAGATACCCCCCATACATCTAAAACAATTAGATTAAACAGACTAAACATGTTTCTATCCTCTGTCTCATGTCTCTCAGGCAGCAGGGCTTCCCATGTATTTTATGCTAGCAGGCACTGTCCCACACCCACCTGAAGCCACGGTGTCTTAAGGCTTCTTCTCTCATAAAACGTGCCTTTGGATCCACTACCAACAACTTCTTGACAAGGTCCAGTGCTAAAGCAACAATTGGGCAAATCACAGTGAAAAGGATAAATATATTATCAGTAATAGTATGCCAGAATTAACAAGTCACCATCCAGAAAGAGCAGAGAGGGTCTGAGATCATCAGGGAGTCAGCAGACAGGACCCCCTAATCTTCCTCACTCTCTGTATTCAGAGTCCTGTGAGAAGACCAGGAATGATAATGACACTCCCTGTCTCCTGCTGCTGGGACATCATTCACGACCTCTTCGCTGCCTGTTCCCTCTCCTGTTGCTAGACTCAAGGTCAAACTAATTAAAGCTAAACTTCTACCCAATTCTAAGATACTTGGGATGCACAGCGAACTCTCCCTGACAGATGGATGGGTGAGAGTTACTCAGCCAGGGAGAGGCTCACTGGAACTGCAGACTTGTCAGAAATAAAACTTGACTACTCCAGCAAGCAACAAATGCACGCTGGCCTGTATATTACAACATAATTATTCCTTAAATATTCTGACATTTAACACAATCACCTATGTTATGTTATTTGACATTCAAAACCTAGAATATTATATAGGCTAGTGAATATTATCCTTCATCTCTGAAGTATGAAAAGGAGCGTAACTGGTGAAATTGCTGGTTTTTTGTTATCTGACTAAGTGTATTAACCAAATCCAGTGAACGTTTCTGTCTGCATCGTATTCAAGAACTTTGCAGCTTTTGACGCCAATGATCACTCTCTTATTGAAACACTTGTCTTTTTTTTTTTTTCTAATTCTGAGGCACCACTTACTGGATTTCTTCTTCCCTCACTGCTTCTTCCTTTCTTGTCTTCCATATTCCATTCTTCTTTTCCTAACTTCTAAATATGAAATATCACTCAGGACTTAGACCTGGGCCTTTTCCTCTTTTCCCTTTATATAGTTTGTCTATGTGGTCTCATCAATGTCCAAGATATCATATTTATGCATGCAACCTTCTAATTTAAGCATTATCTGGCCAGGCACGGTAGTTCACGCCTGTAATCCCAGCACTTTGGGGGCTGAGGCGGGCAGATCACCTGAGGTTGGGTGTTCAAACCAGCCTGGCCAACATGGTGAAACCCCATCTCTACTAAAAAATACAAAATTAACCAGACATCATGGCATGCACCTGTAGTCCCAGCTACTCAAGAGGCTGAGGCAGGAGAATCGCTTGAACCCAGGAGGCAGAGGCAGAGGTCGCAGTGAGCCAAGATTGCGTCACTGCACTCCAGACTCAAAATATATATATATATATATATATATATATATATATATATATATATATAATCATTATAGATATAGTTGAAGCTTCCTGTGTACTATTTTCCAAACTCATTCCTCTCCTTTTCCTGGAGGTACCAGCTATGCAGATAAAAGCAGAAATTAATGTCAGTAGCAGTGTGTTCATCATGTGTCTATGCCTTCATGACAAAGGAAGTTTAAAAACTTGTGTTCCTGGTTTCTGCATTGGGAAAGTAATATTAATAATGTTAGAAATTCTCCAAACATGGGGCGACTTATTAAAATATGCTCAGGCCAGGTGCCATGACTGACGCCTGTAATCCCAACACTTTGGGGCACCAAGGTTGAAGAATCATTTGAAGCCAAGGGTTTGAGGCTAGCTTGGGCAACATAGTGAGACTGCATCTCTACAAAACAAAAACTTTTTTAAAATTAGCTAGGCATTGTGGTGTGTGCCTGTAGTCCCAGCTACTCAGGAGGCTAAGGCAGAGGGTCCCTAGAACCCAGGAGTTCAAGGATGCTGTGAGATATATGATCGTGCCACTATTCCAACCCAGGCAACAGGGCAAGACCCTGTCTCTTTAAAAATAATAAAATAAAATAAAAGCTGCTTGGGCAAACTGTTAAACGTTTGCTTCTATTCCTGAGATACCCAACTGCTCCAGAATTTTTTTTAGAATACATTACTAGATTTACTATTATTTTATTTTAGATGTTTGTATCTAAGCTTAGTTTGGCCTCCAATTTTCTTGGATTATAATGATCTTAAATATTTATATTGCATTTATGTTAGCCTCACAAAATGAATTGAAGGTGTTCCCTCTTTTTCCATTCTCTGAAATTATTTTGATATGATAGTGCTTATTTATATGTTCTTTGAATGTTTGGTAGAACTTTCATATTAAAGTATCTCATACTAGTGGGTGTTTTCTATGAAAAAGTATTTACTGATTGAATTTTTAAAAATAGATACGTGAATATTCGGGTGTCCCATTTCTTTTTGACTAAGTGTTTATAAGTTATAGTAGCCAACGAAGTTGTTCATTTCACTTATGTTTTTAGACTGTTGTCATATAGTCATTTATAGTATTCACTTTATTATTTTTTCACTCATATTTTATGTTACACTTCATTTTTTATTCCTAATATTGCTTATTTATGCCTTCTCTTTTTAATTAATCAATGTTACCAGAAGAGTGCCTATTTTATTATTCTTTTCAAAGAATCAGCATTTGGTTTTGGGAATCTTGCCTATTGTTTCTTTGTTTATAGTTTATTAATGTCTATTTCTACTTTTAGCCTTATTTCCTTTAATTTATTTTATTTAGGTTTACTCCAATTTTTTTTTTTTTTTTTTTTTTTTTAGACAGAGTCTTGCTCTGTTGCCCAGGCTGCAATGCAGTGGCCCAATCTCGGCTCACTGCAACCTCTGCCTCCCTGGCTCAAGCAATTCTTCTGTTTCAGCCTCCCAAGTAGCTGGGATTATAGGCACCCACCACCACACCCAGCTAATTTTTGTATTTTCAGTAGAGACAGGAGTTTCACCATGTTGGCCAAGCTGGTCTTGAACTCCCGACCTCAGGTAATCTGCCCTCCTTGACCTCTAAAAATGCTGGGATTACAGGCCTGAGCCACCATGCCCAATCTCTTTTTCTCTTTCCAAACTTCCTAAAGTGGACATTTAACTAATTTTCAGCCTATTTTTCAATATAAACATTTAAAGATATAAATTACCCTTTCAGTACTGCCTCAGCTCTATCTCACAAGTTTTTTTATGTAGTATCTCACTTCCAAATATCTTCTGATTTTTGTTTTCATGTCTTCTTTGACTGAAAAATTATTTAAGGTGTGCCTTTAGTTTGAAGATGAAAGAAATTTACATTTTTTTCTCTTATAAATTGCATTTTGGTTACAGAGTATAAGCTGCATGTTATAATGTTTATTTGTTGTGATTTGATTCATAGGCTAGCATAGGTTCAGTTCTCCTAAGACTTTATCAGGCTTCAAAGTATATATATTCTCTAATTTGAGCATACAGAAGTCTATATATTTCCTTTAAATTAAGCTTTTTTAATAAAGTGGTTAAAATCTGAGGTAATCTTACTACATTTTGATTATCATTGACTCAGAGGTTTAAGTTTCTTCAAGGTTGAGGATTTAGACATTTTTCTTTGTAATCCTGCAATTTGTGCTTCATATATTTTATGGTTGAATTGTTACATGCATACATGTCTTTACACAATGACTTTTATTCCTCAGAATGTTTTTTGTCTTAAATTATAGTTTTTGATATGAAAATAACTATATCAGCCATATATTGGTTAATATTTGTTTTATTTATCATTTACTCATCTCATAACTTCAGAATTTTGTGTCTTCATATTTTTAACTATTACGGGTTATACCTGGCTTTTCACATTTTTATCCAGTCTTCAAGTGTCTGTCTTTAACTAATTTAGACCATTTAAGTTTATTGTGGTTATGGATAAATTTATATTTACTTCTGTCACCATATTTTGTGCTTTATGTTAACCATATTATTTCTCCAATTCTTTTCCCCAATGCATTCTATTAGATTGATCAAAGTTTTTCCCCTCTATTTGTTTAAAAGTTGTATATTCTAGTTCTATTCTATTCACAATTACCCTTGAAATGTAATATGTGTACTTGAATTAACAAGTAATTTAAAAAACCAATTGTAAAATTAAAATCACTAGTTTCATCTTGAAGGATGAATTAATTTGGATCACCCTCATTGACTCCTAACTTACTGTTTTCCAGTACTTTTCTTCCAATTTATATTTTATCAGCTTTTTTGAGGTATAATATACAGAGCACAAAATTTATTTATTTTAAATGCACATTTCGATGAGTTTTGACAAATTTATAGAGTTGTGCAACAATTACAAAAATTCAGTTTTTGAATACTTACATAATCTCAAAAAGTTTCCTCATGCTTACTTTCATTAAATCCTCACTCCCACCTACCCAAGTCCCAAGAAACAAATGATCTGCTTTCTTTATAGATTTGTCTTCCATGAAAAGCTACATAGATTGACTGGGCACAGTGGCTCACGCCTGTAATCCTAGCATTTTGGGAGGCCAAGGCGAGCAGATCACCTGAGCCCAGGAGTTCAAGACTAACCTAGGCAACATGGTGAAACCCCATCTCTACTAAAAACACAAAAATTAGCTGGGCATGGTGGCGCACCTGATAGCTACTCGAAGGCTGAAGTGTGACGGATTACGTTTATTGATTTGCGTATATTGAGCCAGGCTTTCATCCCAGGGATGAAGCTGACTTCATAGTGGTGGATAAGCTTTTTGATATGCTGCTGGATTCGGTTTGCCAGTATTTTATTGAGGATTTTTGCATTGATATTGATATTGGTCATCAGGGATATTGGTCTAAAATTCTCTTTTTTTGTTGTGTCTCTGCCAGGCTTTGATATCAGGATGATGCTGGCCTCATAAAATGTGTTAGGGAGGATTCCCTCTTTTTCAATTCATTGGAATAGTTTCAGAAGGAATGGTACCAGCTCCTCTTTGTACCTCTGGTAGAATTCAGCTGTGAATCCATCTGGTCCTGGACTTTTTTTGGTTGGTAGGCTAATTAATTATTACCTCAATTTCAGAGCCTGTTATTGGTCTATTCAGGGATTCGACTTCTTCCTGGTTTAGTCTTGGGATGGTGTATTTGTCCAGGAATTTATCCATTTCTTCTAGATTTTCTAGTTTATTTGTGTAGAGGGGTTTGTAGTATTCTCTGACAGTAGTTTGTATTTCCATGGGATCAGTGGTGAAATCCCCTTTATCATTTTTTATTGCATCTATTTGATTCTTCTCTCTTTTCTTCTTTATTAGTCTTGCTAGTGGTCTATCAATTTTGTTGATCTCTTCAAAAAACCAGCTCCTGGGTTCATTGATTTTTGAAGGGTTTTTTGTGTCTCTATCTCCTTCAGTTCTGCTCTGATCTTAGTTATTTCTTGCCTTCTGCTAGATTTTGAATTTGTGTGCTCCTGCTTCTCTAGTTCTTTTAATTGTGATGTTAGGGTGTCGATTTTTGATCTTTCCTGTTTTCTCTTGTGGTTATTTAGTGCCATAAATTTCCCTCTACACACTGCTTTAAATGTGTCCCAGAGATTCTGATATGTTGTGTCTTTGTTCTCGTTGGTTTCAAAGAACATCTTTACTTCTGCCTTCATTTCCTTATTTACCCAATAGTCATTCAGGAGCAGGTTGTTCAGTTTCCATGTATTTGTGTGGTTTTGAGTGAATTTCTTAATCCTGAGTTCCAATTTGATGGCACTGTGGTCTGGGAGACAGTTTGTTGTGATTTCTGTTCTTTTACATTTGCTGAGGAATGCTTTACTTCTAACTATGTGGTCAATTTTGGAATAAGTGAGACGTGGTGCTGAGAAGAATGTACATTGTGTTGATTTGGGGTGGAGGCTTCTGTAGATGTCTATTAGGTCTGCTTGTTGCAGAGCTGAGTTCAAGTCCTGGAAATCCTTGTTAACCTTCTGTCTCATTGATCTGTCTAATATTGACAGTGGGGTGTTAAAGTCTCTCACTATTACTGAGTGGATGTCTAAGTCTCTTTGTAGGTCTCTAAGGACTTGCTTTAAGAATCTGGGTGCTCCTGTATTGGGTGCATGTATAGTTAGTATAGTTAGATCTTCTTGTTGCATTGATCCCTTTACCATTATATAAAGGCCATCTTTGTCTCTTTGATCTCTGTTGTTTTAAAGTCTGTTTTATCAGAGACTAGGATTGCAACCCCTGCTATTTTTTGCTTTCCATTTGCTTGGTAGATCTTCTTCCATCCGTTTATTTTGAGCCTATGTGTGTCTCTGCATGTTAGATGGGTCTCCTGAATACAGCACACTGATGGGTCTTGACTCTTTATCCAGTTTGCCAGTCTGTGTCTTTTAATTGGGGCATTTAGCCCATTTATATTTAAGGTTAATATTGTTATGTGTGAATTTGATCCTGTCATTATGATGTTAGCTGGTTATTTTGCTCATTAGTTGATGCAGTTTCTTCCTAGGATCAATGGTCTTTACAATTTGGCATGTTTTTGCAGTGGCTGGTACCAGTTGTTCCTTTGCATGTTTAGTGCTTCCTTCAGGATCTCTTGTAAGGCAGGCCTGGTGGTGACAAAATCTCTCAGCATTTGCTTGTCTATAAAGGAGTTTATTTCTCCTTCACTTATGAATCTTAGTTTGGCTGGATATGAAATTCTGAGTTGAAAATTCTTTTTTTAAGAATGTTGAATATTGGCCCCCACTCTCTTCTGGTTTGTAGGGTTTCTGCCAAGAGATCTGCTGTTAGTCTGATGCACTTCCCTTTGTGGCTAACCCGACCTTTCTCTCTGGCTGCCCTTAACATTTTTCCTTTCATTTCAACCTTGGTGAGTGTGACAATTATGTGTCTTGGTGTTGCTCTTCTCGAAGAGTATCTTTTTGGTGTTTTCTGACCCTAACATCACAATTAAAAGAACCAGAAAACCAAGAGCAAACACATTCAAAAGCTAGCAGAAGGCAACAAATAACTAAGATCAGAGCAGAACTGAAGGAAATAGAGACACAAAAAACCCTTCAAAAAATTAATGAATCCAGGAGCTGGTTTTTTGAAAAGATCAACAAAATTGATAAACCACTAGCAAGACTAATAAAGAAGAAAAGAGAGAAGAATCAAATAGATGCAATAAAAAATGACAAAGGGGATATCACCACTGATGCCACAGAAATACAATCTACAATCAGAGAACACTACAAACACCTCTACACAAATAAACTAGAAAATCTAGAAGAAATGGATAAATTCCTCGACACATACACCCTCCCAAGACTAAACCAGGAAGAAGTTGAATCTCTGAATAGACCAATATCAGGCTCTGAAATTGTGGCAATAATCAATAGCTTATCAACCAAAAACAGTCCAGGACCAGATGGATTCACAGCCGAATTCTACCAGAAGTACAAGGAGGAACTGGTACCATTCCTTCTGAAACTATTCCAATCAATAGAAAAAGAGAGAATCGTCCCTAACTCATCTTATGAGGCCAGCAACATTCTGATACCAAAGCCAGGCAGAGACACAGCAAAAAAAGAGAATTTTAGACCAATATCCTTGATGAACATTGATGCAAAATCCTCAATAAAATACTGGCAAACCGAATCCAGCAGCACATCAAAAAGCTTATCCTCCATGATCAAGTAGGCTTCATCCCTAGGATGCAAGGCTTGTTCAACATATGCAAATCAATAAACGTAATCCAGCTTACAAAAAGAACCAAAGACAAAAACCACATGATTATCTCAATAGATGCAGAAAAGGTCTTTGACAAAATTCAGCAACCCTTCATGCTAAAAACTCTCAATAAATTAGGTATTGATGGGACATATCTGAAAATAGTAAGAGCTATCTATGACAAACCCACAGCCAATATCATACTGAATGGGCAAAAACTGGAAGCATTGCCTTTGAAAACTGGCACAAGACAGGGATGCCCTCTCTCACCACTCCTATTCAACATAGTGTTGAAAGTTCTGGCCAGGGCAATTAGACAGGAGAAGGAAATAAAAGGTATTCGATTAGGAAAAGAGGAAGTCAAATTATCCCTGTTTGCAGATGACATGATTATATATCTAGAAAACCCCATCATCTCAGCCCAAAATCTCCTTAAGCTGATAAGCAACTTCAGCAAAGTCTCAGGATACAAAATCAACGTACAAAAATCAGAAGCATTCTTGTACACCAATAACAGACCAACAGAGAGACAAATCATGGGTGAACCCCCATTCACAATTGCTTCAAAGAGAATACAATACCTAGGAATCCAACTTACAAGGGACGTGAAGGACCTCTTCAAGGAAAACTACAAACCACTGCTCAATGAAATAAAAGAGGATACAAACAAATGGAAGAACATTCCATGCTCATGGGTTGGAAGAATCAATATTGGAAAAAAACTACTTTAAAGTTCATATGGAACCAAAAAAGAGCCCACATCGCCAAGTCAATCCTAAGCCAAAAGAACAAAGCTGGTGGCATTAGGCTACCTGACTTCAAACTATGCTACAATGCTACAGTAACCAAAACAGCATGGTACTGGTAACAAAACAGAGATATAGATCAATGGAACAGAACAGAGCCCTCAGAAATAATGCCGCATATTTACAACTATCTGATCTTTGACAAACCTGAGAAAAACAAGCAATGGGGAAAGGATTCCCTATTTAATAAATGGTGCTGGGAAAACTGGCTAGTCATATGTAGAAAGCTGAAACTGGATCCCTTCCTTACACCTTATACAAAAATTAATTCAAGATGGATTAAAGACTTACATGTTAGACCTAAAATCATAAAAACCCTAGAAGAAAACCTAGGCAATACCATTCAGGACATAGGCATGTGCAAGGATTTCATGTCTAAACCATTCTCCCCATCACTTTCAAGTACACCAATCAAACTTAGATTTGGTCTTTTCACATAGTCCCATATTTCTTGGAGGCTTTGTTCATTTCTTTTTACTCTTTTTCTCTAAACTTCACTTCTCACTTCATTTCATTCATTTGATCTTCCATCACTGATACCCTTTCTTCCACTTGATTGAATCGGCTACAGAAGCTTGTGCATGCATCATGTAGTTCTTGTGCCATGGTTTTCAGCTCCGTCAGGTCATTTAAGGTCTTCTCTATGCTGTTTATTCTAGTTAGCCATTCATCTAATCTTTGTTCAAGGTTTTTAGCTTCCTTGCAATGAGTTCGAACATCCTCCTTTAGCCCAGAGAAGTTTGTTATTACTGACCTTCTAAAGCCTACTTCTGTCAACTCATCAAAGTCATTCTCCATCCAGCTGTGTTCCATTGCTGGCAAGGAGCTGCAATCCTTTGGAGGAGAAGCGGCGCTCTGATTTTTTGAATTTTCAGCTTGTCTGCTCTGGTTTCCCCCCATCTTTGTGGTTTTATCTACCTTTGGTCTTTAATGATGGTGACCTACAGATGTGGTTTTGGTGTGGATGTCCTTTTTGTTGATGCTGTTCCTTTCTGTTTGCTAGTTTTCCTTCTAACAATCAGGACCCTCAGCTGCAGGTCTGTTGGAGTTTGCTGGGGTTCCACTCCAGACCCTGTTTGCCTGAGTGTCACCAGTGGAGGCTGCAGAACAGCAAATATTGCTGCCTGATCCTTCTTCTGGAAGCTTCATCTCAGAGGGACACTTGGCTGTATGAGGTGTCAGTAAATCCCTACTGGCAGCTCTGTCCATTCTCAGAGTTCAAACTTCATGCTGGAGAACCACTGCTCTCTTCAGAGCTGTCAGACAGGGATGTTTAAGTCTGCAGAAGTTTCTGCTGCCTTTTATTCAGCTATACCCTGCCCCCAGAGGTGGAGTCTACAGAGGCTGCCAGGCCTCGTTGAGCTGCAGGGAGCTCCACACAGTTCAGGCTTCCCAGCTGCTTTGTTTACCTACTCAAGCCTCAGCAATGGTGGATGCCCCTCTCCCAGCCCAGGCTGCCACCTTCCAGTTCGATCTCGGACTGCTGCACTAGCAGTAAGCAAGGCTGTGTGGGCATGGGACACGCTGAGCCAGGCATGGGATATAATCTCCTGGTGTGCCATTTGCTACGACCATTGGAAAAGCACAGTATTAGGGTGGGAGTGTCCGGATTTTCCAGGTACCGTCTGTCACGGCTTCCCTTGGCTAGGAAGGGGAAATCCCCCGACCACTTGTGCTGCTTCCCAGATGAGGCGACGCCCTGCCCTGCTTCGGATCACCCTCTGTGGGCTGCACCCACTGTCCGACCCGTCTCAGTGCGATGAACCAGGTACCTCAGTTGGAAATACAGAAATCACCTGTCTTCTACATCAATTATGCTGAGAGCTGCAGACAGGAACTGTTCCTATTCGGCCATCTTGGAACGATCCTCTCTTTTCATTTATTTAAGAAATATTTGAAAAGCAAAGATTTCATCATTTTGGTGAAGTCCAATTTATCTGTTTTTCTTTTATAGAACATGTTTTTGATATTATATCTAAGAAAACTTTTCTTAGTCCAAGGTCATAAATATTTTCTCCTATATTTTTTTTCCTAGAAGTTTTACAGTTTTAGCTCATACAATTAGGTCTATGATCCATTTTAGTTAATTTTCGTATGTGACCTAAGGATCTAGGTTTAGTTTTTGTAAATGAATAACCAGTTCTTATAGAATCATTTGTTGAAAGAACATCTTTTTCCTATTGAATTGTCTTAGCATCTTTGATGAAAATTAATTGACTATTTATGTGATTGGATTCTGAACTCCACTTAGTTCCATTGATCTATCTATCTCTCTTAATGTGGATTCTACACTGTCTTGACTACTGTTGCTTTACACTGAATTTTAAAATAAGGCAGTATTAAGTACTTTAACTTCATTCTTACTTAGCAAGATTGTTTTGGCTATTCTAGGTATTTTTGTATTTCTATATAATTTTAGAATCAGCTTGTCAATTTTTCCAATAATCTTTCTAGACTTTTGGCAGGAATTGCCGTTAATTTGTAGATCAATTGACATCTAACAATATTGAGTAATCTAATCCATTAACATGATATATCTCTCCATTTATTTAGACATTTATCTGAGTGATGTTTTTTAGTTTTCAGTGCAAACGTTTCACACTTATTTTGTTAAATTTATTCCTAATTATTATTGCTATAGTTTGAGTGTCTCTACCAAAACTCATGTTGGAACGCTTAAGAGGTGGGGCCTAATGGAAAGTGTTTGTGTCTTGGGAGCTCTTCCTTTGTGGGCAGCTTGGTACTATTCTTACATTGGTGAGTGAGTTCTCACTCTTGTGAGATTAGTTCTCTCAGGAATGGATTAGTTACCATGAGAATGAGTTGCTATATGGTGAGGTCACGCTTCATGCTTGGCCTCCTGGTACATGTCTACTCCCCTTTGACCTTCTTCTACCATGTTGTGACACAACACTGAAGCTTTCACCAGAACCCAAGCAGATGCCAGTGTCATTCTTTGCAGCCTGCAGAACTGCAAGCTAAATATACCTCTTTATAAATTACTCAGTCTCTGGTATTCTGTTATAGCAACACAAAACGGGCTAAGACAGAAAATTGGTACTGAGAGTGGGATGTTGCTATTTAGATTCTCAAAAATGCAGAAGCATCATTGGAACTGGGTAATGGGCAGAAGTTGGAAAAGTTTGAAGGAGCAGACTAGAAAAAGACTGTATTGCCATAAACAGAGCATTAAGGATAATTTCAGTGAGGGCTCAAAAGAAAACAAAAAGATGAGAGAAAGTTTAGAATTTCTTAGAGACTGGTTAAGTAGTCATTACCACAATGCTGATAAAAATATGGACAGCAAAGGCCATTCTAATGAGATCTCAGATAGAAATGAGGAACAAGGTATTAGGAACTGGAGACCAAGTCATCCTTGTTAGACCATAGCAAACATTTGGCTGTGTTGTTTCTAAGACTTTGTGCCCTAAGGTTTTGTGGAAGGCCAAACTTAAGAGTGATGAACTAGGGTACCTGGCAGAAGAAATTTCTAAGCAAAATATAGAGCAGCTATGTAGTTACTCCTTACTACATTCAGTGAAATGCAAAATGACAAGGGAAGCAAACACAAAAATTTGAAAATTAATAGCCTAGCCATGTGGAAGAGAATGAAAGAACATTTTAAGGTGAGGAATCCAAGGGTGCAGCAGAACAACCAATACTAAAGAGATTAGCACTGAGAGAAGAAAGCCAGTTGACAGTTATTGAGACAATTTTTTTAAAGGCCCTGAAGACATTTCAGAAATTTTTGAGGTTGCCTCTCCAGAGGTCTAGGAGGACAGAATGGTTTTAAGAGACAGAACCCATGCATCACTGCCCTGTGCTGTTTTGAGATCCTGCTACCCAAATTCTGGCACAGCCCTCAGCAGCCACCCCAGCCATGGCACAATCATACTCAGGTGTGGCTCAGGCTGCCATTCCACAGGATACAAACCATAAACCTTGGTGACATGCAGTCATGGATCAAGCAGCCTCAGATACAGCTCATGACAGCACTCTGGAGGGTGCAAGCGGTAAGCCTTGATGGTTTTTACAACCATGTGGTACTAGTTTTGCAGATGTGCAGAATACAAGAGAAGTGGAGGCATGGTGGATGCCACCTAGATTTTAAGGAATGTACTGAAAAGACTTGGAGCTCAGGTGGAGACTTGTTGCAGGGCCAGAGCCACTGCAGTGTACCTCCCCCAGGGCAATGCTGAGCAGAAATGTAGGGTTGGAGCTGCCACAAAGAGTCTGTACCAGGGCAATGCCTAGTGAATCCATGAAGTGGACCACCACTGGGACTCCAGAACTATAGAGCCATTGCCACCATGCAACCTCAGCCTGGAAAGGCCACAGGTATCCAACTCCAACCAGTGAGAGTAGCCATGTGGCTATGCCCAACAAAGCAATGGAGGTGGGGCTGCCCAAGGCTTTAGTGATAAAAACTCCCCATTATGCCCAGGAGGTAGCACATGGAGTGGAGAATTATTCTGGAGCTTTAAGATTTAGTGTCTGCCCTGCTGAGTTTTGAACTTGCTTGAGGCCTGTCACCTCTTTCTTCTTTTGGCCTATTTCTCCCTTTTGGAATGGAACTGTCTGCCATATGACTATTCCACCATTGTATCTTGAAGTAAATAACTTGTTTTTTTTTTTAATTTTACAGGCTCATAGCTAGAAGGAACTTGCCTTGAGTCTTATATGAGACTTTGGACTTTGACCTTTGAATTGTTACTGGAATACATTAAGACTTTGGGGACCATTGAGATTGAATAATTACATTTTGTAGTGTAAGAGGGACATGAGTTTGGGGTTCCAAGGGTGGAATGCCATAGTTTCCGTCTTTCTGTCAAAAATCATGTTGGAACCTTTAAGAGGTAAGGCCTAATGGGAGACGCTTGGGTCATGGGGGCTCTGCCATTTTGAGCAGCTTGGTGCAGTCCTCATATAGTGAGTGAGTTCTTGCTCTCATGAAACTGGATTGGTTCCTGTGGGAATAGATTAGTTGCCCTGAGAATGGATTGTTATAAAGCAACCCATCGTACATGGTTGTACCTTGTGTTTGGCCTCTTGGCACATTCCCACTTCCTCTTTGGTCTTCTGCCATGTTGTGATGCACTGCTAAAGCCCTCACCAGAAGCTAAGCAGATACTGGTGCCATGCTTCTTGAACTTCCCAGTCTGGAGAAACATGAGCTAAATAAACCTCTTTATACAGTCTCAGGTGTTCTATTATAACAACATAAAACAAACTAAGACATTTATTTTTGATGTTATTGTGATTGGAATTGTTTTCTTTATTTCATCTTTGTATTGTTTGTTGCTACTATATATATAACCAATTTTTGTATATTGATCATATACTCTACAAACTCACTAAGCCCCCCTCTTAGTTCTAGTAAGTCTGGGAGGGGGTGTGGTATGTGGGTGTGTGTGTGTGGGTGTGTTCCTTAGGATTTTCTGCATACAAGGCTAACAATAAAAAGAGTTGTCTTTTGTCCATACCTTTTTTCCTTGACTATTGCACAAACTAAGACCTGTGGTGCATTGTTAAATAGAAGTGGTAAACACAGATATCTTTGCATGTTTCCTAATCTAGAGGGAAGCACATTCTTACCATTAAGTATGTTGGCTATAGGCTTCTGGTAGATGCCTTGATCATTTGAAGAAGTTCCCTTCTATTCATAAGTTGATGGGATTTTTTTTAATATATGAGTGTTGAATTCTGTCAAATGCTTTTCTGCATCTATTGAGGTGATCATATGGTTTTGTCCTTTATTCTGTTAATATAGTTTATTACATTGATTTTTGGATGTTAAGTCAACCTCACATTCCTGAGATAAACTTCATTTGATTATGGTATAAAATCCTTTTCATATGTTGCTCAATTACATTTGCTAATATTTGGTTAAGAATTTTTATGTCTAGGTTCACAAGGGATATTGGTATATAGCTGTGTTTTCTTGTAATGTCTTTGTCTTGTTTTGATATCAGGGTAATATTGATATCAAATGAAATAAAGTTAGTTGGGAAGTTTCCTTCATCCTCTATTTGCTGAATAAAGCTTTTGTAACATTGGTATTATTTCCTCCCTTAATAGCTTCATAGAATTCACCAGTGAAGTATATTTTTTCTCTATAGGAAGATTTGAAATTACTGATGCAATTTCTTTACTTGATATTGGTATTTGTTTTTTTTCTTTTTCCTTGAGTCAGTTTTGGTAATTTGTGTCTTTCTAGGAATTGTTCTGTTTTATCTAAGTTGTCAAATTTTTTGCCTTAAAGTTATTATGCTATTTTCTTAACATCCTTTTAAGGGTAGGGTCTGTGGTGATATTTCTCATTGATTCTTGATTTTGGGAATTAGTGTCTTCTTTCTTTTTTCTTGGTCAATTTAACTAAATATTATTTATCTTCTTGACTTTCTGAAATAAGCAATTTTGGGTTTCTTTGGTTGTTTTTAATGTTATCCTGTTCTGTATTTATCGTTTTCCACTGTGACATTTTTATTTCATACATCCTACTTAATTTCGGCCTGGTTTACTCATCTTTTTCTAGAGTCTTAAGATGGAAGTTTTAATTATCAATTTTAGATTATTTTTTCTTTCTGTTTTTAAAGCTATACATTTTCCTCTTTACACTGCTTTAATTGCATCCTGTAAATATTGCTATGTTATTGGTTTTTTGTATTTTAAGTTTATAACGTTTTATTTATAAAAATAGGCTGGGGGAAAAGGATTTATACCACTGCATTCTTTCCTGGGGGAGAACTATTTTGGGCCATTTTTGTAATTTTTTTTCCTCTTAACAATTTTCAGAGTCACATTTGAATTCCTTCAGAATGGTATTTGTCAACAAAAAAGTTGAAGTTAAAAGGAGGAGGGAAACCGGGGAAGCATGAAGAAAGGGAGTGAGAGAAGGAGGAGTGGGCATACAGCAGTCAACACATAAAGACAGGCTTTTACTGAAATGACTCTGCCCTGTGCCTCATGCACTAGGTGATGCAAGCATACTGCTCAGACGTCAACACCAAATGTCATTTAGAAATGGTAGTCTTCTCTGGGTTCTGAAGGACACTTGTTCCCCAACATGACACTATTAAATGATGCTTTCAAGGCAGACACTAAGACATTACTCCAAAGAGAAGGCTCTGGTGGCAGATGCTGGGGCCATATTCTTTATAGTCCTTCTTGGTGTGACAGACCTGAAATAACTCCAGAGTTGAGGCTAGCATTAAGCTTCCAAACCATAAGGCATAGTGCTGCATGTGATGGATTACCACCCGAAACTCTGTAAGCTTAGGTTTGATTCTCCTGCCACTGAGCTCCTTACTGAGTTTTAATCTGGCATGTACCACTCTTCAAATCTCTCTGTAGTTGAGATTCAAATCCCTGAATATGGTCAAACCCCTTGAAAGAACAACATTCTTATACAGTGGACAATGCACATCAATGGGACAGTTTTGTATTCATCAACAACATTCAAGACGGATTCCATAAAGTCTGGGTTGGCAAACTCTGGGTAAAAAAATATTTCAGGTTGCAGGAACCTTTTGTAACCAACATCTATTATGAACTTCTCCTGGTTGATCACATTGATACCTGTGTACTGTTTGATCCACTTCCAGGGATCCACATCATACTTAGCAAATTCCTTGACTATATCAGGGCAAATGTAACAGTATTTCTCCTTAATGGCTTTTGTGGTCTCCAGTGACTGCTCAAGAGGGATTCCTACCTCCCTCTCCCTTAGTAGTTGTTGAATGAAATACACAGTATCACCTACAATCAGGATGTGATTGATGCAGCTCCCAATTACATAACCTTCTACAACTGGGAGAACAAGGGTGACTCCATCTCCTTTGTCAATGACTATACTCATTAACATATATTCACCCACTTGTTGAGATGTCCAAGATACTTCCAAGGCTAGTACCTCCTGAACTGCAATGTAGAATCCTGGTACATTAAATAATTCAAACATAATTTCTGCAAAAATGTTCTGTATTTTCTAGTGTATTCAGTGGAAGTTCTGTCATTGCAAAATAATGGTCCTCAGATTCTGCTCAAAATATTTAAAAACCACTTGCTCCATGAACCTTTCCATAATATCCCAGTCTTCAGTGACTCCATGTCATATTGACCACTTTGTAGCATACGTAGATTTATCAATGGCTTCATCCTGTATGAAAAAGTCAAGCTCATCAACTCCCCTCAACATTCTCCCTTGGGCTTTGTCAACTACCTTTGCTGACTCTCTGACAGAAATGCATGAAAGAATAGTAAACTATGCAGGCTCAGTGTTGCCTGCATAGCCAAGCTCGGAATATCTACTGAGGTGATCACAGGGCTGAGACCCAGAGCAATGGGGGCAGCTCAATCTCCAAGTGTGGGCTGGATGTCAGGGGCTGAGAGCAAGGCAATGGAGGAGCCAGGGTGGGCACTGAGTGGCTCTTACCTGATGCCACAGTCTGCCACACAGGAAGGCAGGAAGCCCGCCATGCTTGGAATACACAACACTTAGCCCCACTGGCCACCCTGGAGCACCCTGCCACCATCCACTTGGCAACCCACTCACCCCATACACCCTGTCTCCTGTGTGTTTCCACTTTTATTCATCTTAAGATATATTGTAGATGGGTGCAGCAAACCACATGGCACGTGTATACCTATGTAACAAACCTGCATGTTCTGCACATGTATCCCAGAACTTAAAGTACAATAAATTTTAAAAAAGGAATATTTTAAAGGATCAACCTACTATTTGACAGTCATGGAAATAGTGAATGGGAATTAAAGGGAAAAAATAAGTAAGCAAAGGAAGGGAGGAGGAAAGGGGAAAAGAAAGGAAAGAAAAGGAAAAGGGAAATACAAGAAAAGGAGACAAATAAATACATAAACAAATAAGTGACTGAAAGTCTGAGAGTTGGCAAATACTATTCAGATAACACTGACAAAATAGGCCTCTTGCTAAAAATAGCAGAATGCACAAAGTACAGGAGCAGCCTGTCTGTCCTGAGAGGCTGGGGAGGTTTAGGAAAAGAGGCTGGAGAGATTTGAGACAGGTCTGAAGTATGTAGTCAGTTTTTGCTTGGTGGAAAAAGTAATCATGGGTGATTCAGAAAAAGCAAGATACTTACATAATAACTGTTTTGTACCTTTTTTTAGTCTTCTATTACTTTCATAAAATTATCTTTGCATCAAAAGTTATTAACACTTTCAGGACTCCTTGTATGCAAAATTCTTTGAATTGCATTTCTTAATTTGTGATCGCACTGGTAATTTATCTAGCACAATGAACTGAATGTGTGTCTTTATGTTTAAAGGGAAAAATAAAATTCAAAACAGCATATTTGATATAATTTATGATTAGATAATAGAGAATTATCAACTTTAATATAATTTTTAGAAAGTAAAGCTTAGGCTAGTCACGATGGCTCATGCCTGTAATCCCAGCACTTTGGGAGGCTGAGGCGGGTGGATCACCTGAGGTCAGGAGTTCAAGACCAGCCTGACCAACATGGAGAAACCCTGTCTCTACTAAAAATACCAAATTAACCGGCACTAACGATTCATGAGAAATCTGCCCCATGATCCATTCACCTCCCAGCAGGACCTATCTCCAACTTTGGGGATTAAAATTCAACATGAGATTTGGGCAGGGACACATATCCAAACTATATCAACAGAGTTTCATTGTGTTGATCGGGCTAGTCTCAAACTCCTAGCCTCAAGCAATACTTCTATCTCAGCCTCCCAAGTACCTTTGGGGATTATAATAATCAATCATCTTCACTTTTTACAATCTACTTTGGTTTAATAATTTTTACTTAATTCCAGTGTTATATAGCAACTTTGATCCAATGTATCTCTTATATGCTATGAACTCAGCAGTATTGTTGTAGTTATTGCCTATAATAATCAGATGCTTTTTTAAAAAAAGAGATGAAATCAGAATACACACACACACACACACACATACACACACACACACACATACACACATACAATCTTTTATACTTACAAATTTATTTACCATTTCCCATGCTGTTTATTCCTTATAGGTTCAAGTTGCCATCTGGTGTCATATCCTTTTATCTTAAAAGCATTTTCTTTAGTGTTTCTTTAGCAAGGATAAGTTCTTTTTATTTTTATTTATCTGGAAATGTCTTTATTTCAGCTCCATTTTTGAAGGATCATTTAACTGGATACAGAATTCTTAATTGACAGTTATTTTTCCCTCCACTTTTGAAATGTCGCTTCATAAGACCTCCATTTTTTTCAGATAAAAATGCCAGTATTGATAATATTACTGTTCCCCTGTATGTGATAAGTCGTCTCTTGCTACTTTCATGATTTTCTTATTATCCTTGGTTTTCACCAATTTGACAAGGATGGCTCTAGGTGTGAATCTCTTTGTGTTTATCCTACTAGAGATTTGTTGGACTTCTTATATCTGAAGATTAATGTTTTTCATAGCATTTTTGAAGTTTTCAGACATGTTTTCAAATATTTTTCTGCCCTCTTATCTCTCTCTTCTCCTGGAATTCCCATTATGCATATGTTAGTGCTCTTGATGGTATCCCATAAATTTCTGAGGATCTGTTTATTATCCTTCATTCTTTTTTCTTTTTGTTCTTCAGATTGATTAACCTCTATTGGTCTACCTTCAAGTTCACTGATACTTTCTTTCACAAGGTCAAATATGCTATTGAACCTCGCTAGTGATTTTTTCACTTTAACTGTTGTACTTTTCAATTCTAGATTCTATTTTTAAACATATTCTGTCCCCTTATTCATATTTTCTATTGGACAGCACATTATCATACTTTTAATTTGAACATATTTATAATATATACTTTGAAAACTTTCTTTCTAAATCCAATATCTGAATTGAGACAGTTTCTATTCACTGCTTTTTTTCCAGAGTATGAGCCACATTTTCCTGTTTCCTTACATGTCTGATAATTTTTAATTGAAAACTAAACACTTTAATTACACATTATAGCAAATCTGGATCTGGTTTTTATTTGTTATTGTCTTTGTTGTTGTTATGTTTTGGTAATTGGCCTATACTTGTGCTGTGTAATCCTTCTGCCCAGTGGTTTTCAGCATTGATGTCTTTTATATTGTGTTGTTGCTGTTATTGTTGTTTTAGCCTGTCTTTCTAGGGATTTCCTCTGTGTCTGTTGCATAGCTTGATTTTGGAGAGACATTATATTAAAGCTAGTAAGGCTTCCACTCTCTGCCAAATAATCTGTGGGTGGGTGGGTGAATGTATTCAAAGTTGCAATTAATACTCAATTCTTACTTCATTTTTGCTTTTTGTCATACTCTCTTGAGTCTTTCCTGCACTTCCATACTTTTCCAATTGGCCATATGTGTGGAGAAGTTTTCTCAAACTTTCTATGATTCTCTCCTTTCCAGGATTTCTCTCTCTCTCTTTTTTTTTTTAGTAATACTCAGATTTTTAATTTATTATAGTGAATGGATACAAAGCAAAATTAGCAAAGGGAAAAAGTTGTATGTGGTAAAGTCTGGAGGATACCAGGCACAAGCTTCCTGGAATCATCTCCTGTGGAGTTACAAGGATGTGTTTCTCTTTCCCAGCATGAAATTTTGACAGCACATGTGTAATGTCATCTACCAGGACCAGAGTCTCATTAGAGACTCAGTACTCAGGATTTTACGGAGGTTACTCTCCTTCACATGTACCAGAATTCTAGACTCCCAGAGGAAAAGCAGCTGTTCAGAGTAAACCACATTGTTTGTATAAACAGTTTAGGCACAGTGAGCCACTCTTCTTAGTGAGAGAATTGGAACTTGGAACTGGAAAACTCTAACCTTGCATGTGGGTCTTTCTTTTCTTTCTTTCTTTCTTTCTTTCTTTCTTTCTTTCTTTCTTTCTTTCTTCTTTCTTTCTTTTTCTTTCTTTCTTTCTTTCTTTCTTTCTTTCTTTCTTCTTTCTTTCTCTCTCTTTCTTTCTTCCTCTTTCTTTCTTTCTTTGTTTCTTTCTCTCTTTCTTTCTTTCTTTCTTTCTTTCTTTCTTTCTTTCTTTCTTTCTTTCCTTCTTTCCTTCTTTCTCTTTCTTTCTTTTTTAATTTTACTTTGAGTTCCAGGATACATGTGCAGAACATTCAGGTTTGTTACACAGGTATACATGTGCCATGGTGGTTTGCTGCACCTATTGACCCTCAGGATCTCTCATTTAAATTTTTGTCTTGTCTTCCACTTCCCCAATTGAAACTGCAACCTCAGACTAGCAAATCTGCAATTCTCTCTGTTCATTCCCAAACCACTCTGCTATATTTAACTGGCAAAACCATTGATTTCTTCCCTCCACTCCATACCAAATCCCCCCTTGCCCGCAGCCCTAACAGGAAAGCTGCTGGGTTTTACATCCAGCTTCAAACTTGTAAAGCTACAGTTTTTCCCAACTGAGCTTGGGGGTGAGAAGAGAGATGGGAGTGTATTAGTCCGTTTTCATTCTGCTGATAAAGTCATACCCAAGACTGGGAAGAAAAAGAGGTTTAATTGGACTTATAGTTCCAGGTGGCTGAGGAGACCTCAGAATCATGGCGGGAGGTGAAAGGCACTTGTTACATGGTGGCTGCAAGAGAAAATGAGGAAGATGCAAAAGCGGAAAACTCTGATAAAGCCATCAGATCTTGTGAGACTTATCCACTACCACGAGAACAGTATGGGGGGGAGCCACCCCCATGATTCAATTATCTCCCACCAGGTCCCTCCCACAACACATAGGAATTATGGGAGTACAATTCAAGATGAGATTTGGTTGGGGACACAAAGCCAAACCATATCAGGGAGCAACCCCAGTCAGGAAGGGCTCAGACTTTTACCAATCCTACCCAAAACCCTAACACTTTTTTCAAGAATAAATGCTTCTTAAATTTGATAACTGCCTTTGATGAGTTTTCAGGGTCCTGAAATGACTGTTTTTGGTATTTCTGCAATTTCTGGGGGGACTTTTTGTGTGGAAATAAATTGCCAACCTTTTCATGTCACCTCCCAACCTTATCTTTATATCCTCTGATTAACAATTTTCATTAGTAATGTGTTACACAACAAATACTTGTTTAGACTAACCTACATTTTACCAATTTCTTTGCACATTGTTCCGTCTTTTTTGGTTCTATGTCATATTTCTAAAGCATATCTTTCAGTAGATTTTTCCCTGGTAAAAAATGGCATATGTTCTTAAATGTATTTGTTTGACAATATCTTTCATTTGTCTTTTGTTCGAGTGACAGTTAACTTGCTACAGAATTCAACATTGAATGTTGTGTTTATCTCTGTACTTTGAAGACTTTATTTAATTATCTTCCATCTTCTATTGTTGCTGATAAGAATTGAGAATCTGCTCTATTGTTTATTCAATTATGATTAATCTCTCTTTCTCTGTCTAGATTATTTAAGATTTTATTTTTGCCTTTGGTAGTCTATAGTTTCTCAACATTTTATCTAAGTATCTATTTTTACTTAATCCTGATTAGAACTCATTTGACTTCCTGTGTCCAAATCAATAAAAACCCTAATCAATTCTGTAAAATTTGAAGCCAGTTTTCTTCTCAAATATTATGTCTTCTTCATTCTTTCAATTATGTTTCTGAAACTACCAATAATTGTGTTTTAGATCTTTTCCATAATCTAAATCTCTCATTTTCCACCTCATTTTTTTGTGTGTGTGCTATGCTCTTAAATAATTTCCTCATATCTACTACTTTGCTGTGTTCTCTCTTCAGCTTTGTCTAGATTGCTATTTCAGTACTTAGTGGGTTTTTTTCAGTTGAGTAAATTTTAAAGTTTTTTCTAGATGTTCTATTTAATTATTTTACAATACTTTCAAGTAATTTCTTCTTCTCATGTCTGCAATTTTTAAAAATTTTATCTAGTCCCTTTGAAAATACATATTTTATAGTGTCTATCTAGTGGTTCTATTGACTTTATGCAGTCTGGGATCAGGAGTGTCTATTAGAGATTTTTTGAATTAGCATCTAGTAAATGTTCTAGGGATACTTCTATGCAGGGACACTTTTATGGTAGGTTTAGAACTTTGGGATCCCTAACCTGTGCACGTAATGTAATTTGAGCCCTACACATAAGTTGGATGAGGCCAGTTTTACATATGAATTCTCAAAAAAGACTTTGCCACCCAGAGACCAGCTAAGAAAAACTGCCTTGTCTTCTCAATTTGTCAGTAAGATGACATTTTCTGGTCTGTGTTTTTTATTTATCTTTTTGTTTTTTGTTTTGTTTTGTTTTGTTTTCTTGAGATGGAGTTTTGCTCTTGTTACCCAGGCTGGAGTGAAGTGGCGCCATCTCAGCTCACTGCAATGTCCGCCTCCTGGGTTCAAGCAATTCTCCTACCTCAGCCTCCCAAGTAGCTGGGATTACAGGCATGCACCACCAGGCCAGACTAATTGTCTGTATTTTTAATAGAGATGGCGTTTCACCGTGTTGGTCAGGCTCATCTTGAACTCCTGACCTCAGGTGATCCACCCACCTCGGCCTCCCAAAGTGCTGGGATTACAGGCGCGAGCCACCATGCCCAGCCTGGTCCATTATTTTAGTAAATGTTTAGCCCTCCAAGGCTTCCAGTTTTGCAGGATGACAATAATCAGAGGGGACGAGGAAAGAAACTTTCTTCTAACTCTCTGCCTGGAGTGAGTCAAAATCCTCCTCTTCTACCCTGGCAAATTCTATACAGCCAGAAAGGGGTCATAGCTAAAAAATTCATGTAAGCAGTTTTAAGAATATTAAAAGCATTATCAATTATGATTCATAGCAAATAAAGGTAGCCATTTAATTAGCAAATGGAAATTTACCATGTTATTGTCTGTTCTTTACAGAAACCTATGGATTCCTCAGTGAGTAGCACCTAGTTGCCAGAAACAAGATGTCTAGTAATTTATACCTACTCATCTTAATCTCCCTCTACCTCCTACACATAATCTAAGATACTTTATATTTATTCCCACAAAATCTAGGTTCATTTCTTCCAGCCATTACCTCCTATAATACATTTATGCCAAAAATCAGTTGAATTATCCTTTCAATAAAAAGATTTAGCAGGTTCCTGTTAAAAGATTTGGCACCTTGACACTGTGATCTTCAATAAGGTTGTGAATTCTTATCACAGCCAATCATCCTCTTATTTTCCATCCTGATAAAAAAGCTATTTTAAAATATAAAATGAAGTAAATCTCATCATATTGCCATGATGTTTTTAACTATCATGTATTATAAGTTAGCATTTTCAAGAGTTCACATATAGGTTTTTTTTATTTTTTTTAATTTTTTTATTGAGACTGAGTCTCACTCTGTCACCCAGACTGGAGTGCAGCGGCACAATCTTGGCTCACTGCAACCTCCACCTCCTGGGTTCAAGCAATTCTCCTGACTCAGCCTCCCATGTAGCTGGGATTACAGGCACGAACCACCACGCCTGGCTAATTTTTGCATTTTTAGTAGAGACGGGATTTCACTGTGTTGGCCAGGCTGGTCTCAAACTCCTGACCTCATGTGATCCAGCCCGCCTCAGCCTCCCAAAGTGCTGGGATTAAGGCGTGAGCCACTGCACCTGGCCCACATACAGTTTTTAAATATTTTTAAAGTGAAAACACTTTGTTTAAAACCTACTTCATAAATTGACAGGTTATTTGGAATATATGTTAAGCAGATATCTCTTTCACCAAACTAGTAAGCAATGTTGATCTATACCATGTATCATTTTATAGAACTGGCTATTAGTATATATGATAAAAGAGAATTGATCCTTTGTTTGTATACATCTATGTGTATGTAGATATATAGCTGTTCACTTTTTCGTATTTCAGGAGTTACACTGTTTGTGATATGGTACATGACCTGGTCAATCTTAGGCTCTGAAGCTCTCCCTGGTGGAAATTTATTTGGATTGTTAATTATTTTTTATAGTGCCATTATTGGGGGAAAAAATTTACAACTCATTAGAATACCTTTAGTGCCGCCATTTCCACCTCTTCTTGGTAAGCATATAATTAGCTCTCTTTTCTTTATTATTGACTATATGCAAATTTTGAACATTTTCTTGTTGAATTAGTTATAATTCAGCAATATTTCAATGTAGTATGTTTTATATAGTTTCTTCATGTGTGTATTTACTGCGTGTGTGTGTGTGTGTACAGATCCTTTATATGGGCATTTATTTCTCTCTCTGTCTACATATATACACACACAAGTTTTACCCAAAATTTATTTTTGAAATAAATTTAATATCCTTAGCACATTATTCCTGTTGCTTTTTTGTTTAATAGAACCTTTAAAAATTTTAGATTCACGGAGTACATGTGCAGGTTTGGTACATGGATATATTGCATAATGGTGAGATTTGGGCTCTAGTGAACCCATCACCAAACAGTGAATACTATACCCAATAGGTAATTTTTCAACCTTAACCCTCCAACCCTCTCTCCTTTTGGACTCCCCAGTGTCTATTATTTCCATCTTTATGTCCATATGTACCCATTGTTTAGCTCCCACATATAAGTGAGAACATGTGGTATTTGAGTTTTCTGTTTCTGAGTTATTTCACTTAGGATAATGGTGTTCAGCTCTATCCATGTTGCTACAAAGGACATGATGCCATTCTTTTTTATGACTGCATAGTATTCCATGGTGTATATGTACCACATTTTCTTTATTTAGTCATTTAGGTTGATTGCATGTCTTTTTATTGTGAATAGTGCCACAATGAACATATGTGTGTGCATCTCTTTATGGAAGAATGATTCACATGTTTAACCATCCTTGTATTTCTGGAGTAAAACACACTTAACTATATTATCTTTTTGATGTACTATAGAATTCATTTTGCTAGTTGAGAATTTTTGCATCTATGTTCATCAGGGATACTGACCGGTGGAGTGTGTGTGTGTGTGTGTGTGTTTGTGTGTGTGTATGGCTTTGCCTGATTTGGGTATAATTGTGATACTAGATTCATAGAATGTGTTAGGAAGGTAGTCCCTCTTTGATTTTTTTGGATTAAGTTTCAATCACCTTTGACCCTGAACTACTGTTCTAGTGGATTGTACAATGACCCTGAACTAGTGGATTGTACAATGAAAAAATGAATGAATATAAATTATTGTAAAATAAAATTTTGTTAAGTATATGATAACCATACAAATGCAAAACAATAAACAATGTGATATGAAAACTCTCAGCCACCTACCATATTTGTGTTTGTTTTTGAGCTGCATAGTGGGAGGAGGTGCTCCTTACAATTTTCACTTTGTAAACATTTATTCTTTGATTTTAACCATCACTGCTATAACCACCATCACTCGTGGATTCACCAAAAATTAAGTAAAGAATTATCTTATTTGTTTTTATAAAACTTTGTAAAATGTATGTAGAGCTCACATTTATTTCATTGTTTAATACTAGAAGTGTTTTGGATCTTTATTTAGAAGTTTGGTGATGTTTTGTGACCAGAAATATGCTGTAGGAAATTCACTCTTCTTTATATCACTTAGCCTATGTTAAATTGGTTTTGTTATATACCATTTTACTCAAAGTTGCCATTTCCAATCACCTATCGATGATGTTAAGTGAGAACTTACTGTATTCAAATATGTCTAAATATTCAGTACAGTGGGCCAGGCATGGTGGCTCATGCCCATAATCCCAGTACTTTGGGAGGCCAAGGCAGGAGGATCACCTGAGCCCAGGAGTTCAAAACCAGCCTGGGCAACATAGCAGACCTTCTCTTTACAAAATATTAAAAATTTTTCTGGGTCTCAGCTACTCAGGAGGCTAAGGCAAGAGGATCACTTGAGCTCAAGAGTTTAAGCCTACAGTGAGCCATGTTTGCATCACTGCACTCACCTTGGGCAACAGAATGAGACCCTGTCCCCAAAAATAAATATATATTCAGTACACTGTCAGTAGAGATAATCTCTACATCTTATCTCTGCTGTCCCTTCTGTATCCACAGTTTTCTTGCAGCACCTTCCAAGTATTTATTGAATCACTTTCCTCCTCTCCAAACTTTCTCTTTTGCTCTAGCTTGGGCTATTTGTTTCCAACTTTTGCGTGGACTGTGGCAGAGCCTTCAATTTGGTCTCTGTCTCCAGTTTTATCCCTAACTAATTCACCAAGACCCTCATATAAAAATCGCAAGACTCATTATGTTACTTCCTGCCTAAAACCTTCCCATGGTGCCTTACTTTGCCAAAGTCGGGGGAGACCTTTCTATGATCTGGCCCACCAAGCTCATTCTCCTCCCTCCTTTCCTTGCCCTGTATATTCCAGCAACACTAAATTACTTGTTGAACCCCATTTAGGTGTATTGTTTCTTATCGCCATTCCTTTATTCATGCTGCCTTCTCTACTTGCTTGTAACCTGCCCTTTACCAAAATAATGAGAGACATAGTGCATTAGAAAATAAAGTAAACATTTCTGTTTTCTTTCTCAGAAAAATGAACTGTCAAGTATGTTTATTTTCTTTCTTTTAAGGGATGTTACTGGCTGGTTTTACAATTAGGAATGTTCCATTCATCAATGAACATGTCCATGTTCCTAACGCATGGTCTTCAATTTTAAGAAGCATTGCCCTTAACATTATTCTAATACGAGCTGGGCTTGGACTCGATCCACAGGTAGATTTACAATTACAAATCGAGTAAGGTTATTTCAAATATTAGAGGATGGTGAGAAAGAAAAATAAGCAAAAATTTTATTTACCTGTTCCAAGTGGAGTCTGTAAACAAACCTAAGATAAAGAAAAATAGGCCGAGCATGATGGCTCATGCCTGTAATCTACAAAAATTAGCCGGGCATGGTGGCATTTACCTGGTAATCCCAGCTACTCTGGAGGCTGAGGCAAGAGAATCGCTTGAACCTGAGTGATAGAGGTTGCAGTGAGCTGAGATAGTGCCACTGCAATCCAGCCTGGGGGACAGAGTGAGACTCTGTCTCAAAAAACAGAACAAAACAAACAAACAAATGTTTTATAAGAAAAACCTGTGGTGGGGTGTGGGGAGGGGGGAGGGATAGCATTGGGAGATATACCTAATGCTAGATGACGAGTTAGTGGGTGCAGCACACCAGCATGGCACATGTATACATATGTAACTAACCTGCACAATGTGCACATGTACCCTAAAACTTAAAGTATAATTAAAAAAAAAGAAAAAATGTCACATACAGAAAAAAAAAAAAAAACTTATACAATTCTTTTTATTTTTTTAGGGAGATTAAGGATTTCAGTAATTTTTTATTATGTTTTCTCTACAGGATTATGTTCCTGATTATCTTTGCATTATTGTAAAATCTAATCTTTTAAAGCATTTCTTAAAATATTACATTCTAGGGATCATAAATCCCATCTATAAGAAGATGACTATTCATGAATATGACAGCCACTCAAATAAATGTGGCAAATGTGGTTTAATAGAAATAGCTCAAGAGCATAAATAATTATAGCCAATGAGATTATATTCTCCAGTAGAAAGTATGAACCAAGGAGAAAATTGAAAAGTTCTCTCTTTTAAAATGAATTATGCAGTTTTTAAGTTATTTTCTTTGGCATGTTAGTATTGTATTTATACTTATCACGTTAATCAAACAGTTCATATCAAAAAGTCAATGGGAAAACACTAATAGGACACTATTATTATACTATGTATTAGGAAAGTTCAGGAAGGTAGCATTAGCTATTTAATCACAGTAAAATTGGTCTTTTAATAATTAAAATACAATAATATTTTATGAAAGATGAAATTGTTTATAATCCAACCTATGATGACATATAAAATATAATAGAGTTCAAAGTCCAGTGGGACAATCTGTTGAAATGAGATTTTGTTTAGTGAAACTTCTTATGAAAAAAGACTTTATAGTCCAACATTTGTTAAAATAATTTTCTTTTTGGCCATTGTAAATGTATCAAATATGACTGTTTTGTGTTTCAGGCTTGGAGGCATTTGAAGGTGGTTTGTTTCAGATTGGCTGTAGGTCCATGCCTTATGGAGGCAAGTGCAGCTGCTGTTTTTTCCCACTTCATTATGAAATTTCCCTGGCAATGGGCAATTCTATTAGGGTAATTTATTTCTCATTTTTTCTTATGAAAATATTCAATTAAGGATGCTTGGTTAAAACTGTTAAAATATTCAGAATATTGTATAGAAAAGCTCTATTAAAATTCATTTCACAGTGTTAAAATCCTTGGAAAGCAGTTGATTAAAAGCAGAGCATGTCCCAAATTGCACGAAATTTTTTTAACAAACATTCATAGCCCCTAAATGTTTATCATCAAGAAAATTCACGTGATCAATTTATTCCTTTTCATCTGTATTATATCTGTATGTTTTAATCTATCTAATGGCCTATTCCTCATAACTATATGTAAATACAGTTGCACATTTCATATATATGTATGTGTATATATATATTTGAAAAACATTTTATATAGACATAGGTGTATAAATATAAACTCTCCCATTTTAAAGAAAGCAAGCAAACAAAAACTCTTGCCGTATATCCAATGCCCCATCCATCTTTATCTACCATCCATTTGTCTTATGTTTGAATTCCTCAAAATAAGTCTCTAACTACTGTCTCTAGATCCTAACTCCTTTTCATTTCTTAATTCAGCAAATTTTGTCTCTGCTTATCCATTCCAATGACACTCATAGCAAAGTTCATCCATTACATAGTTACTACAAAATCCAGTGAATTTTTAAATTAATGTTTATAATAAAATACTCAAATGTACTTTTATTTTAAAAATTAGAACTTTATAAATAAAGGAGGAATGACCTTAAACTATGCCTTCAAATCATAATGCCCATAACTCCACCCAAAGTGACAACTCTTAGGAGTTTTTTTCTTTTCCAATTTTTATTTTGGCTCAAGGGGTACATCAGCAGGCTTGTTATATGGATAAATTGCATGTCACAGGGGTTTGGTATGCAGATTACTTTGTCACCCAGGTTGTAAGTATAATACCCAATAGGTAGTTTTTCTATTCTCCCCCTCCTTCCACCCTCCACCCTCAAATTCACCTAGTGACGATTGTTCCCTTCTTTCTGTCCATGTGTACTCAGTGTTTAGCTCCCACTTATAAGTGAGAATATGGGATATTTGGTTTCCTGTTCCTGCATTAATTCACTTTGCATAATGGCCGCAACTCCATCCACGTTGCTCCAAAGGACATGATCTCGTTCTTTCTTATGGCTGTGTATTATTCTATGGTGTATATGTGCCACGTTTTCTTTATCCAGTTCACCATTGATGGGCATTTAGGTTGATCTCATGTCTTTTTTATTTTTTTCATTAGTTTTTAAGGAACAGGTGGTGTTTGTTTACATGGAAAATATTTTTAGTGGCAATTTCTGAGATTTTGGTGCACCCATCACCAGAGCAGTGTACACTGCACCCAAGGTGTAGTCTTTTATCCCTCACCCTCCTCCTACTCTTCCCCCTAAGTCCCCAAAGTCCATTGTATCATTCTTATGCTTTTGCATCCTCATAGCATAACTCTCACTTATAAGTCAGAACATACAATGTTTGGTTTTTTCATTCCTGAATTACTTCACTTAGAATAATGGTGTCCGACTCCTTCCAGGCTGCTGTGAATGCCATTATTTCATTCCTTTTTATAGCTGAGTAGTATTCCGTCCATGGTCTGTGTGTGTATATATATACACACATACATATATATATATATACATATATACACATATATGTGTGCATATACACATATATATATATACACCACATTTTCTCTATGCATTCTTTGATTGATGGGCATTTGAGCTAGTTCCATATCCTTCACAATTGCAAATTGTGCTGCAATAAACGTATGTGCAAGTGTTTTTTTCATATAATGACTTCTTTTCCTCTGGGTAGATACCCAGTAGTGGGATTGCTAGATCAAATGGTAGATCTACTTTTAATTATTTAAGAAATCTTCATACTCTTTTCCATAGTGGTTGTACTAGTTTACATTCCCCCCAGCAGTGTAAAAGTGTTCCCTTTTTACCACACCCATGGCAACATCTATTTTTTTTAATTTTTTGATTATGGCTATTCTTGGAGGAGTGAGATGGTATCGCATTGTGGTTTTGTTTGCATTTCCCTGATAATTAGTGATATTGAGGATTTTTTCATGTTTCTTGGCCATTTATATCTTCTTTTGGGAAGTGTCTATTCATGTCCTTAGCACACTTTTTGATAGGATAATTTGATTTTTTCTTGCTGATTTGTGTGAGTTCCTTATAGATTCTGGATATTAGTACTTTGTTGGATGCATAGTTTTGTAAAGATTTTCTCCCACCCTATAGGTTGTCTTTTTACTCTGCTGATTATGTCTTTTGCTGTGTAGAAGCTTCTTAGTTTAATTAAGTCCCATCTATTTATCTTTGTTTTTGTTGCCTTTGCTTTTGGGTTCTTGGTCATGAAGTCTTTGCCTAAGCAAATGTCTAGAAGGGTATTTCCAATGTTACCTTCTAGAATTTTTATAGTTTTAGGTGTTAGATTTAAGTCTTTGATCCATCTTGAGTTGATTTTTGTATAAGGTGAGAGATGAGGATGCAGTTTCATTCTTCTACATATGGCTTGCCAATTATCCCAGCACCATTTGTTGAATACGGTGTCCTTTCCCAACTTTATGTTTTTGTTTCCTTTGTTAAAGATCAGTTGGCTTAAGTATTTGGCTTTATTTCTCGGTTCTCTATTCAGTTCCATTAGTCTGTGTGCCTATTTTTATACCAGTATTATGCTGCTTTGGTGACTATAGCCTTATAGTATAGCTTGAAGTCAAGAAATGTGATGCATCCACATTTGTTGTTTTTGCTTAGTCTTGCTTTCGTTATGCGGGCTATTTTTGGGTTCCACATGAATTTTAGGATTGCTTTTTCTAGTTCAGGGAAGAATGATGACGTAGATTGCTTTTGGCAGTATGGTCATTTTCACAATATTGATTCTACCTATCCATGAGCATGTGATGTGTTTCTATTTGTTTGGTGTCATCTATGATTTCTTTCTGCAGTGTTTTGTAGTTTTCACTGTAGAGCTCTTTCACCTCCTTGGTTAGGTATATTCCTAAGTTAGTTTGCTTGGGGTTTTTTCTTTGGTTTTGTTTGTTTGTTTGTTTTGGTTTTTTTGTAGCTGTTGTAAAAGGGATTGAGATCTTGATTTAATTCTCAGCTCAGTCACCGTCGGTGTATACCAGTGCTGCTGATTTGTGTACATTGATGTTGTATCCTGAAACATTACTGAATTCATTTATCAGATCTAGGAGCTTTTTGGATGAGTCTTTAGGGTTTTCTCATTATATGATCATATCATCAGGAACAGCAACAGTTTGACTTCCTCTTTACTGATTTAGATGCCCTTTATTTCTTTCTCTTTTCTTATTGCTCTGGCTAGGACTTCCAGTACTATGTTGAATAGAAGTGGTGAAAGTGGGCAACCTTGTTTTGTTCCAGTTCTCGGGGGAATGCTTTCAACTTTTCCCCATTCAGTATAATGTTGGCTGTGGGTTTTTCTTTCTTTCTCTTTCTGTATTTTTTTTTTGAGATGGAGTCTTGCTGTGTTGCCCAGGCTAGAGTGCAATGGCCCAATCTCAGCTCACTGCAACCTCTGTCTCCCAGGTTCAAGCAATTCTCATGCCTCAGCCTTCCAAAGACCTGGGAGTAGCTCCCCAAGCTCGCCAGCATCTATTACTTTTTGACTTTTTAATAATAGCCATTCTGCCTCCTGTGAGGTTGTATCTCATTGCACTTTTGTTTTGCATTTCTCTAATGATTAGTGATGTTGAATATTTTTCCGTATACTTGTTGACTACATGTTTGTCTTCTTTTGAGAATTGTCTTGTCCTGTCCTTTGCCCATTTAATGGGGTTGTTAGATTTTTGCTTGTTGATTTTTCTAAGTTCTTTTTGGATTCTGGATATTAGACTTTTGTCGAATGCATGGTTTGCAAATATTTCCTCCCATTCCATAGGTTGTTTGTTGATGATTTCTTTTGCTGTGCAGAAGCCCTTTAGTTTAATTAGGTCCCATTTGTCAATTTTTGTTTTGTTGCAATTGCTTTTGGCATCTTTGTCATAAAGTGTTTTCCAGAATTGAAATTTCCTAGGATATGTCCAGAATGGCCTGTATCCAGAATGGTATTTCTTAGGCTATCTTCCAGGGTTTTTATAGTTTTGGGTTTTACATTTAAGTCTTTAATCTACCTTGAGTTGATTTTTGTAAACGGTGAAACATAGGGAGTCCAGTTTCAATTTTCTGCATACGGCTAGCCAGTTATCCCAGCACAATTTCCAAGTAGGGATTCCCTTCCCCATTGCTTGTTTTTGTCAAGTTTGTTGAAGAGTAGATGGCTATAGGTGTGCGGCTTTATTTCTGCATTCTGTAACCTGTTCCACTGGTCTATGTCTGTTTTTGAGTTCCTTATAGATTCTGGATATTAGTACTTTGCTGGATGCATAGTTTGTAAAGATTTTCTCCCACTCTATAGGTTGTCTTTTTACTCTGCTGATTATTTCTTTTCCTGAGCATAAACGTGCTGTTTTGCTTACTGCAGCATTGTAGTACAGTTCGAAGTCAGGTAGTGTGACGCTTTCGACTTTGTTCTTTTTGCTTAGGATTGCTTTGGCTATTTGGGCTTTTTTTTTTCTTTTTTTTGGCTCCAAATGAATTTTAGAATGCTTTTTTTTAATCCTGTGAAAAATGTCATTGGTGGTATGATAGGAATAGCATTGACTCTGTAAATAGCCTTAGACAGTATGGCCATTTTAACAATATTGCTTCTTCCTATCTGTGATCATGGAATGTTTTCCTTTTGTTTCTGTTGTCTCTGATTCTTTGAGCACTCGCTTGTAATTTTCATTTTAGAGATTTTTCACCTCCCTGCTTAGCTGTATTCCAAGGTATTTTGTAGTTTTTTTGTGGCTACTGTGAATGGGATTGCATTCTTGATTTGGCTGTCAGCTTGGATGTTGTTGGTGTATAGAAATGCTACAGATTTTTGTACATTGATTTTTGTATCCTGAAACTTTGCTGAAGTCTTTTGTCAGATCTGAGAGCTCTCGATAGGCTACTATGGGGTTTTCTTGGTATAAAAGTGTTTCACCTATGAAGAGGCATAGTTTGACTTCCATTCTTCCTATTTAGGTGTCTGTGTTTCTTTCTCTTGCCTAATTGCACTGGCTAGGACATCCAGCACTATGATGAATAGGAGTAGTGGGAGTGGGCATCCTTGTCTTGTTCCAGTTCTCAAAGGGAATATTCCAGCTTTTTCCCATTCAGTATGAAGTTGGCTGTGGGTTTGTCATAAATGTCATAAATGTCATAAATGTCATAAATATTTTGAGGTATGCTCCTTCAGTAACTCATTTGTTGAGGGTTTATATCATGAACGGATGTTTTTACTTTTAGTTCTATTTTATGATGAATCACATTTATTGGTTTGTATATCTTGAACCAAACTTGCATCCCAGGGATAAAGCTTACTTGATCATAGTGGACTAGCTTTTTGATATGCTGCTGGATTCAGTCTGCTTGTATTTTATTGAGGATTTTTGCATCTATGATCATCAGTGATAACTGTCCTGAAGTTTTCTTTTTTGTTGTGTCTCTGCCAGGTTTTCATATCTGAATGATGCTGACCTCATAAAATGAGTTAGGGAGGGATCCTTCCTCCTCATTTTTTCGGAATAATTTCAGTAGCATTGGTACCAGCTCTTCTTTACACTTCCGGTAGAATTTGTCTGTGAATCTGTTGGGTCCTGGGCTTGCTTTTTTTTTTTTTTTTGGCTCAAAGACTTTTTATTACACATTCAGTTTCAGAACTCATTTTTGGTTTGTTCAGGATTTCAATTTCTTCCTAGTTCAATCTTGGGAGGTTGTATGTTTCCAGAAATTTACCCATTTCTTGTAGGTGTTCTACTTTGTTTGCATAAATATGTTCATCATAGTCTCTGAGAGTTTTTTGTATTTTTGTGTGGTTGGCGGTAATGTCCACTTTACCATTTCTGATTGTGTTTTTTGTATCTTCTCTTTTTTTTTTTTCTTATTGGTCTAGCTAGTGACCTATCAAATTTATTTATTCTTTCGAAGAAACAGCTTTTAGTTTCATTTATCTTTTGTATGGCTTTTCATGACTCAATTTCATTCCATTCTGCCCTGATTTTGGTTATTTATTTTCTTCTGCTAGCTTTGGGTTGGTTTATTCTTGTTTTTCTATTTCCTTTAGGTATGATATTAGGTTGTTAATTTAAGATCTTTCTAACTTTTCAATATGGGCCTTTAGCACGATAAATTTTTCCCTCAACACTGCTTTGCCTGTGTCTTAGAGAGCCTAGAATGTTGTATCTTTGTTTTAATTAGTTTCAAAGAATTTATTGGTTTCTGCCTTAATTTCATTGTTTACCCAAAAGTCATTCAGGCACAGGTTGTTTAATTTCCATGTAATTGTATGGTTTTGAGAGTTCTTCTTAGTGTTGACTTCTATTTTTGTTACACTGAGCAGTCCAAGAGTGTGGTTGGCATGATTTCTGGGGTTTCTTTTAATTTATTGAAAATAATTTTAGACTGATAGTGTGATCAATTTTACAATATATGCCATGTACAGATGAGAGGAAGATATATTCTGTTGTTGTTGGGTGGAGTGTTCTGTAGATGGCTGTTAGGTCCATTTAGCCAAGTGTTGACTTCAAGTCCTGAATATCTTTGTTCATTTTCTGTCTCTATGATCTGTCTAGTACCGTCAGTGAGATGTTGAATTCTCCCACTATTATTCTGTGGTTATCTAAGTCTCTCTATAGGTCTCTATGAACTTGTTTTATGAATGTGAATGCTCCAGTTTTGAGCACATTTATCTATCAGACAGTAAGTCTTCTTGTTGAATTGAACCCTTTATCATTACGTAGTGCCCTTCTTTGTGTTTTTGATTGTTGTTGGTTTAAAGTCTATTTTGTCTGAATTAGAATAACAATGCTTACCCTTTTTTGTTTTGCATTTGCTTGGTAGATTTTTTTCCATCCCTTTACTTCAAGCCAATGAGTATTGTTGCATATGAGCTGGATCTCTTGACAACAGATACAGTTGGGCTTTGCTTCTTTATCCAACTTGCCATTCTGTGAGTTTTAAGCAGGTCATTTATACTGTTTACATTCACAGTTAATATTGGTATTTATAGCTTTGGTCCTGCCATTATGTTGTTAGCTGGTTATTATGCAGACTTGATTGTGTAGTTACTTTACACGTCAATGGTCTATGTACTTAAATGTATTTTTTGGTGGCCATTAACAGTCTTTCACTTCCGTGCTTAGCACTCGCTTAAGTACCTCTTGTAAGGCATGTCTGGTGGTAACAGATTCCGTTAGCATTTGTTTGTCTGAAAAGGACCTTACTTCTCCTTCACATATGAAGTTTAGTTTGGCTGGATATTAAGTTCTTGGTTGATTTTTTTTTTTTTTTTTTTTTTTTGCGACAGAGTCTTGCTCTCTCCCCAGGCTGGAGTGCAGTGGTGCTATCTTGGCTCACTGCAACCTCCACCTCCTGGGTTAAGTGATTCTCTTGCCTCAGCCTCCCGAGTAGCTGGGACTACAGACACGCACCACCATGCCCAGCTAATTTTTGTATTTTTATTACAGATGAGGTTTCACCATGTTGGCCAGGATGGTCTTGATCTCTTGACCTTGTGTTCCGTCCCCCTCAGCCTCCCAAAGTGCTGGGATTACAGGCATGAGCCACCACACCTGGCCAAGTATTTTTTTTTTAAGAATGCTGAAGGCCGGGCATGGTGGCTCACACCTGTAATCCCAGAACTTTGAGAGGCCAAGGTGGGCAGATCACAAGGTCAAGAATTTGAGATCACCCTGGCCAATATGGTGAAATCCTGTCTCTACTAAAATTATAAAAAATTGTCGGGTGTTGTGGTGCGCACCTGTAGTCCCAGCTACTTGGGAGGCTGAGGGAGAAGAATTGCTTGAACCCGGGAATTGGAAGTTGCAGTGAGCCGAGATAGCACCAGTGCACTCCAGCCTGGGCAACAGAGTGAGACTCTGTCTCGAAAAAAAAAAAAGAGTGTTGAATATAGGCCCCCAATTTCTTTTGGATTGTAGAGTATCTTATAGTTCCACTGTTAGCTTGATGGGATTCCCTTTGTATGTGACCTGACCCTTCACTTTAGCTGTCTTTCATATTTTTTTATTTCATGTTGACCTTGGAGAATCTGATGACTCTCTGTCTTGAGGATGGTCATCTTGTATAGTATCTCACAGGATTCTCTGCATTTCCTGGATTCAAATGGTGACTTCTCTAGCAAGATTTGGGAAATTTTTTGGGCAGTATCCTCAAATACGTTTTCCAACTTGCTTGTTCTTTCTCCCTTTCTTTGAGTGATGTCTTGAGTCATATGTTTGGTCTCTTTACATAATCTCAGATTTCTCAGAGGTTTTGTTCATTCTTTTTTGTTCTTTATTTTCATCTGACTGAGTTGATTCAAAGAAGTGGTCTTTGAGATCTGAGATTCTTTCCTCAGCTTGGTCCGTTCTGCTGTTAGTACTTGTTATTGTATTATGAAATTCTTGAGGTGCATTTTTCAGCTCTATCAGTTTAGTTTGGTTCTTTCTTAAAATGCCTATTTCATCTTTCAGCTCTTATGTCATCTTATTGGATTCCTTACATTATTTGGATTGGATTTTGACTTTCTTCTGAATCTCAATGATCTTTGTTTCTATCCAGATTCTGTCATTTAATCCTGGTTAACAACCATTGTTGGAGAGTTAGTATGATTGCTTGAAGACAGGAAGACATTCTGGCTTTTTACATTGCCAGAGTTCTTGCACTGGTTCTTTCACATCTGTGTGGGCTAAAGTTCCTTTAATGTTTTGAATCACTGTCCTTTGGATGGAGTTTTTTCCTTTTTTATATTCTTTAATGCCCTTGAGGGTTTGACTGTGGCACAAGGTAGTTTCAGTCAAATGGATTCATTTCTGGAAGATTTCAGGGGACAAAGGCTCAGCTCAGCACTCCTGAACTGCATGCTCTAACTTTGCAAGGCTGGTACCATACCCACAGTTTTGTTGTCTGGCCCTTCAGTGTTAAGCACTGAGGTGTTCCCAGTCCACTGGCAACAACACTCTGATGGGGTGTGTCAGCCAAAGTGCTTCATTGTAGTGATTGTAGCAAGGTCCCCACTCACACATATGTGCCAGCAGCAGCAGCACAGAGCAGGTATGCTTGTGTTGGCAGGGGTGCAGTGCCGGCAGGAGTGGGATGGGGTGTTCTGCATACTTACACGTGCCAGCCGGGGCAATGGTGCTGTGGGGAGCACTCATGTGCTGCTGGAGACAGAGTGGCAGCATCTTCATGAGTTTTATGTTATCATTCTAGATCTTTAAAAATAATGTTCTGGACTTCTAACAAATGTATTTGTGAACCCAGAGAAAAAAAGAGTATTATTTTGTGCACTTTTACTTAATCATACCCAAGAAAATTTTACTTTACAATTTGTTCTTTTCATTCAACAATAGTCTTGAAGTTTATCCATCTCAAGATAGATACATATGTAGTTTATTCCTTTTAATTGTATAAGATTACATTGTATGTCAACAGCAGATTTTATTTACAATGTTATAACAAAAATAGCATTTTATTTGTCTCATTTTACATAAATATAAGTTTGTCTAGAATAGTTACCTGGGTTACATGCATTTTTAGTTTGATGTATACTGCCAAAATCCTTTCAGTATGGCCACTTTAATTTGCCCCAATACCAATAGCTTATGAGCCTACCTGATGTTCTTGAAAATCCTTGCAAATCTTTGATATTATTAAATTTTATAATGTTTTCCAGTCTGATAATTGAAAAAATGGCATATTTTTGTTATTTTAATTTGCATTTCTGTGATTATTCACAAGCTTGAATATCTTTTATATATGTGTTGTCCTTCAGCTTTTCCTTATCTGTAACTAGCCTGTTCATATCCTTTGTCCATTTTTTTGTTGAGTTGATCTTCTTTATTAATTATATCTGTTATATGCATTTGTAAATTATATGTATTGCAAATATCAGTAGATATTTAATTTTGTTTGTGATGATTTTTTTTCACTCTAAGAAGTGTATTTTGTTATTTTCAACAGACAGAATTGCCAATACACAGCACTGTTCACTTGACTTTGAAAATGAAAAAGAGTAAAAGGGGAAGAAAGAGCAGAATTGCTTTTGAAGTAGTACTTTATTATAGTACTTTTGAAGTACTACTTTAATATAATTGAATGTATCAAAATCTCTTTTTATGTCTAATGCCTTTGTATGTATCATTCAAAAGGTCCTTTTTACCTCATGATCACAAATATATTATTCTACATCTTTTTTTGTTGTTGTTCAGAGTCTTGCTGTCACCCAGGCTGTAGTGCAGTGGCATGACCTCAGCTTACTGCAACCTCCACCTCCCAGGTTCAAGTCATTCTCCTGCCTCAACCTCCCAAGTAGCTGGGACTACAAGCATGCACCACTGCACCCAGCTATTGGTTTCACCATGTTGGCCAGGCTGGTCTCAGATTCCTGATCTGTCCACCTCAGCCTCCCAAAGTGCTGGGATTACAGGTGTGAGCCATCATGCCTAGCCCACTACATTTTCTTATTACTACTTTTCCTTTTGAGCTTTTAACATTTATTATGTTTAAGGATCGATCTATATTCCTTTCCACATAAATAGTTATCTCAGCACCGTTTGTGAAAGATTTCTTTCTTTCTCCCACCGATTTAAAATACAAATTGTATGATGTAACAAATCCCATAGATTTGTTTCCACACTTTGTATTCTCTTTTCTTCCAATTTATTTTGTCTATTTATATGTCACTATTATTCAGTTTTAACTATTTTACCTTTACAAAAACAGTATCTTGTTTTCTTAAGTTTACTTGATCTTTCATTCTAAGATCTTATTCTTCCAAATGAATTTTATAATCAGCTTGTCAAGCTCAGTAAAAATCCCTGCAAAGATTTTGATTGGTGTATCTCTGATTAATTCATTTGGGGGAGAGATTACATCTTTATATTATTGAGGCTTTGGCCAGGCGTGGTGGCTCACACCTATAATCCCAGCAGTTTGGGAGGCCAAGGCAGGCATATCACTTGAGGTCAGGAGTTCAAGACCAGCCTGGCCAAAATGGTGAAACACTGTATCTACTAAAAACACAAAAACTAGCCAGGCGTGGTGTTGGGTGATGGTAAAATTGGGGCTTTTTAGTTCACACTTGTGAAATGTCTCTCTAAGTATTCAGGTATTATCTTAATTACTATATTATTAGATTCACAATTTTTATAAAAGTATAGACTGTCTTCACAGTTTTGTTCTTAGACACTTTGTGTTTGTAATTGATGTTGTGGATTAAATTCTCTTTGATCACTTATTCCTGGGGAAGCCAGCTGCCATGTCCTGAGGCAGCCCTGTGGAGAAAACCCCGTTGGAAAAAACTGAAGCCTGCAATGGCTACATGAGTAAACTTGGAAGCAGATCTTCTCCACCCCACCCTACCTCATGGGAAATCTTAAGTCAAGGCATACAGCTAAGCCATGCCCAGATTCCTGACCCACAGAAGTCATAAGACAATAAATATTTGTTGTTTTAAGCTGCTATGTTTGGGGATGACTTGTTAAGCAAAATGAGAAAAATAATACAACAAGTGATTACAATGTGCAGCAGAGCTCAGGAACCACTGAACTAGACCAGTATGTGGTCTTAGAGAAGTCTAGTCTCTTCTTGAGCCCACAGGGAAATCTGTAGCATAAACTGCACCATAGAGTTGTACAGCCAGAAGCAAATCTCACATCAGTCCGTCATTGGCAGATGCTGTCTGGAGGGAAAATAGAGGGGTGCACAACCTCCCTAGTATTCCCAAGTAGGTGCTTGTCAGCAGGACAAGGGTTCTAGAAACCTGCAGGTAATAGCAGCCAACAAGAAGCACTGGGAGATGTGTTCATTGACCTGGTAAATGGATTCTGGCAGGAGCACCAAAGGCATTTCTACACAGGATATACTTCACGCTTTATAAAGTAAATGTAGAAGAGATGGGGTGAAATTCTGGATAAGATATGCCAATAGAAGGTATTCTGAGCAGGAGCCTCCCCATTCCTCATGGGTGTCATCAACCACTCCAGAAATGTTCTCATTTGCCTTTGTAACTTAGGTGGCCACACTTGTTTTTTTGGGCAGACAACTCTGTTCCTTCCTTCCTTACTTACTTATTTACTCGAGAGGTAGGAAATGTGTGGAAGGTAGATTTGTCTGACCATTCTTACAGTGGTACTCCAAATAATCAACTATTTGGTTTCCCCAGAGGTCTCTCCTGCTCCCAGCACCTGTCATTTCAGGGCTTGGACCACTTTTAGAAGCACATGTATCTTTTGAGGCAATCTTATTTACACACATTTTGGTTTATGGTTTCCTTTTTTCAATCCTAAATTGTCTGTCTCTTATCTTTCTGGCATATGCTTAGTTTCTTGTCCATTGATGATTCACCTTTTGCTTTCTTGTTAGGTTATGAATTTTTCTATTACCTTTACATCTTCATTTCAAAGGATTTAGGAATAGAGGGAAAGGCTGCAACCTGTGCTCAGGCCAACATTTTAAACCACGTCTGTATAAAATTTTAGCTAACACTAAACCATGCATGAAAAGTTTTATCACCATTAAATTGCATTCACTCAAATTTGAAATTCTTCTAAACAATGTTTGTTATAAATTTATTATAAACTACTTGTACTTATAAACACTACTTGATTAAAAAGATGCTTTTAAATTAATTTTCATTCTCTCAGTTTTGTTTTAGGTGCTGTCTCTCCTGTTGTTGTTGTCCTTTACATGATGGTGTTGCAAGAAAATGGATATGGTGTTGAGGAAGACATTCCAACCTACTAATGGCTGCTAGCAGTATGGATGACATTCTGGCTATCACTGGATTCAATACATGCTTGAGCATAGTCTTCTTCTCGGGTAAACAAGAAAATATAACAACCACCAGATCATTCATGACCTTTTTTGTTAGTTCTTTAAACAGGGTTTCTGGCTTTGCTTCTTCATTTATTAACCAAGACTGTTCAATTTAACATCTTTTTAATCTCCATAGAAAGCTCATTCCAGACCAAGGAAGATATTTCAGTGGCTTAAGATACCACTACTTAACACACATGATCTCACTTTAATAATCATGTGACAATTAATTTGATACACCATATTATTACTATTTATATGCTTATGTTGCTTTTGAATTTTATCAGTTCTCATTAGAAAAAATTAAGCAGCAGTATTATTTGTACTACTAATATTTTAATAGGCATTTTTGAAATGTGCCTTTTTGGCCATCCTAATAAACAACTGGTTGCTCTATTATAAGACAATATAAACATACAGAGCTGGGACAGCCATATGCCTTTTTGGTAGTGTTAGGACAAGATCCTGCACCAGTTCTGATTCCCAAGGTGATATCTGGTCTTGAATATCACTACAGAAATTGTGAAACTAAACATTTCCACATTTAGTAATGCTTTAATTATCTGCAATGTTTGAGTCTTCTGTATTATTGAAGCACTAAACTATTTTTAAGTTGAAAAGTAATATATATAGTTTTATAGTTTCTCTTAAAATAAGAAAATATAAATAAATAAGAAAAAGAGGAAAAGTTAAAAAAATCTGCAATAGTCACATCCAGAAGAAAAGAATCATTTCCTTCTGAACCTTTTGATATAAATCCACCCATATTCCCTTCCCTTCCCTTTTTCCCTTCTTCCCTTCCCTTCCCTTCCCCTCCCCTCCCCCTTCCCTTCCGTTACCCCTCTCTCTCTGTCAAATATTCTTATAAAAATTAGTGAATATTGACCAATATGTTCTTTTATTTTTTTTTTTGAGGCGGAGTCTTGCTCTGTCACCAAGGTTGGAGTGCAGTGGCACAATCTCGGCTCACTGCATGCTCTGCCTCCTGGGTTCATGTCATTCTCCTGCCTCAACCTCCCAAGTAGTTGGGACTACAGGCGCCCGCCACCGCACCTGGCTAATTTTTTTTTGTATTTTTAGTAGAGCCAGGGTTTCACCGTGTTAGCCAGGATGGTCTTGATCTCCTGACATCGTGATCCTCCTGCCTTGGCCTCCCAAAGTGCTGGGATTACAGGCATGAGCCATCGCACCCGGCCTAATATGTTCTTATAACCTGAATTGTTTTACACTTAACTGTATATCACAAACATGTTTCTTTTCAGTAAATGTATTTGTATATCATTTTTAATAGTTGTTTAGCTTAATGAAAGAGTATTCAATGTGCTGCATCATGATTACTTATCCTGTTCAAAATTAAAGTTAACTCCAATATTTACTATTAAAATAATACTTAGTTGTGCTGCTATAAAAATATTTTTTTAAATTAAAAAATTGGCCGGGCATGGTGGCTCACACATATAATCCCAGCACTTTGGGAGGCCAAGAAGGGTGGATCACATGAGGTCAGGAGTTCAAGACCAGCCTGGCCAACGAACATGGTGAAACCCCGTCTCCACTAAAAATACAAAACTTAGCCAGGCACGGTTGTGGGCATCTGTAATCCCAGCTACTCAGGAGGCTGAAGCAGAAGAATCACTTGAACCCAGGAGGCGGAGGCTGTAGTGAGCTATCCAGCCTGGGCAACAGAGCGAGACTCTGTCTCAAAAAAATTTTTTTAATTAAAAAAATAATACTTAGAAGAACATATAGGGAAATATTTGTACCTAATCTTCATATTTTCTTAAGCTTAAAAGTGTAATTGTTGATCTAAAAGGTATATACATTTATGAGTGTTCTGAAACATATTGCCACAATATCAAATCCTACCAGGGTACATAAACTTGTCATTTCCTCTCACCTCTCTTCAAAACTTGGTATTACTAGCCTTTTTCATCTTTGCTAATTTGATAGGTGAAGGAGGGATCTCTATAAATGAAGTACTTTGAATACTAGTGTTGTTAAATATCCATGTTTATTCGTCATTGGCATTTTGTAAATTGCTTTTCTTGAAAGTTTTTTGCCTATTTCTTTTGGTGGGTTCACCTTTTGTTCTTTTTGATTTGTCAAGATTCTGCATTAAATTGAGAATGAAAACCTTTGTTTTATATACTTTAGTTTTTTCAATTTGTGATTTGGCTTTTAATTTTCTCACTCTTTTTACCATTCAGAAGTTAAAGTTTTTTTATTGTCAATTGTGAAAATGTTTTCCTTCATGATTGGTATCTGTCTTTCTTTCAAAAAATATTGTTATCAGTCATGTTTCAAAAAAATATTTCCAGGCTGGGCCCAATGGCTCATGCCTATAATCCCAACACTTTGGGAGGCCAAAGCGGGGGGATCACTTGAGGACATGAGTTCAAGACCAGCCTGGCCAAAATAGCAAAGCTCCATCTCTACTAAAAATACAAAACGTTAGCTGGGTGTGGTGGCACAGGCCTGTAATCCCAGCTACTCAGGGGGCTGAGGCACAAGAATCGCTTGAAACCAAGAGGCAGAGGTTGCAGTGAGCCAAGATCACACCACTGCACTCCAGCCTGGGTGACAGAGGGAGACTGTCTGAAAAAAAGAAAAAAAAATTCCTCTTCCTTTTGCCGGCTACTATGCCAAACACTGAGAATAAACAGTAGGCAACAACATTAGCTTTTATTGAATACTTGCTTGGCTCTTGTTCTAAGTTCCATATATGTCACCACTCATTTACAGGTAAGGAAACTGAGAAAAATGTTAAGTAATTTTCTCAAGGACAGAGATCCAATAAGTAGGGGAGCCAAGATGCAAATCTGACAGTCTTTCACTCCACACCCACACATTTAACTCTTCTCTTCTCCACTGCCTCCCAACACAACAGAGAGACAAGATCAAATGGTGCATGTTCTCAAGGAGCTTGTATATTAAAGAAAAGTTACAAATTGGATGAATATTACATTGTGAAGGTTAATATTCAGTAAGTGTCAACTTGATTAGATTGAAGGATCCAAAGTATTGTTCCCGGTTGTGTCTGTGAGGGTGTTGCCAAAGGAGATTAACATTTATTTAGTGGACTGGGAAAGGCAGATCCACCCTCAGTGTGGGTGGGCACCATACAATCAGCTGCCAGCATGGCTAGAATAAAGCAGGCAGAAGAAGGTTAGAAGAAGCTGACTTGCTGAGCCTTCTGCCCTCATCTTTCTCCCATGCTGGATGCTTCCTGCACTCAAATATCAGACTCCAGGTTCTTTGGCTTTTGGACTCTTGGACTTACTCCAGTTGTTTTCCAGGGGCTCTCAGGCCTTCATCCAGAGACTCAAAGCTGGCCTGTAGGTTTCCCTACTTTTGAGGTGTTGGGACTCGGACTGAGCCAATACTAGATTCCTTGTTCCTCAACTTGCAGACAGCCTGTTGTAGGACTTCGATTGTGATGGTGTGATTCAATTCTCCCTAATAAACTCCCTTTCATATATATATATATATCCTATTAGTTCTATCCCTCTAGAGAACCATGACTAATACAGATTTTGATACTGAGGTAATGGAGTATTGCTATAAGATACCTGAGAATGTGGAAGTGACTTTGGAACTGTGTAATGTGCAGAGTTTGGAACAGTTGGCAGGACTCAGAAGTAGACCAGAAGATGTGGGAAAGTTTGTAACTGCCTAGAGACTTGTTGAATGGTTTTGACCAAACTGCTGATAGTGACGTGGACAGTGAAGTCCAGGCTGAGGAGGTCCGAGATGGAGATGAACAACTTGTTGGGAACTGAAGTAAAGGTCACTCTTGTTATGCTTTAGCAAAGAGACTGGTGGCATTTTGCCCCTGCCCTACAGATTTATGGAACTTTGAAATTGAGAGAGATGACTGAGGACATCTGGTAGAAGAAACGTTTGTTGTTGTTGTTGTTGTTGTTATACCTTAAGTTCTAGGGTACATGTGCACAACGTGCAGGTTTGATACATAGGTATACATGTGCCATGTTGGTTTGCTGCACCCATCAACTCATCATTTACATTAGGTATTTCTCCTAATGCTCTCCCTCCCCCAGCCCTCCACCCCTCAACAAGCCCCAGTGTGTGATGTTCTCAGCCCTGTGTCCAAGTGATCTCATTGTTCAATTCCCATCTATGAGTGAGAACATGCGGTGTTTGGTTTTCTGTCCTTGTGATAGTTTTGCTGAGAATGATGGTTTCCAGCTTCTTCTATCTCCCTGCAAAGGACATGAACTCATCCTTTTTTATGGCTGCATAGTATTCCATGGTGTATATGTGTCACATGTCTTAATCCAGTCCATCATTAATGGACATTTGGGTTGATTCCAAGTCTTTGCTATTGTTAATAGTGCCGCAATAAACATACATGTGCATGTGTCTTTATAGTAGCATGATTTATAATCCTTTGGGTATATACCCAGTAATAGGATTGCTGGGTCAAATGGTAATTCTAGTTCTAGATCCTCGAGGAATCACCACAATGTCTTTCACAATGGTTGAACTAGTTTACACTCCCACCAACAGTGTAAAAGCGTTCCTATTTCTCCATATCCTCTCCAGCACCTGTTGTTTCCTGACTTTTTAATGAATACCATTCTAACTGGGGTGAGATGGTATCTCATTGTGGTTTTGATTTGCATTTCTCTGATGACCAGTGATGGTGAGCTTTTTTTCTTGTGTCTGTTAGCTGCATAGATGTCTTCTTTGGAGAAGTGTCTATTCATATCTTTGCCCACTTTTTGATGGGGTTGTTTTTTTCTTGTAAATTTGTTTGAATTCTTTCTTTGTCAAATGGGTAGATTGCAATTTATCTCCCATTCTGTATGTTGCCTGGTTCACTCTGATGGCAGTTTCTTTTGCCATGCAGAAGCTCTTTAGTTTAATTAGATCCCATTTGTCAATTTTGGCTTTTGTTGCCATTGCTTTTGGTGTTTTAGTCATGAAGTCCTTGCTCATGCCTATGGCCTGAATGGTATTGCCTATGTTTTCTTCTAGGGTTTTTATGGTTTTAGGTCTAACATTTAAGTCTTTAATCCATCTTGAATTAATTTTTGTATAAGATGTAAGGAAGGGATCCAGTTTCAGCTTTCTACATATAGCTAGCCAGTTTTCCCAGCGTCATTTATTAAATAGGTAATCCTTTCCCCATTTCTTGTTTTTGTCAGGTTTGTCAAAGATCAGATGGCTGTAGATGTGTGGTCTTATTTCCGAGGGCTCTATTCTGTTCCATTGGTCTGTATCTCTGTTTTGGCACTAGTACCATGCTGTTTTGGTTACTGTAGCCTTGTAGTGTAGTTTGAAGTCAGGTAGTGTGATGCCTCCAGCTTTGTTCTTTTTGCTTAGGATTGTCTTGGCAATGCAGGCTCTTTTTTGGTTCCATATGAACTTTAAAGTAGTTTTTTTCCAATTCTGTGAAGAAAGTTATTAGTAGCTTGATGGGGATGGTATTGAATCTATAAATTACTTTGTGCAGTATGGCCATTTTCAGGATATTGATTCTTCCTATCCATGAGCGTGGAATATTCTTCCATTTGTTTGTGTCCTCTTTTAATTCGTTGAGCAGTGGTTTGTAGTTCTCCTTGAAGAGGTCCTTCACAACCCTTGTAAGTTGGATTCCTAGGTATTTTATTCTCTTTGTAGCAATTGTGAATGGGAGTTCACTCATGATTTGGCTCTCTGTTTGTCTATTAATGGTGTATAGGAATGCTTGTGATTTTTGTACATTAATTTTGTATCCTGAGAGTTTGCTGAATTTGCTTATCAGCTTAAGGAGATTTTGGGCTGAGACGGTGGGGTTTTCTAAATATACAATCACGTCATCTGCAAACAGGGACAATTTGACTTCATCTTTTCCTAACTGAATACCATTTATTTCTTTCTCCTGCCTGATTCCACTGGTCAGAACTTCCAACACCATGTTGAATAAGAGTGGTGAGAGAGGGCATCCTTGTCTTGTGCCGGTTTTCAAAAGGAATGCTTCCAGTTTTTGCCCATTCAGTATGATATTGGCTGTGGGTTTGTCATAAATAGCTCTTAATATTTTGAGATACGTCCCATCAATATCTAGTTTATTGAGAGTTGTTAGCATGAAGGAGTGTTGAATTTTGTCAAAGGCCTTTTCTGCATCTATTGAGATAATCATGTGGTTTTTGTCTTTGGTTCTGTTTATGTAATGGATTACGTTTATTGATTTGCCTATGTTGAACCAGCCTTGCATCCCAGGGATGAAGCCCACTTGATCGTGGTGGATAAGCTTTTTGATGTGCTGCTGGATTTGGTTTGCCAGTATTTTATTGAGGATTTTTGCATCGATGTTCATCAAGGATATTGGTCTAAAATTCTCTTTTTTTGTTGTGTCAATGCCAGGGTTTGGTACCAGGATGATGTTGGCCTCATAAAATGACTTAGGGAGGATTCTCTATTGTTCTTTTTTTTTGGATGAAAAAAGAGCTGTTTAATTTTTTTTGATGTTTTCAATGTTGATATTTTTTCCAAGAATTAGAGAAATATCTCTGGATGGTTATCTAAAATTTATAATTTTTCTACAGATATGGTAAGTAGGAGAGTGTCATAGTTTTTCTATTATTATACTTTAAGTTCTAGGGTACATGTGCACAATGTGCTGGTTTGTTACATATGTATACATGTGTCATGTTGGTGTGCTGCACCCATTAACTCATCATTTACATTAGATATATCTCCTAATGCTATTCCCCCTCCCCCCACTCCATGACAGGCCCCAGTGTGTGATGTACCCCACCCTGTGTCCAAGTGTTCTCATTGTTCAATTCCCACCTATGAGTGAGAACATGTGGTGTTTAGTTTTCTGTCCTTGCGATAGTTTTCTCAGAATGATGGTTTCTAGCTTCATCCGTGTCCTTACAAAGGACATGAACTCATCCTTCTTATGGCTGCATAGTATTCCATGGTGTATATGTGCCACATTTTCTTAATCCAGTCTATCATTGATGGACATTTAGGTAGGTTCCAAGTCTTTGCTATTGTGAATAGTGCCGCAATAAACATACGTGTGCATGTGTCTTTATAGCAGCATGATTCACAATCCTTTGGGTATATGCCCAGTAATGGGATGGCTGGGTGAAATGGTATTTCTAGTTCTAGATCCTTGAGGAATTGCCACACTGTCTTCTACAATGATTGAACTAGTTTACACTCCAACCAACACTGTAAAAGTGTTCCTATTTCTCCATATCCTCTCCAGCACATGTTGCTTCCTGACTTTTTAATGATCGCCATTCTAATTGGTGTGAGATGGTATCTCATTGTGGTTTTGATTTGCATTTCTCTGATGGCCAGTGGTGATGAGCATTTTTCCATGTGTCTGTTGGCTGCATAGATGTCTTCTTTTGAGAAGTGTCTGTTCATACCCTTTGCCCACTTTTTGATGGGGTAGTTTGATTTTTTCATATAAATTTGTTTAAGTTCTTTGTAGATTCTGGATATTAGCCCTTTGTCAGATGGGTAGATTGTAAAAATTTTCTCCCATTCTGTAGGTTGTCTGTTCACTCTGATGGTAGTTTCTTTTGCTATGCAGAAGCTCTTGAATTTAATTAGATCTGATTTGTCAATGTTGGCTTTTGTTGCCATTGCTATTGGTGTTTTAGTCATGAATTCCTTGCCCATGCCTATGTCCTGAATGGTATTGCCTAGGTATTCTTCTAGGGTTTTTATGGTTTTAGGTCTAACATTTAAGTATTTAATCCATCTTGAATTAAATTTTATATAAGGTGTAAGGAAGGGATCCAGTTTCAGCTTTCCACATATGGCTAGCCAGTTCTCCCAGCACCATTTATTAAATAGGGAATCCTTTCCCCATTTCTTGTTTATGTCAGGTTTGTCAAAGATCAGATGGTTGTAGATGTGTGGTATTATTTCCGAGGGCTCTATTCTGTTCCATTGGTCTGTATCTCTGTTTTGGCACTAGTACCATGCTGTTTTGGTTACTGTAGCCTTGTAGTGTAGTTTGAAGTCAGGTAGTGTGATTCCTCCTGCTTTGTTCTTTTTGCTTAGGATTGACTTGGCAATGCAGGTTCTTTTTTGGTTCCATATGAACTTTAAAGTTGTTTTTTCCAATTCTGTGAAGAAAGTCATTGGTAGCTTGATTGGGACGGCATTGAATCTATAAATTATCTTTGTCTGTATGGCCATTTTCACGATATTGATTCTTCCTATCCATGAGCATGGAATGTTCTTCCATTTGTTTGTGTCCTCTTTTATTTTGTTGAGCAGTGGTTTGTAGTTCTCCTTGAAGAGGCCCTTCACATCCCTTGTAAGTTGGATTCCAAGGTATTTTATTCTCTTTGAAGCAATTGTGAATGGGAGTTCACTCATGATTTGGCTCTCCGTTTTTGTGTTATTGGTGTATAGGAATGCTTGTGATTTTTGCACATTGATTTTGTATCCTGAGAGTTTGCTGAAGTTGCTTATCAGCTTAAGGAGATATTGGGCTGAGATGATGGGGTTTTGTGAATATACAGTCATGTCATCTTCAGACAGGAACAATTTGACTTCCTCTTTTCCTAATTGAATACCCTTTATTTCATTCTCTTGCCTGATTGACCTGGCCAGAACTTCCAAGACTATGTTGAATAGGAGTGGTGAGAGAGGGAATCGTTGTCTTGTGCCAGGTTTCAAAGGGAATGCTTCCAGTTATTGTCCATTCAATATGATATTGGCTGTGTTTTTGTCATAAATAGCTCTTATTATTTTGAGATACATCCCATCAATACCTAGTTTATTGAGAGTTCTTAGCATGAAGGGCTGTTGAATTTTGTCAAAGGTCTTTTCTGCATCTATTAAGATAATCATGTGGTTTTTGTCTTTGGTTCTGTTTATATGATGTATTACGCTTATTGATTTGCGTATGTTGAACCAGTCTTGCATCCTAGGGATGCCAAGTTGATCGTGGTGGATAAGCTTTTTGATGTGCTGCTGGATTCAGTTTGTTAGTATCTTATTGAGGATATTTGCATCAATGTTCATCCGGGATATTGGTCTAAAATTCTCTTTTTTTGTTGTTGTGTCTGTCAGGCTTTGGTATCAGGATGATGTTGGTCTCATAAAATGAATTAGGGAGGATTCTATCTTTTTCTATTGATTGGAAAAGTTTCAGAAAGAATGATACCAGCTCCTCTTTGTACCTCTGGTAGAACTCAGCTGTGAATGCATCTGGTCCTGGACTTTTTTTTGGTTGGTGGGCTATTAATTATTGCCTCAATTTCAGAGCCTGTTATTGGTCTATTCAGAGATTCAACTTCTTCCTGGTTTAGTCTTGCAAGGGTGTATGTGTCCCAGAATTTATCCATTTCTTCCAGATGTTCAAGTTTATTTGTGTATAGGCGTTTATAGTATTCTCTGATGGTAGTTTTTATTTCCCTGGGCTCAGTGGTGATATCCCCTTTATCATTTTATTGCATCTATTTGATTCCTCTCTCTTTTCTCTTTATTAGTCTTGCTAGCAGTCTATCAATTTTGTTGATCTTTTCAAAAAACAAGCTCCTGGATTCATTGCTTTTTTGAAGGGTTTTTTGTGTCTCTGTCTCCTTCAGCTCTGCTCTGATCTTATTTTTTCCTTCTGCCAGCTTTTGAATGTGTTTGCTTTTTCTTCTCTAGTACTTTTAATTGTGATGTTAGGGGGTCAATTTTAGATCTTTCCTGCTTTCTCTTCTGGGCATTTAGTGCTATCAATTTCCCCCTACACACTGCTTTAAATGTGTCCCAGAGATTCTGGTACATTGTGTCTTTGTTCTCATTGGTTTCAAAGAACATCTTTATTTCTGCCTTCATTTTGTTATTTACCCAGTAGTCATTCAGGAGCAAATTGTTCAGTTTCCATGTAGTTGTTCAGTTTTGAGTGAGCTTCTTAATCCTAAGTTCGAATTTGATCGCACTGTGGTCTGAGAGACAGTCTGTTGTGATTTCTGTTCTTTTACATTTGGTGAGGAGTGCTTTACTTCCAATTATGTGGTCAAATTTAGAATAAGTGAGATGTGGTGCTGAGAAGAATGTACACTCTGTTGATTTGGGGTGGAGAGTTCTGTGGATGTCTATTGGGTCTGTTTGTTGCAGAGCTGAGTTCAGGTCCTGGATATCTTTGTTAACCTTCTGCCTTGTTGATCTTTCTAATATTGACAGTTGGGTGTTAAAGTCTCCCATTATTATTGTGTGGGAATCTAAGTCTCTTTGTAGGTCTCTAAGGACTTGCTTTATGAATCTGGGTGCTCTTGTATTAGGTGCATATATATTTAGGATAGTTAGCTCTTCTTGTTGCATTGATCCCTTTACCATTATGTAATGGCCTTCTTTGTCTCTTTTGATCTTTGTTGGTTTAAAGTCTGTTTTATCAGAGACAAGGATTGCAACCCCTGCCTTTTTTTGTTTTCCATTTTCTTGGTAGATCTTCCTCCATCCCTTTATGTTGAACCTATGTGTGAATTTGCGCATGAGATTGGTCTCCTGAATACAGCACACTGATGGGTCTTGACTCTTTATCCAATTTGCCAGTCTGTGTCCTTTAATTGGGGCATTTAGCCCATTTATGTTTACAGTTAATATTGTTATGTGTGAATTTGATCCTGTCATTATGATATTCGCTGGTTATTTGCCCGTTAATTGATGTAGTTTCTTCCTAGCATTGATGTTCTTTACAACTTGGCATGTTTTTGCACTGGCTGGTACCGGGTGTTTCTTTCCATGTTTAGTGCTTCCTTCAGGAGCTCTTGTAAGGCAGGCCTGGTGGTGACAAAATCTCTCAGCATTTGCTTGTCAGTAAAGAATTTTATTTTCTCCTTCACTTATGACGCTTAGTTTGGCTGGATATGAAACTCTGGTTTGAAAATTATTTTCTTTAAGAATGTTGAATATTGGCCCCCACTCTCTTCTGGATTGTAGGGTTTCTGCCAAGAGATCAGCTGTTAGTCTGATGGGCTTCTCTTTGTGGCTAACCTGACCTTTCTCTCTGGCTGCCCTTAACACTTTTTCCTACACTTCAACCTTGGTGAATCTGACAATTATGTGTCTTGGAATTGCTCTTCTCAAAGAGTATCTTTGTGTTGTTCTCTGTATTTCCTGAAGTTGAATGTTGGCCTGCCTTGCTAGATTGGGGAAGTTCTCCTGGATAATATCCTACAGAGTGTTTTCCAACTTGGTTCCATTCTCCTCATCACTTTCCGGTACACCAATCAAATGTAGATTTGGTCTTTTTACATGGTCTCATATTTCTTGGAGGCTTTCTTCATTTCTTTTTACTCTTGTTTCTCAACCTTGTCTTCTCACTTTATTTCATTTATTTGATCTTCAATCACTGATACCCTTTCTTCCACTTGATTGAATCGGCTATTGAAGCTTGTGCATGCGTCACAAAGTTCTCATGCCATGGTTTTCAGCTCCATTGGGTCACTTAAGGTCTTCTCTACACTGTTTATTCTTGTAAGCCTTTCGTCTAATCTTTTTTCAAGGTTTTTAGCTTCCTTGCAATGGGTTCCAACGTCCTCCTTTAGCTCGGAGAAGTTTCTTATTACCAACCTTCTGAAGCCTACTTCTGTCAACTCGTCAAAGTCATTCTCTGTCCAGCTTTGTTCCATTGCTGACAAGGAGCTGTGATCCTTTGGAGGAGAAGAGGTGCTCTGATTTTTAGAATTTTCAGCTTTTCTGCTCTGGTTTATCCCCATCCTTTTGGTTTTATCTACCTTTGGTCTTTGATATTGTTGATCTACAGATGGGGTTTTGGGTTAGATGATCTTTTGTTAATGTTGACACTATTCCTTTCTGTTTTTTAGTTTTCCTTCTAACTGTCAGGACCCTCAGCTGCAGATCTGTTGGAGTTTGCTGGAGTTCCACTCCAGACACTGTTTGCCTGGGTACCACCAGTGGAGGCTGCAGAACAGCAAATATTGCAGAACAGCAAATATTTCTGCCTGATCCTTCCTCTGGAAGCTTCGTCCAAGAGAGGCAGCCGCCTATATGAGGTGTCTGTCAGCCCCTACTGGGAGGTGTGTCCCAGTTAGGCTACACAGGGGTCAGGGACCCACTTGAGGAGGCAGTCTGTCCATTCTCAGAACTCAAACACCATGCTGGGAAAACCACTGCTCTCTTCAGAGCTGTCAGACAGGGACGTTTCAGTCTGCAGAAGTTGCTGCCTTTTGTTCAGCTATCCCTGCCCACAGACGTGGAGTCTAGAGGCTATGGGCCTTGTTGAGCTGTAGTGGGCTCCACCGAGTTCAAGCTTCCCTGGCCACTTTGTTTACCTACTTAAGCCTCAGCAATGGTGGACCCCCCTCCCGCAGCCAGGCTGCCACCTTGCAGATGGATTTCAGACTGTTGCGCTAGCAGTGAGCAAGGCTCCATGGGTGTGGGACTTACTGAGCCAGGCACAGGAGAGAATCACCTTGTCTGCTAGTTGCTAAGACCTTGGGAAAAGTGCAGTATTTGGGCGGGAGTGCCCTGTTTTTCCAGGTAGTCTGTCACAGCTTCCCTTGGCTAGGAAAGGGAAATCCCCCAACCCCTTGTGCTTTCCCGGGGAGGCGATGCCCCACCCTGCTTCAGCTCACCCTCCGTGGGCCTGCACCCACTCTCCAACAAGTCCCAATGAGATGAACCAGGTACCTCAGTTGGAAGTGCAGAAATCACCTGTCTTCTGTGTCAATCATGCTGGGAGCTGCAGACCGGAACTGTTCCTATTTGGCTATCTTGGAACCCATCCAAGACATCTGGTAGAAGAAATTTGTAAGCAGCAAAGTGTTCAATTTATGACCTGAGTGCTCTTAAAAGTGTTCAGTTTTATGCATTCACAAAAATATGGTTTGGAATTAGAACTTATGTTTAAAAGGGAGCAGAGCATGAAAGTTTGGAAGATTTGCAGCCTGATGATGTGATAGAAAAGAAAACCCATTTTCTGGGGAGAAATTCAAGCTGACTGCAGAAATTTGCAGAAGTAACAAGGAGCCAAATGATAATTGACAAGATAATGGGGAAATTGTCTCCAGGGCATGTCAGAGTTGTTCACAACAGCCCCTCCCGTGACAGGGTTGGAGGCCTAGGAGGGAAAAAATGGTTTTGTGGGCCAGGCCCAGAACTTTGCTGCTCTGTGCAGTCTTGGGACTTGGTGCCCTGTGTCCCAGCCATGGCTAAAAGGAGCCAATGTACAGCTCAGGTTATTGCTTCAGAGTTCAATCCCCAAGCCTTGGCAGTTTCCATGTAGTTTTGGGTTGATATGCTAGTTGGCCACTTGTATTTTTTTTGGAAAAAATGTCGATTCAAGTCTATCTTAGTCCATTCCTGCTGCTATAACAAAATATCTTAGGCTGGTAATTTATAAACAACAAAAATTTATTTCTTGCATTCTGGAGTGTGAGAAGTCCAAGATTTAGGCTACAACAGACTCAGTGACTGGTGAGGTCACTATATTCACTATACATAGCACCTTCTCTGTGTCCTCACATGTTCAAAAGGGAAAAAAAACTCCCTTAAGCCTCTTTTATAAAGGCCCTAGTCCCATTTCTGAGAGCTATGACTTCATGAACTAATCATCTCCAAAATGCCCCACCTCTTAATATTATCACATTGAATATTAGGCTCCAGCATATGAATATTGGGAGAACACTTGGACCATAGCAAAGTCAACTGACCATTTCTCATTTAGGTTGTTTTGTTATTGAGTTGTTGTTCTGTATATATTTTAGATATTAACCCCTTGTCAGGTATTTGGTTTGCTGGGAGGTTTTTGATTCCTGATTCAGTTACTAGTTATAGGTTTATTAAGATTTTTTATTTTGTGACTTAGTCTTGGTAACTTGCATGTTACAAGGAATCTCTTCATTTCTCCTAGGTTATCCAACTTGTCAGTATATAATCATTCATAGTAGACTCTTAGAATCCTTTTTATTTCTGTAATATCTGTTGCAGTGTCTTCTCTTTTGTTCCTAAAAGAAGTTGAGTCTTCTTTTTTTTCTTAAATATTCTAGCTAATGATTTGTCAATTTTGTTGAACTTTGAAACAACTACTAGTTTCACTGGATTTTTTCTATTCTCTAGCCTTTTTTTTTTTTTTTTTTTTTTTGAGATGGAGTTTTGCTCTTATTGCCCAGGCTGTAGTGCAATGGCGTGATCTCCGCTAGCTGCAACCTCCGCTTCCCAGTTCAAGTGACTCTCCTGCCTCAGCCTCCAGAGTAGCTGGGATTACAGGCATGCACCACCATGCCTGGCTAATTTTGTATTTTTCAGTAGAGACACGTTTCTCCCTGTTGCTGAGGCTGGTCTCGAACTCCCGACCTCAGGTGATCCACTTGCCTTGGCCTCCCAAAGTGCTGGGATTACAGTCGTGAGCCACTGCTCCCGGCCTTCTGCTCTAGACTTTATTATTTCCTTACTTTTGCTAACATTGGGTTGAGTTCTTCTTTTTCCAGTTTCTTGAGGTGTAAAGCTAAGTTACTGATTTTAGATCTTTCTTCTTTTTTAAGGTAGGTAGTTAGATATATAAACTGTCCTCTTCATATTCATTTTGCTGCATCCCACAAGCTTTGGAATGTTGTGTTTCCATTTTTATTTGTCTCAAGACATTTTCTAACTTTCCTTGTGACTTATTCTTTGACTATGTATTAATCAGAGTTCTCCAGAGGGTCAGATCCAATAGGAAATATAGATATAGATATAGATATAGATAATAGATATAGATATAGATACATATACATGCATCTAAAAGAGAATATATTTACATATATATGAAATATAATTTATTAAGGAGAATTGGCCCACATAATTACAAAGGCAAAGTCCCACAGTAGGCCATCTATAAGCTGGAAAATGAGAGAAGCCTACAGCATGGCTCCCAAGGAAGCCAGTGACATGGCTCAGTCCAAATCTGAAAGTCTCAAAACCAGGGAAGCTGACAGTGCAGCCACTAGTCTGAGGCCCAAGGCTTGAGAGCTCCCAAAAGGCTGCTGATGCAAGTCCCAGGGTCCAAAGGCCAAAGAACCTAGAGTTTGATGTGCAAGGGCAAGAGGAGAAAAAGGCATACTGCTCTGGAAGAGAGAGAAAGTGCATAAAAAAGAAATCCAAGCAAGCTGAATGTTCCCATTCTTCTGCCTTTTTGTTCTAGTCACACTTGTAACCAATTGCATGATGCCTACCCACAGTGAGGATGGGTTTTTCTCTCTCAGTCCAGTAACTCATCCATCATTCTCCTGTGGCCGCACCCTCACAGATATACACACACACAGTGCTTCATCAGGCATCTAAGCATCCCTCAATCAAACTGACAATTAATATTAACCACACAGGCCAATTGGTTAAGAGAGTATATTTTTGTAATTTCCACATATTTATTACTTTTCCTTTTTCCTTCTGCTATGAATTTGTAATTTCATTTAATGTGGTCAGAAAAGATATTTGGTATGAGTTCAGTTTTCTTAAAGTTTTAAAAACTTGCTTGTGGACCAGCATGCCATCTATCCTGGAAACGTCTTGATATGTACTTGAGAAGAAAGTATATTTTGCTATTATTGGGTGAAGTGTTCTGTATATGTCAGACAGGTCCAATTGGTCTACAATGTTGTTCAAGTTCTGTGTTTTCCAGTTGATCTTCTGTCTGGTTATTGTATCCATAATTGAAAGTGGAATATTGAAGTTTTCTGTTATTATGATGTTGTTATCTATGTTACCCCTCAATTCTGTCTATGTTAGCTTCATATATTTAGATGCTGTACTGTTAGTTGCACATACATTTATATTTGCTATATCTTCTTGGTCAATTGGCCCTTTTATTATTATGTAATATCCTTGTCTCTTGTGCTATTATTTGACTTAAACTCTATTTTGTCTAAGTATGGCCATCCTTGTTCTCTTTTGGTTACCAAATGCATTGAATATCTTTTTCCATCCTTTCACTTTCAACCTTTGTGTGTGTTTAGATCTAACATAAGTCTCTTGCATATAGTATATATTTAGATTTTTTAATCCATTCAGCCAATTCTCTGTCTTTTGATTGGAAAATTAGCCTATTTGCATTTAAAGTAGTTACTGATAGGGAGGGGCTTACTATTGTCATTTTGTTCATTGTTTTATACATGTCTTCCAGGTATTTTTTCCACTTTTCCTCTCTTTCTGCCTCCCTTTATGTTTCACTGATTTCTTTTTTTGGTAGGGACGTGCTTTGGTTCCTTTCTCATTTTTATTTTTGTATCTTCTGTAGGTCTTTTCTTTGTGGTTACTGTAGAATTACATGAAAACATCTTATAGTTATAATAATCTATTTTAAATTGACAACAACTTAACTTTAATCACATACAAAAACTCTACTTCTTTACACCTCCTTCTCACTTGTTATCAATGTCACACAATATATATCTTATATTGTTTATTCACATAATTTAATACAGTAATATTATGCTTTTACCTTTTAAATTCTAAGCTTCAATTAAAAGTGAATTACAGGCTGGGTGTGGTGTCTCACACCTGTAGTCCCAGCACTTTGAGAGGCCAAAATGGGAGGATCACTTGAGCCTAGGAGTTTGAGACCAGCAAGGCCTTATCTCTGCTAAAAATTTAAAAATATTATCTGAGTGTGGTGGTGCATGTCTGTAGTCCCAGCCACTCGGGAGGCTGAGGTGGGAGGATTGCTTTAGCCCAGGACTGCAAGGCTGCAGTGAGCCATGATCAAACCACTGCACTCCAGCCTGGGCAACAGAGCAAGACTTCGTCTCAAAAAAAAAAAAAAAAGTAAAGGACAAAAAGTGTTTTGCTTACCACCATTAGAGTATTAAAGGATTCTATGTTCACTCATATATTTACCTTTACCAAAGAAGTTTATATTTTGTATGCTTTTGTATTTCTATCCAATGCCTTTTCATTTCCACTTGGAGGACTCCCTTTAACATTTTTTGTAAGGTAGGTCTAGTGGTGATCAACTCCCTCACCTTTTACTTCTCTGGGGAACTCTTTGTTTGTCCTTCATTTTTGAAGTAGAGTTTTACTGGCTATACAGTTCTTGGTTGACAGTTTTTTTTTTCTTTCAGCCCTTTTAATATATCATCCCATTCTCTTCTGACCTGTAGAGTTTTTGCTGATAATTCCATTGATAACCATATAGCATCTCCCTTGTATGTGACAAGTTGCTTTGATCCTGTTCCTTTCAAAATTCTCTCTTTGTCTTTAACTTTTGACAGTTTGATTGTAATGTGTCTCATTGTAGGTCTTTTGCAAATTATCCAACTTGGAGTTCTTTGAGCCTCTTGGATTTGTATGTCCATTTCCTTCTTTAAGTTTGAGAAGTTTTTGGTTATTATTTTTTTAACTGGCTCTCTGCCCCTTTATTTTTCTCTTCTCCTTCTGGCACTTTCATAATGCATACATTGGTCTGCTTGATGGCATCCTGTAAGTCTCTTAGGCTGTCTTCACTCTTCACTCCTTTTCCCTTTTGCTCCTCTGACTCCATAATTTCAAATGACTAGTCTTCCGTTTCACTGATTCTTTCTTCTGCTTGATGTTATTGAAACTGCCTTTGCAAAAATTATAACTGAAGAAATTATGACAGCAAAAGACATCAGACTTAATCAACTCCATCTTGCTTCTAGCATTTAAACTGTCCTTGTTCATTCCCGGCAGTAGGATGAACTAATTTCGGGAAGGTATTCAGTTCATGGTTTGACTCTGAAACAAAGTTGATAATAGCCATTTCCCAAAAAGATCCCCTTCTTGCCTGGAACCAGTCTGCCTTTGCAGGATAAACAAATTAGCTATAACATCAGAAATTACAGTTGAGGGGTTATGCAGCCTCTGGCTCCAAGAGTCTGAACCTCTCCAAATTGCTCCTGGGGATAACATCACTATTGTAAAACCTAAAATCAGTGCTTGAGATATTTTGCAGACCCTGCACTGGATGAATCAGCTGACACCACCCAGACTGGTAATATGGCTCAACTAGTTCTGCCACCCCAGCCACAAACAGAAGACAGCAAGAAAACATCTCTTCAACCCTGTATGATTTCATCTCCAACCTGATGAATAAGCAGTCCCCACTTCCCAAGTCCCTACATGCCAAATTATCTTTAAAAGTTCTGAACCCCGAATGCTCAGGGAGACTGATTTGAGTAATAATAAAACTCTGATCTCCCGCACAGCCAGCTCTGCCTGAATTACTCTTTCTCCATTGCAATTCCCCTATCTTGATAAATCAGCTCTGTCTAAGCAGGGCACGAGGTGAACCCATTGGGCAGTTACACAGTCTATTGGTGATTTCCGATAGGGAATTTTTCAATTGAGCTACTGTATTCCTTAGCTCCAGAGTTTCTGTATGGTTCCTTTTTTTTTTAGTTTCTATCTCCATTAATATATTCATTTTATTCATGAATTATTTCCTGCTTTCACTTAGTTGTCTATTTCTGTTGTCACTGGGCTTCATTAAGAGAGTTAATTTGGATTCTTTGTCAGGTAACTCATTTATCTATTTCTTTAGGGTTGGTTTCTGGAGATTTATTTTGCTCCTTTAATTTAGTCATCAGGTTTCTCTGTTTCTTCTTATGTCTTGTTATTTTTTATTTTTTATTTATTTTTGCCAAGATTTGGGTGTTTGAAAAAACTGCCACTTCTCCCAGTTTTTATCAGCTGGCTTCATACGGAAGACCTTCATACCTGAATCAGCATGGCTATAGGTTCCAGCAGCCTCTCAAACTTTTTCTGGGAATGCATCTTCTTTGGGTTTATACATTGCAACATCCCAAGTAGAGGTTTGCCAGTTTCTTTTTCTGGAGCTGTTGTTCCCTCTGGTATCTGTCTGTGGTACTGCAGGTTCCCTGGTGCTGCATCATCTCTGACCTCTCCTTTATTCCCAGTGGTTCCCATGCATCCAAAGTATGCCAGTTGGGCGTCAAGTTAGAGAGAGAGAGAGAGCTTCAGGTAACCTCATAAAACTATTCCGTTCCAGTCTTCTCTTTCCCTGCTAACGGAGAAGCTGCAAGTTGAGTGCTTCCCAGCCAAACCAACCTGTTCGAGCTTGGGGAAGGGGTATCATGAGTATAATGCAACAGCTTTTCTTATTTGTTCAATGCCACTATTCTTGATTTTGCACTTGTCTGTGCTACTACAACTTCTTAATGGTTTATGGAACTCCATAAAGGCTTTTAGACCATATATTGTTTTTCAGTTGCTATCTTTATGGAGAATCAAGGTTTGGAGCCATTCCACCATCTGGCTGACATCACTCTGTTTATATTATTTTTTATTTTTATTATATTTTATTTCCTTGAGACAGGATCTTGCTCTGTCAGCCAGGCTAGAGTGCAGCCTGGAACTCCTGAGCTCAAGGGACCTCCTCTCTCAGGCTACTGAGTACTTGGACTATAGGTACACAACACATACCCGGCTAATTTCTTATTTTCTTGTGAAGATGGGGTTTCACTCTGTTGCCCAAGTTACTCTCAAATCTTGGGCTCAAGCAATCCTTCTGCCTTGGCCTCCCAAAGTGCTAGGATTAAAGGTGTGAGCCCACCATGCGCTGCCTGTTATATTTAGTAGAAAATATATCTAAAAATATACTTATGTACTATATTGAATCCACTACCCAGAGCTTAACTGAACTATTTTTGTGACTCATTCTGTTTTTTTTTATTTTTTGCTTTTTACTTATTACAATGAACTACAAGTATGGATATATTAATATTAATTAATATAAAATATACTGGAATCTTTTGTATTTTTTTTTCCTTTTTTCTTCACCAAAAGCAGAAACTTAAATACACTGAAATCTTAAATGACCCTTGAATGTTTCTGGGACTGACCCTGGAACAAAATTTTTTATGTTGTTATTACATTGTTCTTTTCATGTTAAAATCATTTGTTTCTTTTTCATATAGTACATCAAAGAAGAATTGTTAATATAGCCCTTACCAGCCATATGCTAAGTGCCACAAGTGTTTTGGTCTCTCTCCATTCTTGTACCTCACTTGGTCTTTTTTTTTCTTTTGGAGGTGTAGCCTCCATCTTTCACCCAGGCTGGAGTGTGGTGGCATGATCTCAGCTCACTGCAACCTCTGCCTCCCAGGTTCAAGTGATTCTCCTCCCTCAGCCTCCTGAGTACCTGGGACTACAGTTGTGTGCCACCATGCCCACAAAATTTTTGTATTTTTATTAGGGATGGGGCTTCATTATGTTGGCCATGCTGGTCTTGAACTCCTGACCTCAAGTAATCCACCCTCCTCAACCTCCCAAAGTGCTGGGATTACAGACATGAGCCACTGCGCCTGGACTACCCCACTCTGTCTTTTAAATTGGCTATGTAAGGGGAGCATCTTGTGCTTGTTAAGTCTTTGTTTTCTGGCCTATTTATATAATGGACATTTCTGAGTTGTGTGTATATATTAAATTATTTGAGAGTATATATTTAATGTACTAAATAGATCTACGTGTTTTCATACATGTCACTATAAAAAGACCATTTGCATATATTTGTTCTATAAAATGCTTACTTTTCTTCATGAGCCACCTAGATTTGCTTTTCTGATGTGTAGTGTATGTGAAAATATTTCTTTGTGAATTTTTCTTTATTGTGTGCCCCTACAGGTGGTAAGCTTAATAACGCCATAGCCTCTATAAGGAACGTATGTATTAGTCGGCTGGCAGGAATTGTTTTGGGATTTTTTGTTTGATATTTTCCAAGTGAAGACCAGTTAAATACAAAATCTATTTTATAGAAGTATAGTATTAGACATTTTTTTCAAAATATTAAACTTTGGTAAGATCCATGAAATTTAATACTTAACTCTATTTTTCTAAAACTAGCCTCCAATGCCTACTCTGTATTTAAAACTGAGCACAGCGGTGATTGATACAGGTCAATGGCTTTGATTAAAGTCTCTGCTTCCTGATTTTGCAAATAAGGAATGTCAAAAACTATACTTAATGCAGAGTATCCCTCTGAATTATACTTTCCCTTTCTCTACTAAATTGCCTATTGATGTTTGATAATTTTCCCCAAATTTTCCCTTAAACATTTTAGGGGGAGATAGGTTCCCATTCATTTCTGCATATTTTCTGACTGAAATTCACTCCTGCTATCCTTTGACAAAGGCAACACTCAAACTTAGCCATTTCCTGCCTTAAAGGAAAACATGCCATTACTTTTGTATTTCTGTAATTTCCATCCAAATTTAGCTGTAACATATTGACCAAAGAGATATTCAAATATTTTTTAAGAATTCATTGGACATGTTATATGAAACTGGAGATTTTATGGGTCTCTTTTCTTCTTCACTTAAAGTAATACTTTAACTATTTTACTGATACTAGTATCAGAGATGTGGCAGAAGAAGAAACGTTACTAATTGGAAATTTTGTTACTTGGTAGTAAGTCTGCTAAAATGTATGGTGAGAAAGAAAATCAAAATTTTAGACATTTAATATAACATTTAAAGACATAATATCAAAGGGTCAAACATATGTAATAGATAATGTCAAATCTTGTATTATATATTTAATATAAACTAATTTCTAAATATCTATCTAATTCTAGAAAAAACTTACATTGAAGAGAGGATTCCTTGTTTTGACTACGTGTGTTTCTGCTGTCTTAGGCAGCCAACGTATTGGTTTACATGGATCTGGAGGATTATGCACATTAGTGTTGAGTTTCATTGCAGGGACAAAATGGTCCCAAGAAAAGGTGAATATTTTTAATATGCTATATTTTAAAAGCTAAGACAACCGAATTTTTTACATATATTTAGGAAATCCCCTCATTCTGGTTGGAAAATATTCCAAAAGGTTTTCTATCCTCAAGAAAGAGTACGAATCAATCGAGGAAATAAAATATTTAATAAAAGCAGCTGGAAATATACTAATATGGAATCAGAAGTTGAGTTAATCACATCAGGCTTCTCTTTTTCCCAAGTTTTATATAATATTATTATATTACTTATATCAATTTAATTATTTTATTCATTGAAATTTTAATTATGCAATTAATCCATGAAGAATGTTTGTAAAAGGCCAGGCACGGTGGCTCATGCCTGTAATCCCAGAAATTTGGGAGGTTGAGGTGGACAGATCACCTGGGGTCAGGAGTTTGAGACCAGCGTGGCCAACATGGTGAAACCCCATCTCTACTAAAAATACAAAAATTAGCTGGGCATGGTGGCTTGGTGGTGGGCACCTGTAATTCCAGCTACTGAGGAGGCTGAGGCAGGAGAATTGCTTGAACCCAGGAGGTGGAGGCTGCAGTGAGCCGAGATCATGCCATTGCACTCCAGCCTGGGCAACAAGTGCAAAACTCCATCACACACACAAAAAATAATAATAAACAAACAAATAAATAATAAAAAGAGAAATGCTTGTAAAATAATAAAACATAGAAAAAATGTAAAAGATTTCTTTATTCCCCACCACTGTCAAATATCTAACCGCCTTACATTTTTTTAAGTAACCAGTGTCCTATTTATAGACATTAAGATAGTTTCCACTTTTTGTTATTTACAAACAGTGCTGTCATAAACAGTGTTGTTCATGTCTTTTTTTTTTTTTTTTTTTGAGACACAGTTTCACTCTTGTCACCCAGGCTGGAGTTCAGTAGCATAATCTTGGCTCACTGCAACCTCCACCTCCTGGATTCAAGTGATTTTTCTATTTCAGCCTCCCTAGTAGCTGGGATTACAGGCACGCACCACCATGCCCAGCAAATTTTTGTATTTTTAGTAGAGACGGGGTTTCACCATTTTGGCCAGGCAGGTCTTGAACTCCTGACCTCAGGTGATACTCCTGCCTCGGCCTCCCAAAGTTTTGGGATTACAGGTACATCTGTAGGAATAGAGTTCTAGAAATGATTTTTTTTTTGAGACAGAGTCTCTGTCTATGTTGCCCAGGCTGGTCTCAAAATCCTGAGCTCAAGGGATGCTCCCAAATTGACATTGCAAAGTGCTAGGATTACAAGCATGAGCTACCACACCTCGCTGGAAATGATCTGTGTTTTATTTTGATGGACACTGCTAAATTATCCCTTCAAAAATTTTGGTTATTTACACTCTGCCAACAGTGCACAAAAATATCTAATACCTTAACTCATCAACAGCACTTGATATTATCACTAGTTCTATTCTTTTTACTATTAAATGACCTCATCATCCAATTCTTATAGTTTCTTACAATTATGTGATGTTGTTATTCTTTATTTACATTTCTCCGATTAGTAGTATAGTAAGCTTCTCTTCATATATTCTTTTTAAAATACCTATGATCTTCTTTGACCATTTTTATTGGGTTATTTATTTCTTGTTTCTAATTTATAGTTTCTCTTAGTGTTAGGGCTACTGATCCTTTGTTATGTATATATTGCATATAATTTTTGCTTATCTTCAACTTTGTTTACGGTGTCTGGTGTATGAAAGTAAAATTTCCTATGACCAAACCTATTGGGTTTTCCTTTTTTGGTTTTGGATTCTGCATCTCATTTAAGAAGGACTTTCTCACTGAAGATTATAACATATAAACATTACAAAGATATACTATTTTGTGTATTATCATTTAATATTTTGGTAGTTTTTGTTTAATTTGTTTTTTCATTTAGGCTTTTAATCTATCTGGAATTTATCTTTGTGAATGCTGTGAGGTAAGGTTATATATATATATATATGTGTATCTTACAAACTATGTATATATACACACACACATATACAGTTTGTAAGTTAACTGAACAGAGATAGAACTACATCATGGCTGATGTGTGTGTGTATATATATATATGTATATATATATACACACACACATATATATATATTCAGACACACATATATAATTGCATGTGATGAATATGTACATACAGATATATGCACATAAACTAGACAGTCATTTTTTGCCAAATTGTTTATTTATTGACCAATTCATTAATAATTCAGTTTTTTAACATGAACTAAATTCTCCCATATATATTAATTGTGGTCTGTTTAATCCTACTTCTCTATTTCTATGCCAACACCTCTGTTTTAAATCACTGCAGTTTTATGTGTCAAAATCTAATATAGATTATACTTCTTTTTAAAGTATTTTTTGGCTGCTCCTACACATATTCTTCCTTAGATAAATTTTAGAATCAACTTGAGAAGTTCCCTAATCAAAAATCATAGTGGCATTTTGCTTAGTATTCTTGTATAATCATAATTATAAAAGAAATGAAATGAATGAAATGCAAATCAATAAATAAAATTGAAACTGCTAGAATTTTTTTAAATGGTAAAAGAAACAGAACCAAAACAAGTTTTAAAGATTTAAAGTAACGAACAGGATAATTATGCTGTAAAGAGTGGTAACATCTTTTTTCTTTGTTTTTCTTTTTTTAAACTATAAAAAGTGGGGATCAGAAAACACAGTCATAAGGGAAATAGTTGTGAAGATAGTTTTTGCCTCAAGGAAGAGACATCAAAGTACTTATGTATCTTCTGTTTAAAGAAAAAAATTAAACCCAGACTGAGACTGAAATCTCTTCATCCAAATTCCTGGAGAAGAGCCAGAGTAATGTAGGCCAATAGGGGCCTTTCCTGTAACCTTTTAATTGGGGAAGTAGCACTGGGAGGCATTCGTTTCCAGAAGGGGAAGCTGGGTAGGCAGCTAAATGAGAATCTAATATATGTTTTGGTTTTGTTTTAAGGAAAAAGTAACTTTAAAGTATTCAACATGGGTTCTTTGGAAGCAGGCCTAGCAGACTTCCAAATTGTTTTTCCTAGTAGTATATGCTATATATATCAGGATTCACTTTAATGGCATTGAGTTCCAGGATGGTTGTTAGTGGAAGGCTTCCCAACCCCCTTCTGAGAACCCAAATGTTTGCATGAACTGGGTATGTTCTCATCAGGCATGATGTAGTTCTATCTCTATTCAGTTAACTTAGAGACAAAATCTGGAACTCATATGAAACATGGCTAGAACCCTAAAGACATCACTTATTCTGTGACAAAATGGCCAAATAGTATTATTTTATTGCTTTGTGAGTTTCTTTTAATCAAATTCTACCTAAGTGTTTGAGTAAAACTATTGAAGTGCTCAGTTTTTATTAAGTTTAATATTTTTATTAAAATAAAGTGTCTTAAATTTATTAAATGTTAAGTGACTTTAGGCCAGGCATGGTGGCTCATGTCTATAATGCCAGTGCTTTGGGAGGCCACAGCCAGAGACCACTTGAAGACAGGAGTTCTAGACCATCCTGGGCAATATAGCGAGACCCCATCTCTATAAACAATTTAAAAATTAGCCCACCATGGTGGTACACACCTGTCGTTCTACTTGGGAGACTGCGAGAGGATCACTTGAGCCCAGGAGTTCAAGGCTACAGTGAGCTAAGATTATGCCACTACACCCCAGCCTGGGCAACAGAGCAAGACCCCATCTCTAAAATACTTAAAAAGTGAAAAAAAAAGGTGAGGGAGACTTTAACTTTCTGAAATATATTTATGTGCCAAAATAATTATAAATGTATTTCTCTTTTCTATAGATGAAAGTCCAAAAGATTATTACAAATGTATGGGATATTTTTCAACCACTTCTTTTTGGTTTAGTTGGAGCAGAAGTATCTGTTTCATCGCTTGAATCAAATATTGTTGGTAAGAATAATTAGAGCACAAAAAATATGAAATTCAAAAATATTTAAGAAAATTATAAATACATTTATTTTTATTTACAATATATCTTTGAATGGCTACAAGGACCTTCTTCAGAAACACATGTTGATACAGTGTCATATTTTCATATTGCTCTTCCTTTACACTGTGTGCTCTTTTTTTTTAAACCAAGGACAGCCCTGAATATCTTCCCTGAGTTATCTAAGGAAATAAATATAAGATTTCTTTCCTGAGGGAACGTATTTGATACGATCAGCACTGTTTGAGTACTTTCATTAAAACTATTGGCTGGGTGTTGTGGCTCATGCCTGTAATTTTAGCACTTTGGGAGGCCGAAGCGGGCAGATTTCTTGAAGTTAGGAGTTCAAGACCTGCCTGGCTAACATGGGGAAACCCATCTCTCCTAGAAATACAAAAATTAGCCAGGTGTGGTAGTGCGTGCCTGTAACCCCAGCTACTCAGGAGGCTGAGGCAGGAGAATCACGTGAACCCGGGAGTCGGAAGTTGCAGTGAGCTGAGATTGTACCACTGCACTCCAGCCTGGGCGACAGAGCAAGAATCCTTCTCAAAAAGTAAACTATTATTAATAATAATAAAAGTATTCAAAAAAAGTCTATTAGTTCAGAATTGTATAAATGTCATGTGTCTTATTTTTCATGGTATCTCCACCATCAGATACTGTCTTGCACTTTACAGAGAATCCTCCATCATATTCATTTTTTATTATGATTGTTTTATGTAAAAATTAAACACATGAAGAGACAGTAGCCTTAAAATGCTTTCAAAAGTTTTAAAAATCATATTCCTGGGCATAAAGAACACTTCTTCACAAATATTTTGTTATTTATGTTTTCATCTGCTGTAAGCATATCTGTTGCCACTCTGAGTTTGGCATTATGTGTTCGAATTTTAACCACATATCTATTGATGTGCTTTGCTGGTTTTAGTTTTAAGGAGAAAATATTTATTGCTTTAGCATGGATGCCCAAAGCTACAGTACAGGTAAGAACATATTAAGCCTATTGCTTAATGCTTTCGTTTTGATGCTTTTAAAATTTAAAATGAAAAATGTTACTCCAATCACAAAATATGAGCTATTATCCTTACTTTTTAAATGTTTGATTGATCATAACTATTCATTAAAATTAACGTAACCAGTCCCAGCTACTCAGGAGGCTGAGATGGGAGAATTGCTTGAACCTAGGAGGTGGAGGTTGCAGTAAGCTGGGATGGCACCACTGTACTCCAGTCTGGGTGACAGAGCAAGACTCAATCTCAAAAAAAAAATAAATAAATAAATAAAAACAAACAAAGAAACAATGTAACATTTTTCTATTTTCATTTTTATTTTCATTTTGAGACCAGGTCTCACTCTGTCACCCAAACTGGAGTGCAGTGGCATGATCACGGCTCACTGCAGCCTTAACCACCTGGGCTGAAACAATCCTCTCACATAAACCTGAGTAGCTAGGATCACAGTCACCTGCCACCACACCCAACTGCTTTTTTTCAGTTTTTTTTTTTTTTTTTTTTTTTGAGACAGTCTTACTCTGTTGCCCAGGCTGGAGTGCAGTGGCATGATCTCAGCTCAATGTAACCTCCACCTCCCAGGTTCAAGCGATTCTCCTGCCTCAGCCTCCTCAGTAGCTGGGATTACAGGTGCACACCACCACACCTAGCTAATTTTTGTATTTTTAGGAGATATGGGGTCTCACCATGTTGGCCAGGCTAGTCTCAAACTCCTGACCTCAAGTGATCTGCCTGCCTCAGCCTCCCAAAGTGCTGGGATTACAGGCATGAGCCACTGTGCCTGGCCTTTTCTTTCTGATTTTTTTGTAAAGAGGAGGTCTTGCTATGTTGCCCAGGCTGATCTTGAACTCCTAGGTTCAAGTGATCTTCCTGCCTTAGCCTCCTAAAGTTCTGGGATTACAGGCATAACCCACTGGGCACAGCCAACGTAACCTTTTGAAATCTCAGTTTTAAAAGCAATTATTTTGAAATCAAAAAGTATTCTTTCAATAAGTACTTTCTAAGTTTATGAAAATATGTTTTTTTCCTAAAATATATAATAAGAATATATCTGAAAATTGGAGTTTTTATATTTTGCTTAATATAACAAAGCTAAATGTTATGATTTTAAAAAGTAGAGACAAAGGCCAGGCATGGAGGCTCATGCCTGTAATCCTAGCACTTCAGGAGGCTGAGGCAGGCAGATCACTTGACCTCAGGAGTTCAAGAGCAGCCTGGGAAACATGGTAAAACCCCTGTCTCTACAAAAAATACAAAAAAATTAGTCAGGTGTGGTGGCACACACCTGTAGTCACAGCTACTTGGGGGCTGAGGCAGGAGGATTGCTTGAACTCGGGAGTTTGGGGCTGCAGTGAGCTGAGGTCATGCCACTTCACTGCAGCTTGGGTGACAAAGTGAGACCCTGTCACAAAAAAAAGTAAAGTAGAATAGAGACACATTGATTTTTTAAAAAATACTTTTCCTACCTTGCCACTCACTCCATCACACAAATGTGCATATATTTTTTTAATTACACATTTATTTGTATACTATTTGGTTAATGGCTAAATCCCTGCCCCTGCCCCCTTGATAAACTACGTAAGGACAGGGACAGTGTCTAGTTGTTGCAGTTGTTTTTCATTATTTCTCCCTGGCACTTAACACAGTGCCTGACATGCAGGAGACAAATACGTATTGCATGCCTGCAAGGATGAATGAACAGAAAGGGAAACCTTGTAATTTTGCCCTGTTATTCAAGGAGATTCTCCTCCTACTAAAATATATTGCTACTTCTTGTTAGACTGTTTAACTTGGCAGCATAATATACCTTAATTTCCTGTGGCTCTTTCTTAGTTGTTAGAAAAGCAGGCTCATAGGGCCAGACTACCTGTTTTGAATACCATGTTACTTGCCTATAACCTCAGGAAAATTATTTTCTAGTCTCTCAGTCCTTCAGTGTTCTCATCTTGCAATGAAGTCTATGAATGTATCTGTTTCTTAGCAGTGTTGTCAGGATTCAATGAGATAATCCACGTAAAGTGCTTAGCACTCTCTCTGGCATATGGTGGTGCTCAGTTAACAAACAATGTTGTTATTTTATCTTACCTTCAAGTAATATAAATAATAACTTTTTATTTTTAATGTCTACTGTAGGGAATAATAAATCTACAAAAGGAGTATCTGTTCTCTCTCCTTCCAACAATACTCTTGCAATTTTATTTCATTATTTCATAATTTTCATAAAGCAGGGAAAAAAGAAAAGCAGGTATGAGGAAAGAGACCACTCACTCTAGTCCTGCAGTATTATTCTGCTTCTGCCTATTCCTGTCTGCTGGCTCCAGGCTGGCTTCTACACAAAGAATATCAAGCCGGTCCCAGGAACTGGCAAGACATAAAAAATTAATTATTTATACAAGTAGAGTCACAACAACAATAATAGATAACAATAATGTCACAAGTAAATACGATCAACAAATATTTAAATTTCAATTTTAAATTATTTTCACCTTTATCCTCTTCCGCCATTCTCTGCTGCTAAAATAAAATTGGCTAAGGTTCAGCTTTCTCTTGTTCTTTAGTTTCGAGTTACTGATAAAAGTTAGACTGGAAAAATAGAAGCTATTAGGAGAGTAAATAAATAATTTAGTTTACAAATGTGAGATCAGCTTGGCAATTGGATGTTTTTAAAGAAAGAGTATTAAATCTCAGTCACTAGGAGGAAATCATTTATCATCTAATAAAAGTCCTCACATAATAAGGTTGTCATAAGGATTAAATGAATTGATAAATGGAAAGCTTTAAGAATGATACCTGACATATGATGAATGCCATAAAACTATAAAAATATTATTTCTAGTTTCACCATTATCGTCATCATCTCTTAAAAGTCAGTGGGTTTGGTTTTTGTTTTTGTTTTTTCTGTTGGCAGTTCTTTTATGTTCAAATCCTCTTCTAAACTGTGAGATTCTTTCAAGGTGGTTTCCTGCATGATTTTTTTTTCTCCCTAGCATCCTCCAGCACAATGGATCATGTTCAGTACATTAAAAGTTATGATATAAAAATAATACCATTTTAAATTATTGATTTAGGATGTAGAAATTGATCTTAAATTGAGGGGTTCTTTTGCCATAATGTTCCATATCAGAGGTAATGTTTCTACCATTATGTTGTTACTTTGCAACTCCATAGAAAATATGTTATATATTGGTATTTAATTCCCCCAAATTTTAAGGCAATTTCATGCCTTGTTATTAAACACAAGGAAAGAGACTTACAAGAAATTTGCTTTATGTTATTAAAAATAATGTGGTAGAAGGTAACTAGGGAAAAATCTTGTGACCCAGTAGTCATTCTAAAACAAAAACTTCAAGGAACTCATTCTCTGACCTGGCAGGGGATGAGGAGTGAAGGAGAAAGAAACTTACTACTATCTGAATACCTAATCTGTGCCAGGTATTCTTCACATTCTCATATTTAATTTTCACAACCGTCCAGTAAGATAAGTATTTTGTTCTTCGTTTTACACGTAAGTAAGTAGAAGTTTAGAGAGTGTGAGTCATTTGTACAAGGTCACTAGCCTGGTTGCAGCAAAAATAGAATTCAAACCCAGTTTGCTAGATTCCAAGCCTGCTGTCAGTTCTGCTATAACCCAGTGCCCCCTGAATAAGGAGAACAATGAGAAGAAGGGCAACAAATCCTAGAGAACCATAAGAAAACTTAATATTTTATTTTGTCTTCTTGTAGTCAAAAACTACTGGTACACGATAAAGGCAACTAAGCAAAACTGGTTTCGTTAGAACTCCTGGTGTTATGAGGGCAACACTCAAAAGAGATATTTGAATAGAGGAACACTGAGAGGACAAGAGTGCAAAATCAGCCCAAAAATGTTTGCATGTTGATTTGTCACTATTGTACTCTTCCTCCACATATATTTGCTAGGAAGAACATGGAACTGATGAGTAACTTATGATAATTACTGAGTACTTTTTTTTTCTAATAGTCTAGTACTAGATCTTGTTTATTTTAACAGAGCCATTTACATTATATATTAACTCAGTTTAATATTTTTCTTTATCCCCCATTTTTACCCCTAAATGTAGGCTGTGTTAGGTCCTCTGGCTCTAGAAACAGCAAGAGTCTCTGCACCCCACTTGGAACCATATGCGAAGGATGTGATGTCAGTAGCATTTTTAGCCATCTCGATCACAGCTCCAAATGGAGCTCTACTTATGGGCATTCTGGGGCCTAAAATGCTTACACGCCATTATGATCCAAGCAAAATAAAACTGCAATTGTCAACATTAGAACATCATTAAAAAGTTTACCTGTCATCATCTGCCTGCTTCTTTTAATGAATTATTTCACATGACAGAAGAATTTTAAAGTAGAAATATGTAGGGACTGTACAGAAAATCCAGGATTTAGTAAACATGTGATTTCAGTACAGGGCTTTTCTTGGACTTTTTACTCCAAAGTTAATTTAATAAAAATAATATTAAATGGAATGCTCTCTTGGTATTTACATACTGTAAGAACAAATTAAATCTGTAAATACCTTAGGAAAGTTTAAGTAATCCCTCAGGCTGAATTTGATATCATAATACAAACTGAGCTTAATATAAAATTAAACAAACTTAATGGCAGAAAGAAAAACTTTGAATATTGAACTTGGTAAGATAGCCTAAGTTTCCAAATAGGAGGAGTAGAACTCCCCATGATGTCCAGTAATTCAGTTAAAAAGATCACTACCAAAAAAAGGAGTAAAACACATCAACTTTAAATGGGTTAACTGAATAGATTTTAAATTCTGGTTTTGGTGACTACCTGAATAAATAATATGTTAAGTAATAGAACCAAGTTAGTCTTTCCTTATTTCTGCCATGCCCTTAAAATGAAAGTCTGGTTTAGCAGTTTTTAGATGAAACACTATCTATATATTTATTTATAGAAATAAAATTAAATCACAAATGGAAGTAAACTATATTTTTTTCAATTAGTGTTTTAAAATCTAGGCATAAAAGGCAGCCTCCAAAAATGAAAGATTTGGAGACTACTGTCATGTGGCAGTTTCTTCTCCTTAGTAATACAGAATTACCTTTTAATTCTGGCTGATTAAATCTGCCATGTTAATGTAGAACCCATCATAAGCAAAGTGAGTTTTAATTAACTTCAAGACTCTTTATTTTAAAGTTATAAGAGTCATATAAACACTTCTAAAATGGCCTTATTGAAAGGCATTTTAGAAATTGTTTGGACTTCTTTGGGAAAAGCTCAATGCAAGGACTGAATATTACTTTCATTCCTCTTTTTCCTCTTCTCCACAAGCAAGATATTAAAATACCACAGAATATGAAATTTACACATAAATTTGCCAAGTGAAGCAATTAAAATTTAAGGCAATCAAAACTATGTGTTATTCCTATTAAGACTAAGGGCTTTTATAGAATATATCACCGAAACTGCCAAAAGTTCTAAAACCGTCTGGGAAATAACTCTTAGAAAATACACTCTGGGAGAATAACTCTGGGAAAAGATAAAATAGCTACTGTTTTAGTGACATTTTCTCTTTATAGTTTTACAACAAAGTACAGACTCCATTTTCAAATATTGTAATTCTAGTACTCAAATTCTAAAAATTTAAACTGTGCCAGTGTTTTGACTACTATTTAAATCATGAGGACATCTCATTGTCACTTATAAAAAAATAAAAATATGGGCAGGCTGTTGTGGCTCATGCCTGTAATCCCAGCACTTTGGGAGGCCAATGCGGGCAGATCACGAGGTCAGGAGTTCGAGACCAACCTGACCAACATAGTGAAACCCCGTCTCTACTAAAAATACAAAAATTTGTCAGGTGTGGTAGCACGCACCTGTAATCCCAGCTACTTAGAAGGCTGAGGCAGGAGAATCGCTTGAACCCAGGAGGCAGAGGTTGCAGTGAGCTGAGATCGCACCACTGCACTCCAGCCTGGGAGACAGAGCAAGACTCTGTCTCAAAAAAAAATAATAATAAAATATATGTATATATATATATATTTACAAGATAGTATTTTACATTCACAAGAGGATTAGATTTCAAAGTAGAAAGTTTATTTTAATAAAAGAGAGATAAGAAATAATTTTCAAAATGAGGAATTGTGCTTTTGATTAGGAGGAAAATTGTTGTACCTATTCTTTTTATTCTTTATTTATTGAACTTTCTCTAAGTGTATGTGATATACGTTTATTATACTGAAATAGTCGCCATTTTAAGGTAGTGTGGCAGATGTTGTTATTTATTTGAAATTTTAAGTTTATTTATAAAATGTTTTCATAAAAATTTATTAATATAATTTAAAAATTACAACCAGTTAACCATGTGTATGATATTAGTGTTTATAGTATTTAAACAAATAAGGCTGGGCACAGTGGCTCACACCATCCCAGCACTTTGGGAGGATAAGGCGGGTGGATCAGGAGGTCAGGAGAAGGAGAGCATCCTGGCTAACATGGTGAAACCCTGTCTTTACTAAAAATACAAAAAACTAGCCAGGCATGGTGGCAGGTGCCTGTAGTCCCGGCTACTCAGGAGGCTGAGGCAGGAGAATCACTTGAACCTGGGAGGCAGAGGTTGCAGTGAGCCAAGATCACGCCACTGCACTCCAGCCTGGGTGACAGAGCGAGACTCCATCTCAAAAAATTAAATAAAATAAAATAAAATAAAATAACAAACAAATACAAGATTGTTGTTTCTTATAAACTTTTTTTTGTATCTTTGCCTATTTTTTTTCACTGTTTAAGGAATTTTTATTAAAGCAAAATTTTATAATCCAAATTACCTTTCCTTGCTCAGTTATCAATTCTGTTACTTAAAACAGAAGTGACATTCTTAGCTATTCCACACTAATGAATTACAAAATTAAAGGAATGTTTTAAATTTTTATACTTTTCTGAAAATTATTTATCACAGAGTCTGAAAAGCATTACAGTGTTTTTATATTTTATTATTTTGGGAGGAATTTTTCTTTTCAAATCAATAAGTAATCTAAGACTATCATTGCATTTGTTAGATCTGACATTTGCTTGGTATGTAAAGTTCAAAGTTTCCTTTTTAAATTTATTTTATACTTTACAATTTTTTTCCATAATATTTAAGGTTTTCGATATTGAGATATTTTTCTTCAGTGATGCTCAAGTTTCTTTCTGTGGTCCCTGATCAGTTTTAAACAATTGGAACACCAGTGGCACCATTAACTGCTTTCTGGGCAGCCTCTTTAGCTTGGTGCTCTTGTAGTACAGCTATACCTTTGTCAACCTTAGTATAGAGAGGATCTGGAGATTCAAGCATATGAAGGAGTTCTAAATTACCAATCTCCACCAACATGCCAATGATTTTACCAGCACGACTAGGGCGTGGCTTGAAGAAGAGGAAACAGCCATTCACTCGTTTCCTTTTGCTTTTGAGGAGGAGAAGATGCCATCATGGAAGTCAAAGGTTCTTGACCTTCTACATGAACAGCAGGCTGCTGCATGGTAACCTGGGGCTGTGCATGAAAATATCATTGAGGATTGTGAGCTTCCATAGCATATTTATACTGTGAAATGGTACAAACAGCAGGAGTATCTGTAGTAGCAGTAGCGGCAACTGCAGGATGTGCTCCTATTGTCTGTGTCGATGTGTTACAACAGCTGTGTTGACATGACTCGTGGAAGCTGTGAAGAAGCTGGTCTCTTACTACTAAATGTAGTGAGCTAGGAGTGGCTTGGGCATATTTTTCAATGGATGAGGTCTGGCACCCTGAGCAATTTAGGGAGGATTTGAACTTAGTTGAGCAGTTTGGCTAGGAGAATACTTTGCAGCATGGCTCTCAGTCTGTGGGATAACTGCCATGAAGTCAATTGAAGAAGGTGCTGGCTGATAGGGACTGATTCCCAGGTTGAGCATAGTTTTTACACTTGCCATTCTTTGCACATAGTGTACTGGTTAATGAGCTGAGCCTGGTGCTCTTCATTGCTTTTCTTCCCATGGAGTTAACACTATATACAATGGCTCAGTGCCCACAATTCTACCATTCATTTCTGAAAGTGTTTTAGTTGCTTCCTCTGGAGAGGAGAAACATACACAAATCAAACCCTTTGTTGTGACAACCATCCTTCATAACCTTTGCATTGGTGATTGTACCAAGTGGAGAAAGTTCTTTCCAGAGACATTCATCAATACTATCAAGATTTTTTGCATAAATGTTAACACTTTGTTATCTGGTGATCCTATACTGCTTGATCTTTTCAAATTTGCACACAAGTTCCATCTGCAATTCTCCTTCTTTCTGAGCTTGACCAACATCAATTTGTTTTCCATTGAGCTTCTTTCTGTTCATCTCATCTGCGCATCTTTATGCCTTTCAAAGCTGACAAATCCAAAACCTTTGGGTTTTCCACTTTCATTAACCACTACTATCACACTTAAGACAGATCCCAACTTGCCAAAGAGATCTTTAAGGCACCTACCATCCATGTCTTCTCCAAAAATCTTCCTGTAAACATTGGTGAACTTTTTAACTCTGAGTTCTGCTTCTCATTGTTTACAAGACTTAATCCAACAAAGACTTTGCTATCATTTAGAAGCATCCATTTCATTTTTGAATAGATCTTTCAGCTGCTTCTGTGTCTCAAAATGTACAGTGCCATCACCCTTGAAACCGTTTTCACCACAAAGCACCTAATGTGAAAGTGATGAAGACAGGAGGCAGCCAAGGGTCCCCTGGTAAAACCTTACCTTCAAGACAAAAACAGCCTGAAGGCTGATAAACTGGACTGCAGGTCCTGGTTGAAGCCGCCCTTTCCTCACTGATTCTGAATAATGCCCACCTGCGCACTGGGATTACGGGGTGGAGCCTCGGGAAGTTTGTGCAGTGTGCAGTGGAGAGGAGTCTGGCCTTTTCCCATGTAGTGACCTAGGATTTAATCTATGAGGCGGGAAACCCGCTAGCAGGACTCTTTCTCTCTTTGCTAAGAGTTATTTTTCCTTTTTCCTTTCCACCCAATAAACTCCGTTCCCCCTCACCCTTCAAGTGTTTGCGTGCCTTTTCCTGGTAGTATGACAAGAACCTGGTTTTTTCTGCAACAAAAAGATGTTACCAAAAGCAGATGTATCATGCAATGCTTTATAATCAATAGATTTGTCCAATTTTTTTATGAACATGTTGCCCACTCCATTTTTGCGGAGTGATGGATCACACCGAGACTACTTAGTGTGTATTAGCTAGTCTTTTATAATATCAAAATTCATGGGGTCTTAAGGACATTCCACATCCTGCGTTTCCCAAGGAGCGCCGGTGATCTGGTTCCTGTAGCCCGTGATAGAGAGGACCAGCCAGCAGGCCTGGTCACGTGCGGTGCGAGGACAGGGGATGGCTGGGATGCTGGGCTCACCTCTGCACCTGTCTGCCGGTAGGGCCACCGGCTGCGACCTTTCCGTGAAAGGAGAGTAAGGGCTGGGGCGGAAGCCTGGGCCAGCGCAGAGAGACAAAATCACCTGGAATCTAAAACTACTCCATTCCCGAGGAACTGCGGCCTGCAGCGGGCTGGGACGAGGGTGGCGGTGTAGGGTCCAGCGTCCAGGCCTCGGGATCCTGTTCCTTCTTGAAGCTGCTTCGGAGCTGCGAGTGGGCGGGTGGGTCGCTCTCGGCTGCCTCACGGGCGATCTTATACAAGAAGAAAAGGAAAATGTCTCTGGCAGTGAAGACAAGGATTTTTTTGTAAAGTGTTTTGCAGGGGTGACGGGTGTTAAAACAGAAACCTTTTTTTTTTAAGTTTTTTTCATGGGATTTTTTTTGGGGGAATGGATTTTTCAAGATAATAAATATGTGCTGATCCTGGAGAACACACTCCACACTCTCGGCACTAACCGCTTGGGAGAAGGGACCCATTAATGTTTAATTGTACCTTCTCTTGTGGCCCCGTTTTTTCCCTTTTAATTATGAAACATTGGAGCCTACAGAAAGGTAGAAAAAATGGGCACCCACATAACCACCACCTAAATCCAATTAATTGTTAATATTTTGTCAAGTTTTCTTTATGTAATTTTTCGATTTGAATTAAAAGTAAATTATAGGCATCATGCTAATTTGCCTGTGTATACTTAAGCCTGCATATTCAAAAACTAAAGCCATTTTCTTACATAACCACAATTCCCTTATCCTTTCACACCAAGTTATCAGTAATTCCTTACAATTATTCAACTCCCAAATATTTTCAAATATAAACAGTCATGCCCCATGTAACACATTTCAGTCAACTAGTCGACCATCTACACTGTGGTGGTCTCATAAGATTAAACTGGAACATATATAGAAACTTGATAAACAGTATATGGCCCTTGATATTGGCATTGCAGCTCAAGTAGAGGAAATGACTGATGCTCAGTAGTGGTGCTGGAACATTTGATTTTCCTTATAAAAAATAAATAAGTGAAAATATATAGGGCCGGATGTAGTGGTTCATGCCTGTAATCCCAGCGCTTTGGGAGGCCAAGGTGGGCAGATCATCTGAGGTCAGGAGTCTGAGACCAGCCTGGCCAACATGGTGAAACCCCATCTCTACTGAAAATATAATTAGCCGTGTGCAGTGGCAGGTGCCTGTAATCCCAGCTACTCAGGAGGCTGAGGCACGAGAATTGCTTGAACCTGGGAGGCTGAGGTTGCAGTGAGCTGAGATCGCACCAGCACTCCAGCCTGGGTGACACAGTGAGACTCTGTCTCAAAAATATACGTATATATACCATCTAGGTTTGCATAATTACACCCTATGATTCACATTTTCTTAATTGTTTCCCAATTATAGCAATTTTTAAAAGCCAGGATCCAATCGAGAACTGGACACTACATTTTGTTTTTGTCTCTTATTTTGTAATCCAGTACATTTCTCCATACTTAATCCCTTGCTAAATGGCATAGACTTTTTTTTTTTTTTTTTTTGAGACGGAGTCTTGCTTTGTCACCGGGCTAGAGTGCAGTGGCGTGATCTTGGCTCACTGCAACCTCTGCCTCCTGGGTTCAAGAGATACTCTTGCCTCACCCTCCTTAGTAGCTGGGATTACAGGCGCCTGCCACCACGGCCAGATAATTTTTTGTATTTTTACTAGAGACAGGGTTTCACCACGTTAGCCAGGATGGTCTTGATCTCCTGACCTCATGATCCACCCTCCTCAGCCTCCCAAAGTGCTGGGATTACAGGTGCGAGCCACCGTGCCCAGCCGGTATTGACATTTTAAAGGAACCATGCTAGTTGTCACGTAGAATATCTCACATTCTGGAATTGTGGGACTGTTCATGGTTTCATTTAGTTTGTTTGTCTATCCCCTCAATTTTCTGAAATTTGAAGTTAAATTTAAAGACTTGGTTACATTCAGGTTAAACTTTTTTGGCCAGAATCATTCAAAGGTGATGTTGTATACTTCCAATAGTGGCACATTACGAAGTTTATGTCTGGTTGTCCCACTGCCAGTGATGTTAATTTTCATTCCTAAATTAAGTAGGTGATTGCCAGATGTCTATATCGTAATGGTATATTTTCCTCTGTAATTAGCCAGTGATCTCTGAGATTATACCTTGGTACTACATGAATATTTATTCTTCATCAAATTTCTCAAAATTAGTAGACTTTGTTTTTTAGAGCAATTTTAGGTTTACAGAAACCAATGAGCAGAAAGTACACAGAATTCCCATGTAACACTACCTTCCTATCCCACTCTCCACCCAATCCCTACCTCTGTACACAATTTCCCCTATTATTAACACCATGTATTAATGTGGTATATTGGTTACAATTGATACATATTGATACATTACTATAACTGAAGTCCATAGTTTACATTAGCGTTCACACTTTGTGTTGTAAAGTTCTGTGAATTTTGACAACTGTATAATGACAGATATCCACCAGTATCATATAGAATAGTTTCATCACCATAAAAATCCTCTGTGTTCCACCTATGTATCCCTCTCTTACTTTCTGCAAATTGCTGAAAACCACTGATGTTTCTACATGATAGTATTGCCTTTTCCAGATTGTCATACACTTAGAACCATACAATATATAGCCTTCTCATGCTGGCTTCTTTTACTTAGCAATATACATTTAAGTCTTCTCCATGTCTTTTCTTAGCTTAATATCTGATTTCTTTTTAGTGCTGTATAATATTCCCTTGTCTGGATGTACCACAGTTTGCATAGCCATTAACCTACTGAAGGATATCTTGGTTGCTTCCAAGTTTTGGCAGTTATGAATACAACTGTTATAAACAGCCGTGCACAGGTTTTTAAGGTTTTAACAAACTCTCCCTGGCAGTTTCTGTTTTTCCTCACTTTTCAAGCCCACGGACTATCTCCCAGTGCTGTTCGTTTTAATATTCTGCAGAGTACTTAAGCATTACAGAATATAGAAGCTGGAAGATACTTGGCAGTCTTTTAGTCCCTCATGTTCTAGATGAGAAAACTGAAGCCCAGATACCTTATTATTTGTGCAGTCCCCCAATCTGAGTGTCAAATCCACCTCTCCCAGATGTTTTCTGTTCAAATAACCCTGTGAACTTCAGTGACCCTCAGTGACCACATCATCATTATTCACCAATAGTTCTCCAACAGATCCGCTCTACATTAGCTCATTTCAAATGTTCTTTTCCTTTCACGCACATACCATACAGTACTTAAAATTTTGTTGACAACAATCAATATGAATTCAAACTAATTTCTTGCCCCAAGGATGTGACTTCTACTACACAGTTCCTTTTGGCCTGAGGGCAATTCCTAGGGCATGAACTTAGTCGTGTGCCCTCAACAGACAGCACTCTAAGGAAGCTGGGGAATGAGGGTCTCCATTCTGCAGGGAGGCCTGGACTACACAGCACAGAATACACTACTCTGTCCATCCCTCGTGTCATTTGGATCCATGACTTCATATAACCTCTCTTCATCTAGGATTAGCTCCTCCAGGATTTTGGTTGGTTTTTTTTGCGGGGAAACGTGAAAGTAACATTCATGGAGGGAACAATAGCTCCTTGGCTCTTCAACTGGTCTTTTATCAGTGATAAAAGTGATCATCTGCCTTTCCTACGATACAGGTACTATCAGGTTTACATTCTCACCCTCAGCTAGCACCTCCACTGGTCTAGGTCACTTACCTGGAGATAGGAGAGGAGGGTGTAGTAGCCATGGCTACTAGACTTGTCCTTTTAAATTGAGCAATCAAAATTTAGTAAGGGACTACTTAAACATCCCTTGGCTGCCAAACACATTCCTGTCTACTTCCGTTGTGTAACAGCATTGAATTGCAGAGATAAGAAGCAGAAATTTCCTAAGTGAATCCCTGGCGGTGACGGTAAATAGTGCTACTCTTTCTTCAATCCATGGTCCTCTTTCTATTAGCAACATGGGACCACATAATGGTTACTGATCTAGGATATATGCTTGTATCCCATCCCTGCAGCTTCAAAGGGCTACTGGAGGCTGTTCCATCACTCCATCAGTTTGACAGCTTCTAGCTGTTGTGATTTCGTGATTTGTAGTAGGATCACTGAATTGCATTTTCGTGTGTCCATCACTGCAACTACAGTGCTACAAAGTACATTCCCTTTATACAGTGCTATAAAGTACAATGCAAGGATGTGTAGGATTCCATATTGGAGGATTAAACATTCTGTCAACCCTTGGATAGTGGTGCTGGTTGAGGCCATGTAAGTAGGAAAGATAAATCCATACTCAGAATAAGTATCAGTTCCAGCCAAGAAGAATCATTACCCTTCCTGTGATGGAAAGAATCCAGTGCATTCAGCTTGCCACCAGGTGGCAACTTGGTGTCCTTGAGCGATGATGCTATCTTGAGGCCTCAGTGTTGCTCTGTCTTGATGACAACTTTGACATTCGGAAGCAGCAGTAGCTAGATAAGACTTAGTCAGTGGAGACTTCTGCTGTTTGGGCCTCTGCATAGCCTCCATCCTTGTCACTATATTTATTCACCAGTACTGAGCTGGCCAATGGAAGAGGTTGGCTAACATCATCTGGCTGAGTCACTTTTCTCCTTGGTTGTTGATAGATACCTCTTGTAGGTGTTAACATGTGAAACAAAGATCTTCATACTTTTTGTACATCCCCATAAGTCCACCCATATGTCCTTTTCTCAGATGTCTTTTTCTCCAGTCTTCCAAATTTTCTCCTTCCATCCCCCTGAACTGTAGCCAAGCCATTTGACCATGAGTCAGTACATTCTTACTATGAGTCTCTTCTCTTTCCATGCAAAGTGAATGACAAGGTGCATAGTGCAAAGTTCTGCCAACTGAAATTTTTTTTTTAATTTTTTTATTTTTTGAGACAGAGTCTTGCTCTGTCACCAGGTTGGAGTACAGTGGCGTGATCTCAGCTCACTATAAGCTCTGCCTCCTGGGTTCACACCATTCTCCTGCCTCAGCCTCCCGAGTAGCTGACACTACAGGTGTCCGCCACCACACCCAGCTAATTTTTTTTGTATTTTTTTAGTAGAGATGGGGTTTCACCATGTTAGCCAGAATGGTCTCGATCTCCTGACCTCATGATCCACTGCCTTGGCCTCCCAAAGTGCTGAGATTACAGGTGTGAGCCACTGTGCCTGGCCAAGAATTTATTTTTGAGTTGAATTTTTAAATATTAAAACTTTTTAAATATACAAACAAAAACTGTATATATTTGGAGTGTACAACCTGATGTTTTGAAATATGGATACATTGTGAAATGGCTAACTCAAGCTAATTAATACATGTGTTACCTCACATACTTATCATTTCTTTTGTGGTGAGAACACTTAAAATCTACTGTCCTAGCAATTTTCAAGTATGCAATACATTGTTATTAACTGTAGTCACCATGTTGTACAATAGGTCTCTTGAACTTGTTCTTCCTGCTTATCTTAATTTTTGTATCCTTTGACCGACATCTCCCCAGTTCTACCCTCCTCCCCCCGCCCCTAATAACCATTATTCTATTTTCTGCTTCTATGTGTTTGACTTTTTTAGTTTCCACATATAAGTGAGATTACATGGCATTTATCTCTCTGTGCCTGGCTTATTTCACTTAATATAATGTCCTCCAGTTTCATCCATGTTATTATAAAGGACATGATTTCCTTCTTTAAGGCTGAACAATATTTCATTATGTATATATACACCACATTTTCTTTAATCATTCATCTGTTTAAGGATACTTAGGTTTTTTTCATATCTTGTCTATTGTGAATAATGTTGCAATGAACATGAGGTACAGATTTTTCTTTGACATATTGAATCATTTTCTTTGGGTATATAAATAGTACTAGGATTGCTGGATCATATGGTAATTTTATTTTTAACTTTCTGAGAAACCTCTATATTATTTTTCATAATGGCTGTACTAATTTACATTCCCGCCAACAGTATACAAAGGCTCCCTTTTCTCCACATCCTCACCAACACATGCTATCTTTTGTCTTTTTCATGGTAGCCATTCTAAAAGGGATGTCTCATTGTGGTTTTGATTTGCATTTCCCTGATGACTGGTGATATTGGTTATTTTTTCATATTCCTGTTGGCCATTTGTATGTCTTCTTTGGAAAAATGTTTATTCAGGTACTTTGCCTCCCTTTCATTAATCAGGATATATGTTTTCATGCTATTGAATTGTATGAATACTTTATATATTCTGGATATTAATCCTTTATCAGATGTATGGTTTGCAAATATTTTCTCCCTTTTTGTAGGCTATCTATTTACTCTATTGATTGCTCCCTTTGCTTGCACAGCTTATTAGTTTGATATAATCCCGTTTGTCTATTTTTGCTTTTGTTGCCTGTGCTTTGGGGGTCATATCCAGAAAATCATTGCCCAGACCAGTCTCATGGAGCTTTTCCTGTATATTTTCTACTAGTAGTTTTATGGTTTCAGGTTTTATATTTAAGTCTTTAGTCCATTTGTGGTTTTTTTTTTTGTATATGGAGTGAGATAAGGGTCTAATTTCATTTCTCTGCATGTGGAGTTCTCCCAACACCATTTATTGAAAAGATTGTCCTTTTCTCATTGTGTATTCTTGGCATATTTACTGAAAATCAATTGGCCATAAACGTGGATGTATTTTGAGGCTCTCTATTCTATTCCATTGGTCTACCAGTCTGTTTGTATGCCAGTATCATGTTATATTTTTGATTACTATATCATCATAGTATGTTTTGAACCTGGATAATATGATACCTTCTACTTTGTTCTTTTTGCTCACAATTTGCTATTTGGAGTTTTTTGTGGTTTCACATGAATTTGGGACTTTTTTCTGTTTACGTAAAAAATATCATTGGAATTTTGATAGAGATTACATTGAATCTGTAGATCACTTTGGGTACTAAGAACATTTTAACAGTATGAATTCTTCTAATCCATGAAGATGGGATATATTTCCATTTATTTGTGTCTTCTTCAATTTCTTTCACCAATGTTTTATAGTTTTCAGTGTACAGGTCTTTCACCTCCTTGGTTAAATTAATTCCTAAGTATTTGTGTAGCCATTATAAATGAAATTGTTTTCTTAATTTCTTTTTCAGATAGTTCATTGTTAGTGTATACAGATGCTACTCGTTTTTTTATGTTGATTTTGCATCCTGCAACTTTACTGAATTAATTTACTAGTTCCAACAGTTTTTTTTGGTGGACTCTTTAGGGTTTTCTACATTTAAGATCATGTTGTCTGCAGAGACAATTTCTCTTCTTCCTTTCTGACTTTAATGCCTTTATTTCTTCTTCTTGACTAATTGCTAGAACTTGAATAGAAGTGGTGAAAATGGGCATCCATCTTGTTTCTGATCTTAGAGAAAAAGCTTTCAACTTTTTACCATTGAGTATGATGTTAGCTGTGGGCCTATCATATATGCCTTTATTGTGTTATGTGGACATTGATACCTAATTTGTTGAAAGTTTTTATTACAGAAAGATGTTGAATTTTGTCAAATGCTTTCTCTGCATCCATGGAGATATTCATATAGTTGTTGTCCTTCATTCTGTTAATGTGTATATCATATTTATTGATTCGTATATGCTGAACTGTCAATGGGAGGATTTAATCTACTGTTATCTTTCCATAGCTGAAGTAGGCTGCTATCATTTTTTACTTACATCCACATCCTGAGTTGATCTTCCAATGAACAAGCTTAGCTTTTTTCCTCCTTTAGCAATATTGGAACTCCCACATAGGCAGAGTTGCCAGCTGAGGGAGAGAATCTAGTGTCACAATCTGGATAATGTGGGGACCTGGATCACCTGATCATACTGCTTACTTGTGACCTCTAGTCTTTCTCATGCCCAATCCTTGATGTGATATGGTTTGGCTCTGTGTCCCCACAAAATCTCATCTCAAATTATAATCCCCACATGTAGATAGAGGGACCTGGTGGGAGGTGACTGGATCATGGGGGCAGTTTCCCTCATGCTGTTCTCATGATATTGAGTGAGTTCTCATGAGAGCGGATGGTTTAAAAGTGTTTGGCACATCCCCCCTTGCTCTCTGTCTCTCCTGCTGCCTTGTGAAGAAGGTGCCTGCTTCACCTTTGCCTTTAGTCATAAGTGTAAGTTTCCTGAGACCTCTCCAGCCATAAGGAACTGTGAGTCAATAAACCTCTTTTGTTTATTAATTACCCAGTCTTGGGTAGTTCTTTATAGCAATGTGAAAATGGACTAATTCAATGTGCTACTTCTATTTTATTATGATTTGTTGCTGGGCCAGCCTGTCCTTATGATCTGGTAGATCTAACAAAACCAAACTCACTGTGGGAACTTTTAGCTACATGGTCACTTAATATTTGTTGTCAGATAGTCCATCTCTACCTAGGTGCAGTAGCATGCTAGGAGCTATTAAAGTACACAATTATGCTATATATTTACACAATATACAATTACTGGCAGATAGCATGACCATGCTAGTGAACCCCACAAGACTATGTGTGAATCGTCTATTAGGGTTTGCTATAAACTCTACATGGTGCTTTTTCCAACTACATATATTTCTAATACCATAGAGCCTACTAGATTGTATGGCTCAAACAGTAGGGCTGCTTGCCCTGGATCCTGGACCTGCTGCAGAGGCCTTTTCTGCCCTAAGCTTTTGTCAAAGGTGGAAGCCTTCTGTGTCACTCAGCAAATGTGTCAGAACAGTATTCCTTAGTATAGGGGGGGAAAAATGGGCCCTCTAAAATCTTCTGTGACTGATGTCACAGATCCTTAAATCTTCAGATGATTTTCTCTCTCAGGGATGCTTGTGTCTCTCTAGGCCATCCAGCATGTTATTTCTTACCCAGTCTATTTTAACTGGTAAATAAAATGGAAAAATGTAACATGCTACAGAATGTCCAGACAGCTCAGGTCTCTGGACTACATTAGGACAGAGAGTCAAAGAACTAATATACATCTTGGATAAGTCTCTAAATGCATGCTGTTGTCCTTCCCAAGAATGTGAATTGCTTCTGGTAAATTTCACTCTAAGTACTGCTTCAGTTATTTTACATATATATTGATTGGTAATCTTTTCATTTTAATTCAATTTTAAGCATGTTCTAATTTTTATTATAATTTCTTCTTGCTTCCATGAATCATTTGGAAGCTGTTTGTAGTTTCTAAAATTCATGGATTACTTTTGGATAAGATTTTGTTATTGATTTCTAATAGTGCTATGACACATTTGTTATACCAATGTAAACATTTGATACTACCTTTAGGCCTAATATCTGGTCAATTTTTGTAAATACTCCAAGTGTGCTTGAAAAGAATCGAAATTCTTTAACTGTTGATTAGCCTTACTAATTTTATGTTTATTTATTCAATTACTAAAAATGAAATGTTAAAATCTCTCACTGTGTAGATTTTTTTATTGCTATTTCCAATTCTAATTTTGGTTTTATTTATTTTGAGACTACATTATTAGGTATCCACAATTTTATAAAAATTAAGAAAAAATTAGAAAAGTTTAGAAAAAAATTAGAAAAATATAGAAAAAGATGTGAAAGAAGCACACATGGGCTTTATCTGGATGATCTCTTATCAGGTTTGTATCCTGGGGAAGGCCTTCACAGCAAGAGATGGACCAGAGGATTGAGACAAGGGGGCCACCATTCAGAAAGGGAGGAGGGCAAAGGAACTCCTGAGGGAGGAAAGGATCAGAGAGGAGGCTTTCATGTCTCAGTGATATCACTCAGCAGCATGGCATGGAGTCTGTAGTTCACAGAGTTCCAAAGAGCAGAAGCAGTTTGGAGTCTTTACAGCCTAGAGTTTATCTGTGGCAAGCAGATTTTGGATGTAGTTTCCCAGGGCATGTAAATCAGGCAGGCTCTAAATGCCTACAAATCTGCATGTCTGGGCTATGTTTAACACAATTGGATATTTAAAAATTTGAGTTTGGTGCCAGTTCGTTTTTGAGCTAATGGGTTTCAGCTTGCTGTGAAGAAATAACCTAGGTGCCAATACACAGAGACCATCCTTGTCTCATTTACATTATATGCAGTGACTCTATCCTTTTTTGCTCACAATTGTTTTATTCATTTCTTTTAGATTTGTTTACTTTACTGAGATTATTTGGTAGGTAAGATTTCAGTTTATTGTAGTTTGCTAATTCATTATTCAAAGTGTTCTAATAAAAATTTTGTTCCATCCTTAATCCCCATTTAAACAAAGCTGCTGTGGGTAAGGTCATCAATGGCCTTCGTGTCATCAAATCCATTTTGTAAACAAAATTTTAATGTTTAAAATTTTCTTATGTGTACACATGTTTAATTTATGTAATTTCAAAACGGGGTATCACACATGGAATTTGGTAGTTTTCTTTCCTTTTTTTATTCACTTACTCTGTTTCTTAATGCTTTACTGTAATCCACAACGCAATGTCCCCAATATTTATTATGTATAACTGATAATCACATAAAACATATTTTGTCATTAAGTGTTATCTTTTTCCACATAGGTGTTCCTGTCTTTAGTCTTCTATTTTCTCTCTCTCCCGCTTCTCTCCCACCCTTCCTCTCTCCATTTATGTAAGTATTTAAATCATTTTAAAAATCATTTTATGTATCACTTCAAAGCCTTCAGTGTAAATTGAGGGTCCAATTTTGTTTTCTTTGAATTGTTTATTTTCATATATTAATTTTTCATCTACTTGTAGATTCTCAATTTTTTACCACTCTTGCTTATTCTTAATTAATACAATTGTTTTTCTTAATTGATCAATTCCAATAGTTCTATAGTAGGTGCTGATATCTGGTGAGAAAAGTTCCTCTCAATAGTCTTTTTTTTTTTGGTACAATTTTCTGACTATTCTTCTACATGAACTTTAAGATAATTTAATCAAATTTTAAAATGTTTTTGTGATTCTAATGTGAATTTAATTGAATTTATATATAATTTTAGGAGATTTATGCTTTTACAAGAGTTTTGTTTGTTTTTTTGAGACAGGGTCTCACTGTGTCACCCAGGCAGGAGTGCAGTTGTGGGATCTCAGCTCACTGAAGCCCCAACCTCCCACCTCAGCCTCCCAAGTACCTGGTTCTATAAGCATGCGCCAAGCCCAACTAGTTTTTTGTTTTGTTTTGTTTTGTTTAGAGACAGGGTTTCACAATTTGCCAAAGCTGGTCTTGAACTTCTGGGCTCAAGCTGTCCTCCTGCCTCAGCCTCCCAAAGTGCTGGGATTACAGGTATGAGCCACTGCACCTAGCCTCATGTGTTTCTTATTCAACAGCTTTTGGTAACATTTTTATAGTTTTTTTCTTATAGATCGTCTTTCTTGGTAAATTTATTTTACCTTTATTATTTTTGTTATTGTGAATATTTTTACCATTAGCATTTCAAGGTGCTTATTGCTAATCTATTTTGTATTATGATCTTATTTCCAAATACCTTACCAATATTCCTCTTTAAAATATTTGAAAGTTCTGTTTTTCCTAATCTCTATGATTTCCTAGGCATATAATCATATCCACAAAAAGTTTTCTGTATATTTATACTGATTATTTCATTTAAAAATCTTGTTACATTCATGGATCCTCCAAGATAATCTTTAATAACAAATACTGACAGCAGCTATTCCTACTGGTTCCTTGTTTTAATTGAAATGTTCCTTTATGATTTAAAATACTTGTTTTGTAGGCATTTCATAAATAACGGTTATGTTTAGACACTTTCCTTCAATTTCTATTTTACTCGAGAATCTTCATTAGCAGTGGATGTTTAATCTTAACAATAGCCCTCTCAGCATCTACTGATATAATCACATTTTCCTCTTCTTTGATGTCAATTATGTAATTGTGTTAATATACTTAACTGATATTGAAATACCCGTGAATTCCTGAAATACAATGCTCTTTGCATACTGTATTACTCTTTTTTGTTGTTGCAATTATTGATAAAAGTGCTGGGTTTTTATTTAGAATATTCATTCATATGTATAAGTCAGATTGGTCTATAGTTTTGGCTTTTTTGTTTGTTTTTTGTTTTGAGATGGAGACTTGCTCTGTCACCCAGGCTGGAGTGCAGTGGCGTGATCTTGGCTCACTGCAACCTCTGCCTCCTGGGTTCAAGCTGGGATTACAGACATGCACCACCATGCCGGGCTAATTTTTGTATTTTTAGTAGAGACTGGTTTTCACCATATTGTCCAGGCTGGTCTTGAACTCCTGACCTTAAGTGATCCACCTGCCTTGGCTTCCCAAAGTGCTGGGATTACAGGTGTAAGCCATGGCACCTGGCCTATAGTTTTGTCTTATGTTTATCAGGTTTTCATATTAATGCTGCACTGCCTATGTGAAATGAATTGGTTTCTCTTTTTTAAAAATATTTGGGATACTTTAAATAACATTGGAATTATCCTTCTTGCAACCCTAGTACTTTTTTAAATTATGGATTTAAAAAATCACTGTACATTCTTTCTTTGTAACTGGTCTATTAACATTTTAAATTTCTTCTTGGATTAGTTTTGGTCATTTATATTTTTCCAGAAAATTACCCATTTTCTCTAGATTTTCCAATGTGTGGCCATATAGTTGCATGCAGCATTTCAAAGTGAATGTTTCTTTTTCATTTTATTTTATTTTTTTTTTTGAGATGGAGTCTTGCTCTGTGGCCCAGGCTGGAATGCAATGGCATGACCTTGGCACACTGCAACCTCTGCCTCCTGGATTCAAGTGATTCTTCCACCTCAGCCTCCCGAGTAGCTGGGATTACAGACATCCGCCATCATGCCCAGTTAATTTTTGTATTTTGGTAGAGACGAGTTTTCACAATGTTGACCAGGCTGGTCTTGAACTCCTGACCTTAAGCAATCTGTCCACTTTGGCCTCTCAAAGTGCTGGAATTAGTTACAGGTGTGAGCCACCGCACCTGGCCCTCAAAGAGAATCTTTCTACCTTCATCTTATTTTACTTCTTGGTAGCATTCTACAAAGTTGAAGATTGTACTTGTGAGTTTTGAGTTTCTTTATTTGATGAATGGATGTGATTAATTTATATCTTTAGTGTGATCATGCAGAGAAATGTATGAGGGATAGTGATGGAAAATTACAGGAAATCTGAAAATTTAATAAATTGTTGGCATTTTTATTTTCTCACTAGTACAAGGTTCATCTCAGTAATTATGAAATGTACTACCCTTTTCTCCTTTTCTATGTTATTTTGGAAAATTACAGCCTTATAATAGAGATCAGAAATGTGTTAACATTATGGCTGATCTATCTGACAACAGTGTTCTAAGAAAACAGTATCACAAATATACTTCCTCACCATAATTTTTCAAAACAGAAATTTTGTAAGCAAAGAATCAAGCGTTTAAACCAAAGGAAAGTTAGAGTGATGTCATCTCTGGTTGAAAAACACAGTCTTTCTGAATAGATTTTCAATGTCCTTGAAGACCATAACTAATATAAAATTACACAATACATTTGCTAATAATGTGAACTGTACACTTTTTATATGAAAATGATGCTTGCTACAACATGACTTTACTAAATTGGATTTCTGCAAAAGATAAAACACCAGGCATGGTTGCTCACACCTGCAATCCCAGCACTTTGGGAGTGCTGAGGCAGGGAGGATCACTTGAGTCCAGGACTTCGAGAGCAGCCTGGGTAACATAGTGAGACTCTGTCTCTTAGAAAAGTAAAAAATTAGCCAGGCATGATGAAGCATGACTGTAGTCTCAGCTACTTGGGAGGCTGAGGTGGGAGGATCGCTTGAGCACAAGAGGCTGAGGCTGCGGTGAGGTACGATCAAGCCCCCGCACTCCAGCCTGGGTGACAGGGCCAGACTTTGTCTCAAAATATATGAAAGTAGATAAAATTAGTTTACTTGCTGAACATAATCAAATATAGCAACTTTCCAGTAAAAGACTATTAGGACAAACTATGTTAACACAACCTCAGATGATGCAGCATAGTTAAAACAAAACAAAACAGCTTTGGGCATGTTCTATACTCCAACCTCTGTGGTGCAAAGGGACTATATGGCCAACTAGGTGTTGAGGCAGTCACAGAACTGCTGCACATGTGGTTTTTAAACAAGATTTTTAATTCCCCCTAAAGTGGAAGAAGTCATCTAACAAAATTTATTATGACTTAAATTGCTACTTCTTTATTTAGTTTTCCTCAAACTTTAACAAAATAAATTATGTAGTAAGTTATAGTCATTAAGCTTGAAAAATGTTTCAATTGAATGGGAAAACTTCCTGTGATAAAGCCTCGAATCATCAAGGAATAAGTCAATATATTTTACGCATAAATTTTCCAACATGTTAAGCACTAAGCTTTTAACTAAATAGCTAAGGGGAAATTGTTGCCATTGAATGCAACACATATCCTGCCTTTTTAAATAACACATACTACTTATCTTGATTTCAATTCATCCCTAAACATCACTTGTATAATTTGATCGCAGTGATGTCCTCAGAGACAGTTGTATGCGGAATCCTATAAATTGTCTCAAGGTGCTATGCTTTTAATGTTCACCTTAAATTTATTTTTGTTCCCCTGCCTTGCTGTCAGTTGTCACATTTTATAGTTCACCCCTTCTGCAAGACCCTTTCGATACTTGTGATTTGTTAGGAAGCAGAAATCAGATAACCTAACTTGTTAGAATTCAATGTGAAGTAAGAATAAGTAGACTCTGGGTAGCTGCTGCCTCTACCATTAAAATTTTTTTAAAAAGAAGACTTTTCAATTGCCATTTAATTTGAACTTGACTTACCTAGACTACTATTAGTCGATATTAGTTTAACAGAGGGAAAATTGTTAATAAAGTAGATCTAATATGTAAACACATACATCATTCCCTTGTTCTGGATCTATCAATGATTTCATACTTTGACTATATCTAAATTATCTGCTTTTCCTGGCCTTCAAAGTGGTCTTTAATTCAGCCCTGCTTTCCATGGGTTGAATTTCCTACAATGCTGAGATGTTTATATTGGTTTCCTCCTGTCCTATGAACTTCGTACTGATTTCTGCCCCAATAAATTTGATTAGATGAAGAAAAAAGAGTTTTTTTTTTTAAGATAGAGTCTCACTCCTGTTGCCCAGGCTGGAGTGCAGTGGCACAATCTTGGCTCATTGCAACCTTGGCCTCCTCAACTCAAGAGATTCTTGTGCCTCAGCCTCCTGAGTAACTGGGACTATGGGTGCACCACTGGTGCCCGGTTAATTTTTGTATTTTTTTGTAGAGGTGAGATCTCACCATGTTGCCCAGGCTGGTATGGAACTCCTGAGATCAAGTACTCCACCCACCTCAGCCTCCCAAAGTGCTGAGATTACAGGTGTGTAGTCACTGCACCAAGCCAATGAGGCACTCACTTCTGAATAAAGTACAAGCATTAGTAACATCTCCCCTGGTCTCTCCAGATTGGTTATGCTGCCACAACTGAATTCTAAATGGGTTAAGTGCTATACAATTAGTTAAGTTTCTTTAGTAGGTATCAAATAAAACATCCACCTAAATTCTTAAGAACCTTGTTAAATAGTGGAATTTACAAATTCTTTATACAGATTCTGACAGCACATTTCTATTGGAAGACTATGGAATCACAATGAGGAAGGTAGTACTATATAGATCAGCAGCTAGCTTAATTGGCTTCCTGTAACTTATTAACAAATTAGGTTACAAAATACAAAGGCATCTTAATGAATCATCATATTTGGCATTGAACTCAAAGCTGAATTGTGTGAATTGTGAGGTGCTTTCCATAATTCAACTTGCTTAATTACCCATAAGAATGAATCATTCATACCTCAAGCCTACTAACACTTTTGGATACCTTATGTTTATGTAATGGTGGTGCTCATTTGCTGAGTAAGGCATGAGTAGTTTCCTAGGTAAGCAGAAGTAGCCCTCAAAACAATCATAATGTGAAACAATAACAACAGGGCTGTATTTTGAAGGCTCTAGAAACCCAAGACGTATTTCAAGAGCCAAGTTACTTTTTTTTTCGTTTACCACTTATCCTCAAGTTCTACGAGTTACTTATACTGTATCAATTCAAATACATTTGGTTATTAGATGTCTATTTTTTAAAGATGGACAAGATAAAATTGTGTAAATTTACAAGAAGTAATGGAAACTGCTAATAATGCTTATTTAAAAGAGTTATTAAAGCAAGAGCTTACTACCAACCCTAGGCTTCTGAAAAATTTGCACAGGTGGGAAAATATATGGGCATAGCTCTTAGCATATTTTAACAACTGAAAATGTGGCAGGGAAAAAGTCTTTATTCTGAGAGTATAACCATCTTACTTTTGGGGTATTAATATTACCTTTTATGAGATAATTCATTTTCAATGTTATTTGACAAAATTCAAAGTTGGTCATTCATTTTAGTCTCCTCATTTTTAGTAAATTTTCCTCCTGTAAAATCTAAGTTATGGGAACCACTAGAACATGTGTGAAAACAAGTTGCTGTGAGACGCAGTGACAGATTTTACAAAAAGAAAAGCATTTCATGACCACAGACCAGGATATCCAAAATTTTGGTGAGGTGGATTTTTTCCAAAGTCTGGTGACCAACTGTGGAAAAATAATTGGTTAATCTGACAGTGAGGCCCTTTAACAGTGTTGAAGAAAATGTATCCAAAAAAGTACAGAGAGTCAAAGAAGTGAGAGCAATGCTGTATTTATCCCCCACTGACATGTGAGGAAAGAAAAATAATTTTGGACATACACCTTGTAAAACTTCTCGAAAACCAGACTACATTTCTAACTCTAAAATACATGCTGCTGGTCATGAAGATGTTCTGATCATATAATTTAACCTACTGACATTACATGTAATAAATTAAAAACCCAAGTACCATGCTTAGTGTAGTGTCTGGTACATACAAGTTCTCAATGACAATTAGTTTTGTTTCTAGGATTACCTCTGTCCCTTGTACCTTCTTATAAAAAGAAAGCAAAGTGAACTGAATAAATTGTATCTTAAATAGACTAAAGAAAAGCTTTTGTATTTGTCTTTTCTCAACTAAGCAGTTTCCATAGTGCCTAGCAAGGTATCAGAAATGCACTCAATGAAGAGGGTTAAATGGTAACTCTTTCAGAACAGAAAGGATTCCCTAAAGAGCCCAGCAGAGGCAGAGCACTATTTTGCCCAGCCTGGCCTTGAACTCCTGGGCTCCAGCACTGCAGCCATCCTCCCACCTCAATCTTCCCAGCAGTTGGGACTACAGGCCTGTGCCATGGCACCTGGCTAAGGATAGCTATTATGAGAGTAGTAATGTAAGATGAAACTAAAAAGACTGATAATAGTAGGATTAAAAAGCACAAAAATTTTAAAGATTCTCCAGTACGTTTATTTCACAAACTTTTTTGTACAGTTGACCCTTACACATGGGTTTGAAATGGGTGGTTACACTTATGCGCATACTTTTTTCAATCAAATGCAGGTGAGGTCACACAGATCAGCATTTGTGCATGGGATGTGAAACTCATGTGTATGGAGGGTCAATTGGAGGGCCAACTTTTCTACATATGGGTTCTGCAAGACTTTCTGTGAGACTTGAGTATGGGCAGATTTTGGTATATGTGTGGCCCTGGAACTAGTCCCCAGTGTATACAAGGGATGACTGTATTTTAATGGTTTATAGTGTTAAAAAGAGAAAAATGTCCACGTAACCACAATTTTGAACACTGAACTATTTTAATATGAATTAATATGTCTTATATTTATTACCAACTGATCTTCAAATTGCAGCAGCCCATGAGTTTGGTTGTAAGTGTTCTTGCCATTCCACCCCAGCTGTCACTGAGTCAAACAGTTTAAAATATACACACACAAACAGACACAAGCCTTTTGTAAAGTAAACAAATCTTTTATACTGTAAATAACTGTTCCTCAATGGAACTTTTTGTATCCAGTTTACTTCTTTTCTAAAGATGGGATATTCATATTAAATACCCAACAATCTCTATAAAGCAACGAGTCTATCTCTGTGAAAACACAAGTAATTCTTGATGGCAATATTTTTCTTAATTCACCTAAACAAATGCAGTTTGGAAGGCCAAAAGGAGAAAAAAACACTTCAGATTATCAAAACGAAAAGAGATATGAAAAAATAACATATTTAACAATGTAGGCGGGAATTTTAAATACAAGATCCTGTTGAAAATATTGATATTCAAAGAAACAAATAGCTTTGGATCCATAACCACAATTTAGGTTTTCCTAGATTAAAATCAGAAGTGATTTTATTGTTGGAAGATACATTAATTCTTTGAAGTCAGAATAAGAGGCTTGACAATTTAATTTCTAATTAAGTGACTGAATAGACAAAGGATCAAATACAAACAGTAGTGCAGGAAGAAAATAAATTGGAAGAAATAATTGTTCAACCAGTAGTAATAATTAAGACCAACATTTTAAAATTTTCTATACACAAAGAATGAGAAAATATTGTTATAATATTATTATTATACTTCTTTCTTTTTTGGTATCAGTGGACCCACATTATCTCCTGTCAATTCATTGTGTTTATTATGTGAACCATCGCAGGCAGGAAACTAAAAAGAAAAAAGAATTACAAGTGTTATTTTTAAAATATGATTCATTAGGTAGAAACATTTGTGAAATGCTCTCCGAAAGAAAGAATATCGCTTGCTAAAAAAAATCAGATCGTTTTCCTGAGTAATAGTTACATTTTACATCCAACTGAACCATATTCAAAATCTAACAATTTAAACAGTTACTTCATTATTTGGTTTAGATTTTAAGTAAAAACCTATGAATGATTCCATATGAGTGATTAAAACAGACAACAGGTTTAAAAGGGAATCAAAGAAGTTCTTGGTCATTTGTGGAGCTTAAAATTCGAGCTCACCTATTGCTTAATTTTAAAACAATGGAATTTAATTCAAAATAAGTTCATAATTTTTTCTTGCTATAAAACTCATGCATACCACACAATTTTTGAAAACAAAAATATATTTTAAGCTGGGTGTGGTAGCTTACGCCTGTAATCCCAACACTTTCGGAGGCAGAGATGGACAAATCACTTGACATCGGGAGTTCAAGACTAGTCTGGCCAACGTGGCAAAACCCCATCTCTAACTAAAAATACAAAAGTTAGCTGGGCGTGGTGGCATACGCCTGTGTCTCGGGTACTTGGGAGGCTGAGGTGGGAGAATTCCTTGAACCCAGGAGGTGGAGGTTGCAGTAAGCTGAGATCATGCCATCGCACTCCAGCCTGAGTGACAGAGCAAGACTCTGTCCCCGCAAAAATAAATAAAGAATAAATAAAAATAAATTTAAAAAAATTCACTCATAACCCATCCAGATATAGGTAATAATAATTAACAGTTTGTTTATCAAACTCCTGCTTGGGGGAGTGGGAGTGGTCCAGCAGCCGGCGTGCCTTACTAGTGAAAAAGCTGGGGTTGAAGCTGCCACGGGGGGAGGTGTGGGGGCCTAGGGGGATCTGCTTGGACCTTCTGGGTGTCCTCCTGTAACCTCAGGTTCCTCACCTGTCTCAGAGGACGGCTGGGCTGCTATGGCAGGGTTGTTTGGAGGATTGAGACAGATAGTCCCAGTAAAGCCCCATTAGGCCCCCCCACCCCCCGCCTCCTGGATTTTTATTTATTATTATTTTTCTGGCTTTCTGAGGAAACTTTCCGGAATGTGTCCAGGTGTTGAAGCGGGAAGTCTGGACACCCTCCCTTGGCGTTGCGGTTCCTTCCAGACGCCCCCTCTTCTTAGGCTCTTTTCAAGCACACACCAGGCAACATGTGCTCTACCCAAGTGCACTTCACAGATCTTCCTGTGGGTCTAAAATCAGAAAGCTTTCTTCCCTGACCCCTGCCCTCATATCACCCGAACCCCAAGTCTTTTGGCAGAGCCGGCTACAGACTCGAGCGTCAGTTTAATGCTTGTTCCCTAAGGTCTCCCCAGGGCTCTTAGGAAGGCGTTAGGGTTAGGATTCAGGTTCGGGTGCGCTTCTCGGCGCCCTGCGCTGGCGCTGTGTGCCTTTGGGAGGGCGGAGCTGCATTCTCCTCAGCACAGGATGAGGTGTGTTCTGCTCAGCACAGACCCCGGGGGCCACCGCGAAGGCAGAGCAGCATACTCCTCAGCACAGACCTTGGGGGCACTGCCTCGCTTTGGGACAACTCGGGGCCGCATCGACGGTGAATAAAATCCTTCCTGTTTGCAGCCCTGAATAATCAGGGTCAGAGACCAGTTAAAAGGGTTCAGTGTGGAAAACGGGAAATCAAAAGCCCCTCTGAATCCTGCCCACTGAGGTTCTCCCCTGCGAAGGCGAGGTGGCCGCAGTGCGAGATCCACACCGCAGTCTCGGAAGATCTTTTGTCTGATTGCTCTGGCTAGGACTTCCAGTACTATGTTGAAGAGGAGTAGTGAGAGTAGGCTCCTCGTCTTGTTCCAGTTCTCAAATGGAATGCTTTCACCTTTTCCCCATTCAGTATTATGGTGACTGTGGGTTTGTCACAGATGGTTTTTATTACATTAAGGTATGTCCCTTGTATGCCTATTTTGCTGAGAGCTTTAATCATAAAGCAATGCTAGATTTTGTCGAATGCTTTTTCTGCATCTGTTGATATAATCATGTGAGTTTTTTTTTCTTAATTCTGTTTATTTGGTATATCACATTTATTGACTTGCATATGTTAAACCATTCCTGTATCACTGGTATGAAGCCCACTTGATCATGGTGGATTATCTTTTTGATATGTTGTTGGATTCAGTTAGATAGTATTTTGTTAAGGATTTTGACATCTGCGTTCATCAAGGATGTTGGTCTGTAGTTTTCTTTTTTGGTTATGTCCTTTCATGGTTTTGGTATTAGGGTGATGCTGGCTTCATAGAATGGATCAGGGAGGGTTTCTTTCTCTGTCTTGTGGAATAGTCTGAAAGGATTGGTATCATTTCTTCTTTGAATGAAAGAAAACATTCTTTGAATGTCTGGTAGAATTCTGCTGTGAATCTGGCTTTTTTGTTGGTAATTTTAATATTACAATTTCGATCTTGCTGCTTGCTTTATTGGTCTGCTTGGGGTATCTAATTCTTCCTGATTTAAGCTAGGAGGGTTGTATTTTTCCAGGAATTTGTCCAACTCTCCTAGGTTTTCTAGTTTATGTGCCAAAAGGTGTTCATAGTACCCTTGAATAATCTTTAATATTTCAGTGGTGTCAGCTGTAATATCCCCTGTTTCATTTCTTAGTGAGGTTATTTGGATTTTCTCTCTTCTTTTCTTGGTTAATCTTGCTAACGGTCTATCAATTTTATTTATCTTTTCAAATAACCAACTTTTTGTTTTATTTATGTTTTGTATTTTTTGTTGTTGTTATTGTTGTGTCAATTTCATTTAGTTCTGCTCTGATCTTGGTTATTTCCTTTGTTTGCTGGGATTGGGTTTGGCTTGTTCCTGCTTCTCTAGTTCCCTGAGATGTGAACTTAGATTGTCTGTTTGTGCTCTTTCAGACTTTTTGACATAGGTGTTTAGGGCTACAAACTTTCCTCTTAGCACTGCCTTTGCTGTATCCCAGAGGTCTTGATAGGTTGTGTCATCCAGTTCGAAGAAATTTTTTACATTTCCATCTTGGTTTCATTTTTCACCCAATGCCCATTCAGGAGCAGGTTATTTAATTTCCATGTATTTGCATGGTTTTGAAGATTCCTTTTGGAGTGGATTTTCACTTTTATTCCACTGTGATCTGAGAGAGTGTGTGATACAATTTCAATTTTCTTAAATTTATTGAGACTCTTTTTATGGCCTATCATATGGTCTATCTTGGAGAAAATTCTATGTGCTGTGGAATAGAATGTGTATTCTGTGGTTGTTGGATGAAATGTTCTGTATATATCTGTTAAGTCCATTTGTTCCAAAGTATAGTTTAAATCCAGTGTTTCTTTGTTGACTTTCTGTCTTGATGACCTGTCTAGTGCTGTCAGTGGAATATTGAAGGCCCCCACTATTATTGTGTTGCTGTCTATCTCATTTGTTATGTCTACTAGTAATTGTTTTATAAATTTGGGAGCTCCAGTATTAGGTTCATGTATGTTTAGGATTGTCATATTTTTCTGTTGGATGAGGCCTTTACCGTTATATACTGTCTGTCTTTGTCTCTTTTAGCTACTGTTGCTTTGAAGTTTGTTTTTCCTCATATGAGAATAGCTATCGCTGCTCGCTTTTGGTGTCCATTTGCATGAAATGCCTTTTTCTACCACTTTCCTTAAGTTTATGTAAGTTGTTATGTGTTAGGTGAGTCTCCTGAAGGCAGCAGATAGTTAGTTGGTGAGTTCTTATCCATTCTGTGGTTCTGTATCTTGTAAGTGGAGCATTTAAGCCATTTACAACCAACATTACTATCAAAAAGTGAGGTACCATTGTTTTCATCATGCTCTTTGTTGCCTCTGTACATTGTTTTTGTTTTCTGTTTTTGCTTTTTGACTTGTGTTTTTGTTTTATAGGTCTTGTGTGATTTATGCTTTAATGAAGTTCTGTTTTGATGTGTTTCCAGGATTTGTTTCATGATTTAGAGCTTTCAGCAGTTTTTACAGTGCTGGTTTGGTAATGGCAAATTCTGTCAGCATTTGTTTGTCTGAAAATGACTGTATCCTTCCTTCATATATGATGTTTAGTTTTGCTGGATACAAAATTCTTGGCTGATAATTGTTTTGTTCGAGGAGGCTGAAGAAAAGACCCCAATTCCATCTAGCTTGTAAGGTTTCTGCTGCAAAATCTGCTGTTAGTTTGATAGGTCTTCCTTTATAGGTTACCTAGTGCTTGTGTCTCACAGCTCTTAAGACTCTTTCCTTTGTCTTAACTTTGGATAACCTAATGACAATGTGCCTAGGCTAAGATCTTTTTGTGATGAATTTCCCAGGTGTTATTTGTGCTTCTTGTATTTGGATGTCTAGGTTTCTCACAAGGCCATGGAAATTTTCATTGATTATTCCCCCAAATATGTTTTCCCGGCTTTTAGAATTCACTTCTTCCTCAGGTACACCAATTAGTCTTAGGTTTCATCGTTTAACAGAATGCCAGACTCCTTGGAGGCTTTGCTCATATTTTCTTATTCTTTTTTCTTTGTCTTTATTGGATTGGGTTAAATCAAAGACCTTGTCTTCAAATTCTGAATTTCTTTCTTCTACTTGTTCAATTCTATTGCTGAGACTTTCCAGAGCATTTCACGTTTCTAAAAGTGCATCCAAAGTTTCCTGATTTTTTTTTTATTTAAGCTATCTATTTCCTTGAATGTTTCTCCCTTCACTTATTGTATCATTTTTTGGATTTTCTTGCATTGAGCTTCACCTATCTCTGGCCCCTCCCTGATTAGTTTAATAACTAACCTGAATTCTTTTTCAGATAAATCAGTGATTTCTTCTTTGTTTGGATCCATTGGTGATGAACTGGTGTGATTCTTTGGGGGGTGTTGAAGAGTCTTGTTTTGTCAGATTACCAGGGTTGGTTTTCTGGTTCCTTCTCATTTTGGTAGACTCTGTCAGAGGAAAGGTCTAGGGCTGAAGACTGTTGTTCAGACTCTTTTGTCACACGGAGTGTTCCCTTGACATAGTACTCTCCCCCTTTTCCTATGGGCATGGCTTCCTGTGAGCCGAAGTGCATTGATTGTTGTCTCTCTTCTGGGTCTAGCCACCCAGCAGGTCTACCTGGCTTTGGGCTGGTACTAGAGGTTGTCTGCATACAGCCCTGTGATGTGAACCATCTAGGGGTCTCTCAGCCATGGATACCAGCGCCTGTTCCAGTGGATGTGATGAAGGGTGCAGTAGACTCTGTGAGGGTCCTTAGCTTTAGTGGTTTAATGCTCTATATTTGTGCTGGTTGGCCTACTGCCAGGAGGTGGTGTTTTCCAGAAAGCATCAGCTGTAGTAGTGTGGAGGCACTGCCAGTGGGCAGGGCCCTAGGACTCCCAAGATTATATGTCCTTTGTCTTCCATTACCAACTTAAACATTTGTGACAATTTCAATGTCAGAAATTTATGTGTAATCGAATTTATTCTGGTAGCCTAAATTCTGGTAGCTTATTATATGCTTCAATCTTTATAATTTAATTCTCACATGAGGGAGATCTAATATTTGGAAATATTTTCAATCTGTATGTTTATGTATTTATTCTAGTTGTCCTGGCACAAGGTTTTCAATGTTGCTGTGTGACCAGCCATTGGCTTTTCACATTTACAACTCCTCTGAATTTTTTCTTGCCTCATTTCTGGTGCTGGGAAATTCTGATATTTTCTCCTCATCTCCATTGTACATTTTAGGGATTCTTGAAACTTTTGATGCACAAACATCCACACTTTCTGCATAAGTAAAATATTTTACTTAGATATTTTCTAGCAGACACTGAGTTCTCATGAGAAATCCTCAGTCTCTTTATTTGGAACACCCCCTCCCCAATATTCCATATGGAGTAGTTTTGTGTAGAATGTGATTACTTCATTAATATGTCAAAGTACGGATACATTTTGAACACATTTCTGATGTTGTAATACCTTTCTTGATGAATAGTACCTGCGCATGACCAGAATTGTATTTTTAGTAGATACCGGGTTTCACCCTGTTAGCCAGGATGGTCTCGATCTCCTCACCTCGTGATCCGCCTGCCTCGGCCTCCCAAAGTGCTGGGATTACAGGCATGAGCCACTGCGCCTGGCCAATCACATCATTCTTGTATTCACCTAGTGGTCGCTGTGTACCTCCCATGTCAGGCGCCGTACTACCAGACACTGAGGATCCGGTGGGGAGCGAGAGGGACTTTAAGGACTGAGTCAGTAGGACATGGACTGGTGGGATAGGGAAGGATGAGGCAGACAGAGGGTCAGATGATCCCCATGGTTCTGCCTGGGGCACCTGAAGGGAAGTCAGAAAGGAAGCCAGGTTGAAGAGGGATGGCAATGAGTTTTGTGTTTGGTCTGCAGGACAGAGATGCCGGGCTGCGGGGAGGACAGGTAGGAGGTGTGCATCACAGGTAAAGGCAATTGCTCTATGGGCCTGGGGTTTGATGGGAAGAGACGCTAAATCCTGGTTCATGATTCTTTCTCAAAATTGTATTGCAAAGATCCCTCATTGAATCTGCATTTTATAGCATGTACTGTGCAAGTTTCAGGGGTATCAGGAAGAAGAAACATGCTCCTTTGTCTCCTGAAGCTCACAGGCTAGTGGACATGGCAGACATGTAAGAGAAGGGACAAGAGGTCAGTGCACAGAGAACAGCTTTGGATTTACCTCTGATGCTGGCCCTGACCCAGATCAACCAAACCTAATGGAAACAGAGAGCTGAGAAAGCGGGAGAGTTGAGCTCACTGATGCTCGGATTTTACAGATGAATTTGGAGGCGGTTTCTCCCAGTGCTGACATCCAGGCACTGTGGGTGCCACAGAGAAACATGGAAGGGCCTTCTGGAGACCACCACACCCGGCATCCTTCCCCCTTTTAGAACTGGAGTGAGACAACCATGTGTGCTATCACTACTTCTTTCTTTACAGTGTCAGTCCAACACCGTAATGGTCTGACAGTCCTGCAGGCTGGAAGCCCAGGATCACGGTGCCAGCAGGGTTGGTTTCTTCCAAGTCCTATCTTCTGGGTGGTGGCCTCACGTGGCCTTTCCTCTGTGGGCCTGTGCCCTTGGTGCTTCCCACCACTTTTTTCCAAGTTCACGCTGATCCTTTGAATCAGTTATCACTCCCTAACTTGTTTTCCAGCTTCTGTGATGTTCCTGGCAGGCGCTCCTCTCACTCTCTGCTGTGAACTCTTCCCTTTTACATCTGCAATCCCTTTGCATTCCTTTTAGTGGTGTTTGGAGGAGAAGCAAGGGCTGAAGTTGTTCCCACTCATGTCTTTCACCCCCCAGGTGCCCCTGATGTTTCAGCTCCCAGTGGTGCCTGCAGGGAGATCCCTCTGTACTTCATAATATTATTTCTATTTTTTACAATTTTTTTTTTTGAGATGGAGTTTCACTCTTCTTGCCCAGGCTGGAGTGCAGCAGTACGATCTCAGCTCAATGCGACCTCCACCTTCCAGTTTCAAGCAATTCTCCTGCCTCAGCCTCCCAGGTAGCTGGGATTACAGGTGCTCACCACCACGCCCAGCTAATTTTTGTATTTTTAGTAAAGATGGGGTTTCGTCACGTTGGCCAGGATGGTCTCTAACTCCTGACCTCAGGTGATCTGCTCGCCTTGGCCTCCCGAGGTGCTGGGATTACAGGCATGAGCCACCGCGCCTGGCCACACTTTTTTTTTTCAAATTTCCTTGTAGTACTGCTTGGGCTACATGGCTTAAGCTTTTGTACATAGTTTTCATTGTTCGGTTCTAAATGCTTTTAGATTTTCATTCTAATTCTTCTCGGACCAGTGCATTATTTTTTATTTTTTTAATTTAAAAAATAATTTAATTTAGTTTTATAGAGATGGGGGGTCTCACTATGTTGCCCAGGCTGGTCTTGAACTCCTGGGCTCAAGGGATCCTCCTGCCTTGGCCTCCCGAAGCTCTGGGATTATAGGTGTGAGCCACCGTGCCTGGCCAGTAGTGTATCTTTAAATTTCCAAACATAGGGGAACCCTTAATTTTAGTTTGGTTGCCAATTTATGCCTTTATTCTGTTACATCAAGAACATGGCTGGTGTGATGCAAGTTCTTTTGCTATTTGTTGAGTCTTGTTTTGCAGCCTAGGACATGGTGAGTGTTGGTAAATGTCCAAGGTGAACTTGAAAACAATGTGTGGTCTGTAGTTTTTGGGTGTCCACTAAATCAAGTTTGTTCAACTTTTCCATATTCTTTTTATTTTTATTTTTTGACAGAGTCTCACTCTGTTGCCCAGGCTGGAGTGCAGGGGCATGATCTCAGCTCACTGAAACCTCAAGTTCAAGTGAATCTCCTGCCTTAGCCACCCGAGTAGCTGGGATTACAGGCATGAGCCACCACATCTGGCTCATTTTTGTATTTTTTATTTTAGTTTCATCATGTTGGCCAAGCTGGTCTCAAACTCCAGACCTCAAGTAATCTGCCTGCCTTCGCCTCCCAAAGTGTTGGGATTACAAGCATGAAACACTATGCCTGGCCCAATTTTTCTATATTCTTCCTAATTGAGTTTGCTTAAACCAGCAGTTCCAGTGAGAAGTGGTATAATTTCCTGTGTGGAGAAGGTGCTCATTTATTAATTTTTCCTTTTCTTGTCACTTTTTTGTTTTGTAGTCATCTGAGGCTCTATCATTATGCAGGTGCACACAAGATCAGAATGGCTAATGCTTCTTCTTTTTTTTTTTTTTTTTTTCCTGTCAACCAGGCTGGAGTGCAATGGCTTGATCTTGGCTCACTGCAACCTTCGCCTCCCAGGTTCAAGCAGTTCTGCCTCAGCCTCTCTAGTAGCTGGGACTACAGGCATGAGCCACCACGCCTGGCTAATTTTGTACTGCAGTAGGGACAGGGTTTCACCATGTTGTTTAGGCTGGTCTCGAACTCCTGAACTCAGGTGATCTGCCTACCTTGGCCTCCCAAAATGCTGGGATTACAGGCGTGAGCCACCATGCCTGGCCACTAATACTTCTTTTAAAATAATTAAATTATTTATGTATTTATTCTTTTTCCCCCACCCCTCCCCCACCAGTGAATGCTTTGGAATGAATACATCCGTATGCTGCAATCACTTTTAATCCTAATAATGATTTTGCCCTGGAGCCTACTTTGTGAGATATGAGCTTCTCTCCACTAGCTTCCTTTTGGATGGTCTTTGCCAGATGTGTCTCCTTCTGTCTCTAGTAATTAGAGCTATTCCAGCTATGTGTCAAAAATAAACAAAAAGGGTTTATGATCAAGCATGGGCGACTTACACAATCATCAAAAGAAATGGAGGAACAACTCCCAGCCCTCCGAATAGGCCACCTCCTGGGATCAGGAATAAATCCTAATCTCAAAATACAGGTAAACAGTCTACCTCCTGTCCCCTAAATGAGATGCCAAGCATGCCCCTCCCCTCAGCCATGCTGTCTCCATCCAAACTTTAATGACCACTGGCCTCCCTGCTGACCCATGTCCCACTGAGGAGCCCCAGGCTCTGAACCAACTGCCTACGCACCATCCCCTCGGGCTGCACCTGCTCCCCAGGCCTTCCCCTCCTTTGGAGCTGCCTCTGTCCACCAAGGGTGCTGTCGCTCACCTAACCTTCCAACCAGAACCCAGTGGTATCTTGCTGCCCCCTCTACTCCCTGAAGAAGCTGCCCCCATGCCTGTCAAGTTCTTCCAACTGCTCGAAACTTCTGGAACTCCAGTCCTCAGCAAGTCTTGTCTGGGTGGCTGCAATGGCTATGCTTGCTTCTCTGTCTCTCTCCATCAGTCAACCAAACAATCGATCAATCATCTATCAATCAGGTATCCACCTATTAATCTATAATCAATAATCTATTAATCTATATCATTTACTTCTATAATCAATCATTGATCTATCCCATGTATCTTCCTATCCACCCTTTATCATGTCTATCCATCTATCTATCATTTATGCCTCTATCATGTCTATCTTTCAATAATTTATCTATCACCAGGCACAGTAGCATGTGTCTGTAGTCCCAGTAACTCAGGAGGCTGAAGCAGGAGGACTGCTTGATGCTAGCAGATCAAGTCCAGACTGGGCAAGATAGCGAGATCTCATCTCTAAAAAATTTTTTTAAATCATCTATCATCTCTCTCTATTCATCTATCCATGTATCTATCGTGTATTTTATCTATCAGTTAGCACCTATGAATCACCCATCATCTATTGATCAATTGTCTATATCATGTCTGTATATCTATATATCTATGTATCTATTTATCCATCAGTCATCTATCTGTCTGTTTTTGAGGCGATATTTACAAAATATACAATCAATCCCTTTAAAGTGCACAATTCAGTGGCATTTAGTATGCTCTATAGTTCCAGAACATTTTCTTCAAAATAAAAAGAAACCTGAGGCTGGGTGTGGTGGCTCATACCTATAATCCAGCACTGTGGGAGGTTGAGGCAGGGCGATCGCTTGAGCTCAGCAGTTTGAGACCAGCCTGGGCAACATAGTGAGATCCTGTCTACAAAAAAAAAAAAATCACAAAATTAGCAGGGTATGGTGGCACACGCCTGTGGTTCCAGCTACTCAGGAGGCTGGGGCAGGATTGCTTGAGCCCGGGAGATCAAGGCTGCCGTGAGTTATGACTGCGCCACTGCACTCCAGCCTGGGTGACAGGGTGAGACCCTGTCTGTCTCATTAAAAAATAAAATATAAATACAAAATTTCTTAAAAAGGACTGCCCCTGCCCCATTTTCCTTCCCCTGCCCCAGCCCCTGAAACCCACTCATCTGCTTTCTGTCCCGATGAGCCTATTCTGGACATTTGTGTCTGGCTTCTTTCACCCAGCATGAACTCTTTGAGGTCTATCCGTCGTGTTATGGTGGAATGGCACCGCGCCTTATGGACAGGCTGTTTCTCCATTTGTCTGTTGATGAACACTCAGGCTGTCCCACCTTTGGGAGGCTATGGCCATCCATGCATAAAGGTATGGCCGTACAGCTGTTCTCAGTTCTCATGCCTCCGAGGCCAGATGGGCTGCCGCACCCTATTCCCACCAGCCACCCTCAAATGCAGCCACGTGGCCTGCAGTACTCGACACTGCTTCCCTGTTACTGAAAGCTCCTCAGTGGCCTCTGGGCTAAGTCCTGTCTCTGTAGTGTGGCCTCCAAGGCCCGCCGGCCACAGCCCTCCATTCCCTTGCCCTCCCTTCCCCTGCATGCAGCAGGAACACCCTGCACTGTGCTCCCAGTTCCCCCAAGGCCCCTGCACAAGTGGCCTCCTCTCCCTAGAAGGGCCAGCAGCACCCTGTGTGGCAGCTTAGACATCCCTTCTCTTGCCTTCGTGCTCTTCCCACAGGGACCAGCATGATCCCCTCCCCTAGTCCTATTTGGGCTCAGCCAGTATTTCTGTGCAATGTTGTTGCAGGTTCTGCCCTGCCACCGTCACAGGAATCCTAAGAGCATTGGCGTGAGGCTCGATGGAGGGCACGTTGGACCATGTCTTCTGGTGACTTTCCCCCACGGAGGGGCTTGGGGGTCAGGCCCACTCCTTTCCCAAACTCACTCTTTCCCCCACAGGCAACCCACTCTCTCTCCTCCATCTCTCCCCAAGACCCGCAGCAGACACCACCAGACTCTGAGGCAGGGGGGAAGGACTGCATTTGCCAATGGAGGCTTTTACGGGGGGGGGACTCGGGATGGCGCCCAGCCTGAAGGCTGAGGGCCCGGGAAAGGCACAAGGTGGCGGTGGGGTCTCTCTCGGGCAGGTGCTGGCTCTGCAGACAGCTCCCCCTGGTGACCCCTCTTTGGTACTGAGCTGGGAACATGGTGTCCGCACTCTCCGCTAGCAAGCAAAGGTCCGTGTGGCCAGGTGGTGGCTGGCAGTGTAGGCTGGCGGGGTGACGGCCACAGGGGCTGGGTTTGGCACCAGTGGGAGCCGGGGCCCCAGGGTACTCAGAGGCTGGGCCGTCCCCGCTGCTGGCAGGGTAGTCACATTGGCCACAGAGATGGCTATGAATAGGTAATCCAATAAATTAGACTGTAGAAAGAGGAGGTGAGGGGCCGAGGGGGCGGGGCCTACATTCTCTCTTGGCAGGCAGTGCTGTGTGTCCCTCTCCCATGGGATCTTCGGGGCTCTTGTGGGGGAGAGGATGCAGGTGAGGCGCTCCGTGTGACCGTGGGTACCACTGGGCGGCTTTTATGGCATCGCACGGGATGGGAGCCTTGGCTGGCCACCCTCAGGGGATGGACCATGGGGTCTTTGAGAGACTGACGAGGAGGGAGGCCACCTGCAGCACCAGGGGCTGTGGCCTGAGGGGCTCCTGGGACTCGGCTGCGCTGCTGTGTGGCCAGCACTGGGCCCCTTGTACCCCAGCTTCCTCTACGGAGCAAAGTAGAGGACTCACTGCCTTGGACAGGGCCCAGCCACTGTGGAATAGCCCCCCCAGGGAGTGGGAGGGACAGGGCTAGGGTTACGCAGGGTGCCACCCTCCACATCTACTTTCCCGAGGTCGGGAAGGGTCTTCTAAGAGGAGGGGCCAGGCATGCAGGGGCGGGGTGCGTGCGCAGGTGGGTGCTGCTGTCTCCTTCATGTGATTCGAGCTTGGGGGCGGGGAAGGGGCTGGAGAGGGTGGGGTCAGGTGGAGGCACCCTGGAGTCCACCAGGGCCTTGCAGGCTAGGTGCCGGCACGTGCGCTGGGGCCACGGCCTCGCCCAGGATTTGGCAGAGCTCCTGGAGGTGCCGCTGCATCTTGGGAATGCCCGCCAGCTGCTGCTCCAGCCGCTGCTTCTCCTCTGTCAGGCTCAGGTGGGCAGCTGAGTCCAGCTTCTCGAACTTCCAGCCACCCTCCCCATCGAACTGTAGCAAGTGTGTGTGGTACTCCCTGGCCAGGAGAGGGACAGGGTCAGGGGCACGGCACGAGGGCTGATGATGACAGCCGCCTGCTGCTGCCGCCTGGCCCAACAGGCCACCTCCTCCCCTCAGGCAGCCACTCCCACTGACCCCAGGCAGGGAGACAGGGCACCTACCACAGGGAGGGCTGGAGGGTGATGGAGAGCAGGGCAATGCCTGCGTCCTTGGCCACCTGGAAGATCTTGCCTTCCACGTCGATGCTCACGGCACTGGTGCCTTCATCCAGGAGGGCGTACTTGGGCCTGTGGGTCCGGTCCGAGAGAAGAGTCTGTGCACCCTCCAGGGCCCAACACCCCAGCCCGGCTCAGGCTCCACTGAGCCCAGGCCTCCCCACAGCTGCTACTTCTCCTTCCAGGGGACCCCAGGGAGGCTGCCAGCCTGGAGTGCTCACCTGTGGTAGAACATGCGGGCCATGCCGATTCTCTGCTTCTCACCACCTGGCAGGATGTCCTTCCAGTCACACATAGCCTCCCAACCTAGGAAGGGGCAATGGTCTTGGCTCAGTTCCACCAGTACCCAGACCTGGGGGCCAGCCGGGGAGCTGGGGAGCTGCGGGAATGGGCTAGCTGTGACGACAGGGCCCCTGTGCCTCTGCGTCCTTATCTGTCTGACAGGCATTAATCATGGAGGAGTGGGGACTGGAATCATGCCTTCCCCCAGAAGAGATATGGTGGAGTCCAAGCCCCAACACTTTAGTGTGACCTTATTTGGAGATAGGTCCTTTGCAGAGGTGATCACACTAAGATGAGGTCATCAGAGTGGACCCTAATTCAATATGACTGTGTCCTCATAAAAAGGGGGTGTGCGAGCAGAGGACGTGCACAGGGGAACACGAGGTGAAGATATACAGGGAGAAGTGGACCATCTGCGAGCCGAGGACAGAGGCCTGGAACACATCCTTCTGTCATGGCACCCGGAAGGAACCCACCCTGCTGGTACCAGGATCTCGGACTGCTGGAGCTAGGAGATGATCCACCCCTGTGGTTTATGGCAGCCCCAGGACAACCATACAGTTCCTTGGCACAGAGCTCCAGAGCGGCCTGAGTGCTCTCCCCAGACCGGGGGCTTGTCACCCACAGGGGTTGGGCCTCCTGTCACTGCCCCGTGCCAGCACTTTGGCAAGGCTCGAGTGGGCTGCTTGAACAAGCAGGTGAGCCGGCTGCTCCATTAGCCGGGGGACTGTGGCAGAAGTGGCCCCTCCTGTCTTCTCGCCCATGCTGCCTTCCCCAGCGGCCCAGGGCTAGAAGTGGCGACATGGTATATGGCCACCCAGAGTAGAGATTACGCTTCCCAGGTGGCCTTGTGGTGAGGTGTGAGCATGAGACTAAGTTGTGGTCAATAAGATATAACTGTAAGTATTCAATATGGCGGTTTCTGGAACCTTCCTTAAAAGACAGAAGGCACATACCTTTTGCCCCTTCCCTTCTACTTCCTCCATCCTACAGCCTGGGACATGATGTGAGGGCTGCAGCAGCCCTCCTGGATCATGAGGTGACTTTGGGAATGGAGGCCACACACAGCAGAGCGACATGGTCGAAAATCCTAGAGCCTTGGGGTCTTCACAGAGCAGGGCCTGCCCTGGCAACCGTGGCCTGGCTCTCTTGGGACCTAACAGCTCAGTAGGATAAACTCACAGATGATCTTAGCCACTACTGTGGGGAGGCTGGTTCTGTTCCTTGCAGCTCAACTCCATCCTAACGGCTCATGCTGGCCGGCCACAGGCCCTGGGCATTCAGGCTGCCACAGAGGTGGGAGAGGCCATATGCTCCCAGGCCAAGGGCAGCAGGAGCAAGAGGCAGGGCCTGGCCAGGGGCTGCTCCACCACCATCGCCACCTGTGTTCCCGCTTCCTCCACAGGCAGGTGACAACACCCTGGTCATTTCCTGCAGGAGCCACTTTTTCTCATGTTGCCACCGAGGGAGGGCTTGGTGCCTGTGCCCTTGAACCATGAAGGGGAGCTCCAGCAAGGCGAGGTCCTTGCCCAGGGCCATCTCGCACCCAGCAGTGGGGGCTGGAAGCAGAACCCAGAGGCTCAGAATTCAAAGACAGAACTGAACTTTCCATCTACTGTGTCCCTGTAGCTGCACCCCCCTCTCCTCCTCCGCTCTCCCGGCCCGACAGACACTGTGGACAAGCAGTATTCCTTGATAAGCCCAGGACAAGAAAACAGCTCAGTCTGGCCTCCTTTTCAGTGAACTCATCTCTGAATCCACCCGACTCTGCTGACCCCAGCCCCCTCCAAGCATCTGCACAGACCTCCTGACAGTAGCTATCACTGCACACATGTGCCTGCCCCTCCCAGGCTGCCCCTGCCCACCGCCCCATGGTCCTTCGAAGAGCGTCTGATCCTGCTCAGGGAATGCCTAGGCTCCCGCCTGGTCCGGAGGGCCCTCTGTGAGCCAGCCTCTCACACCACCAAGCCTTCGGGCCACACTCTGCCCTGCTGCCCCTGGCTCCTGGATGGGGTAACCACTTAGCATTCTGCAGGGCTCAGCTCAGACCCCTTTTTTCTGGGAGAGGGTATCCTGGGTCCCCCAATGAGGTGCGCATCCCTGCTAGGTGCCCCCTTCCCTAGAGCACCCATGCCACCTGGGACCATCTGTGTGGTGTTGGTCCTCCCTGGTAGGCGGGCCTCAGAGGTAGCACCCTCTGCCCTGCCCCTGTGGCACCTGGCACTTTAGACTCCTGGATGTTGAGATAATCTTCCCTCCCTGGAGGCCAAGGGAGAGGCCAGGGTGGGACAAAGGGCGGCTGCCAGCCCCAGGCCTCCTACCTCCCTCCCACTGCAGGATGTGGTGTGGGTGCACGATATCCAGGATGGCTTCCAGGTCCTGCTCCGAGTAGCCCTTCCTTCGCATGTCCTCCACTGAGTCCGGGTAGATCACCTGGTCACGCAGGGATCCCACAGACATGTAGGGCCTGTGGGAAACCTGGGTGTCCACGGAGGGAAGGGCCGGCCCTGCCTCCCCCAAGATACTCTGCGCCTCCCAGGCAGTGTAGATTCTGTCTGCTGTAGACAAAATAATGGCCCCCCAAAAACGTTCATGTCCTAATTCCCAGAGTCTAACATATAAATATGTTAGGTGGCTTGGCAGTGGGAAATTAGATTTCAAGTGAAATTAAGGTTGCAAAGGTGGCGGGGGCAAAAAGCCACGGCGGGCAAAAAGCCACGGCAGCAAAAAGCCGCGTAGGCGGGGGGGCAAAAAGCCGAGGCGGGGTGGGGGCAAAAAGCCACGGAGAGTAAAAAGCCGCGGGGGCAGGGGGTAAAAAGCCACGGCAGGGAAAAAGCCACGGCGGCGGGGGGGCAAAAACCCGGGTCGGCCAAAAAGCCACGGCGGCGGTTGTGCAAAAAGCTGGAGCGGGCAAAAAGCAGCGGCGACAAAAAGCCACGGCGGCGGAGGGGCAAAAAGCCGCGGCGGACAAAAAGCCATGGCAGCACCGGGGGGCTGCAAAAAGCCGCGGCGGCGGGGGGCAAAAAGCTGCGGGGGCGGGGGACAAAATGCCGCAGCAGGCAGGGGCAAAAGCCGCGACGGGTAAAAAGTCGCGGCGGCAGGGGGCAAAAAGCCGCGGCGGGGGGCAAAAAGCCGCGTCAACGGAGGACAAAAAGCCGCGTCGGCGGGGGGCAAAAAGCCACGGCGGGCAAAAAGCCGCGGCCGGGAGGGGGGCACAAAGCCGAGGCGGGGTGGGGGCAAAAAGACACCGTGGCGGGGGCTAAAAAGCCGGGTGAGGAAAAAGCCGCGGCGACGGGGAGCAAAAAGCCGTGGCGGACAAAAAGCCAAGGCAGGGTGGGGGCAAAAAGCCGCAGCGGGTAAAAAGCCACGGAGGCAGGGGGGAAAAAGCCACGGCGGGGAAAATGCCGCGGCGGCTGTGGGGCAAAAAGCTGCGGCGGCAGGGGGGCAAAAACCCAGGGCGGGCAAAAAGCCGAGGCGGGGTGGGGGGAAAAAGCCACGGCGGCGGGGGGGGCAAAAACCTGCGGCGGCAGGGGCAAAATGCCGCGGCGGCGGGGGGCGAAAAGCCGCGGCAGGTAAAAAGCCGCGGCGGCGAGGGGGCAAAAAGCCGGGGCAGGCAAAAAGCTGCGGCGGCGGAGGACAAAATAGTGGAGATGGGGTAGAAGGCTGGCACAGCTTGGCATTGCTGGAGTGTGATGTGATAGGAAATGTGCAGCCAAACACAAAAAAAGATGTAAGTAGGCTTGACTCATTGCAGCTAAGAACCCAGATGTTATCTTGAGGGTATTAACTAATAAGCAGTTTAAATCAGAATGGCACATTCTGATTTGTTTTTTGTGTGTTCACATTTGGCAGGCATAGATACTGTTTGAAGAGAGAAAAGTCAGTAGATAGCGGTAACAAACTTAAATATGTGCCAAGTCTAGAAACAAGAGACCAGGGGGATAAGGACCTTTCAAAATAAAATGCAAGATTTGAAAACTGATTGGCTGGAGGATGAGGAAAAGGCAGGTCTTTAAGGTCAATCCCTATTTTGCTTTAAGTTGTTAGGGGGTGGTTTTATCACATATTGTAGAATATGTCATTTCAGTTTTGAACATCTTGAGTTAAATTGTCCTAACATATCTTATGAATTTGATTTTCTTCCCTGGGAAGCTAATATTTCAAAAACTTAAAGAGTATAGATTTCTAACTTGTATCAAATTTATAAAACTATCTCTAGGCTGCTGATTTCAGGAGGAGGCTCATGAATATTCTCTTTGCAGAGAATATATCAGGAGTTAACAACAGCTTTAATATTTGTGGACGACCAGTTAACTAAGCCACCTCTTAGTGTATTTAGATGGGAAATCTTAGCTGAAGATATTCAATAATGAACCAACAGTGACTAAAAAATTCAATATTTAAGTATATTTCATTGTAATTAATCTGAATTGAAGTAGCCATATACAGCTAGTATTTACTATATTGAACAATGCAAATAAGAGGAAAAAAATTAATAACCATCTCTAATACCACATGCCAAAATCCTCGTCAATTTATTCTAGCTAAAGGAGTTTATCAGAAGCAGCAGTTGAAAGCACCAACTAAACCAGCTGGGGTTAGTTCACTGTCATTCTCTCAGAACCATCTCTTCTCTGAACAAAACAAGTACAAGAGTTCATTGTGAATCTGCATTCTCCTTGACTATTTTAAGGTTTTGATGTTGACACTAATTTGTGAAATCCCTCCTGTGGTGTGATATTTTGTTTTCCTTGCTTTCTGATAGGACAAGAATGCTTCAGCTCTTAATTTAAAATTATGTTTCTCCCTCCTACATTGAGTGAACTTAGAATGCATTCTCTGACATCCAAGTTTTTGTTAATATGAATTTGGGGAAAAAAGCATACTTAATTAGCTAAGACTTCTTATTCTAGGCTTGACCCTGTGTTCGACATCTTTTGAATTTCTAGTTGCATGGGCTGCTCTCTGACACTGGTTAGTGACCTGGAAGCTATATTAACGTTAGGGGAGGTGGTGTATGAGCATTAGAGGTATCCTTGCAAGGAAAGACTTGTCTTTTTTTTGCACACAAGAAAGTCAGTGTTTGAGTCCTCTAAAATCTTCCTATTTCCAAGTTGCAGAGTACCATTGATTCCTAAACAAAGACCTAATTTTTGACTTAGAGACGTGGCAAGGTAGTGACTCACCATTATAATTTAACAATCTTCAAGATAAAATTATCTCTGATATTTAAATTTTGCCCAATTATGAAGATATTTGGGTGTTTTGTTAAGAATGGAAGACTCTAGTCTCTTGAGCAGAGACTATAAAGGCCTCAGATGATCATTTTTAATTTTATGCTCTTTTCTTTAACACCTTCAACACAGTTGGAAGCAGCCAATATTCCCCAGAGTTGTGTTTTTTAAAGCAAATGCATAGTTCAGTGGTAGAAAACTGGGCTGATCCAAGCTGTTTTCAGTAAACATTTCAGGTGACCTATTACATATTAAATAATCTCTGGATCCTGTCTTCGAAACTAACTAGATCAGATAACCTGCCCTGGATTTTCTCCTTTTAGGGTCTGTGAGCTGCAGTCAGTTTTGTGAAAATGATTGCAATGACAAGATAGAGTTGTAGATGGGGAAAATGTTTTGACTAATTTAAGCATAGTGGTATTTCATATGAGAATTTAAGTTACACACATTTGAAAATTATAATGGATTCTCTTGGCTGAGCTTTAAAAAAAATAGCGTTTAGACTAAAAAGGGAACTGCTACCTCTCCTAAAATCAGAAAGATGTTACAGTAATTCTCCATTCTCTAGAACTATCAGAAAGCACCTTTGTGATGATTTACTTTTGCTCTTAGGAGTGTGAGCCCGTGTAGTCGTGGAACCATCAATTAGAATGGTGGCTTTCTGATCCCAAAGTCATTCGTTCTGAAATTCTTTTGAGCAAAAACAAAAACAAAAATATGACTATTAGTCACAAATTCAGTACAGTGAAAAAAAAGTTGAAGAGATATCTTGGAAGTAAACCATGTTGTGGAAGAGCATGTAGGGTTTTGATAATCATGGGATTATTCTGAATTAATTTTAAATGCGATAGGAATATATGAGATAATTTCACCAGAGAATAACATGATTGTGTTTGCATTTCAAAGGGGTGTATCTGGTGCACTGTGTAGAATAAATAGGTTATGTGAGCAAATAAATTGGGAGGCTACTGTAATCCAGAGAAAAAAGGTAGTGACTTAGGTGAGAATGCTGTCAGTATGAGTGGTAGTAGTGGTGAGAAGTCGTTAGGTCATGGATGTATTTCATAGGACTGGCCAAGAGAACTGCAGCTAAATTGGAGTGTAGGGAGTGAAATGGAGAACTCAAAGATGACTCTCAGCACTGGAAGATGACAGCTGTCACTGAAGCATGCTGATGCCTCTCATTAAGAGGGTTACTTGGGAATGACAAGCTTAAAACTTCTCACTTTCAAATTTATGAAAAATATTCTTTCACAAATATCAGTTTAATAATTTTATATTAAACTCCCTATATACTTACAATATGAATTAGATAATTCAGTATAAACATTCCAGTGGAAAAAACTAAACAATTTGTTATAAAACATCCTTAAAAGCATCAGAAAGTTAATACAGCAATGAAGAATTACAGGACCAAATTAAGAATGGTATGGAAGCCTGTTTGTGAGGCTTATGTTTGGGTTATCTCTTTACTTAGAGTGACTATAAATCTCAAAAGAGAACTAAAGGGAGAAATAACCATATCAACTCACATGGCAAGGGTATTTAAACATCTCTTAGTAATTGAGATAATTGAAAGAAAAGAAAAAAGAGAAAGGGAGAAAGAGAAAAAGAGTGAAAGGGATAATGAAGGAGAGACAGAAGAAGAGAAAGGAAGAGGAAGAAAAGTAAAAAGGAGGAGGAAAGGGAGGGAGGAAGAAAGAAAGGTGAAAAGAAGGAATGCTAAAGTTTTCAACAACATAATTTATCCTTCTAGAATATGAATGTTGGTCTATTTGATGATGTCCCACAGATTCCTTAGTCTCTGCTCATTTTTTATCTGTTTCTGAGTCAATGTTTTCCATTTTCTTATCTTCAAGCTCATGACTTCTTCTGTGTGTGCAAATATACTCTTAAATCCCTCTGGTGATTTTTAAATTTTTATCGTTGTAGTTTTCCACTCCAGAATTTCTGCTATCTCTGTTGATATTCCTACTTTTTAATATTTGTTCTGATTCCTTGATTTCTTTGTTTATGTTTTCCTTTTGACATTTGAGTATAATGAAGAGAGTTGTTTTAAAGTCTTTGTCTAGTAAGTTTGATGTCTGGATTCCCTTAGAGATATTCTCTGTCAATTTGTTTTGTTCCTTTCAATGAGCCATACTTTCCCATTCTTTGTATGCCTTGTAACTTTTTTTGAAAACTGTACATTATAATAATTATAATTACTATGTGGTTACTCTGTAAATCAGGCCCCCCCTACAAACACAGTAATGTTTTGTGGTTTTAAATTTTCTTTACTTATTATATTGTTAAGGATTTTTTTTTAGTGAAATTTTCCAAAGTGATTTACAAAACTGTTTGCTTTATAAGGTGTGGTCACCAAAGTCTTTTTGTTTCCATAACAAATGTTAAGCTAATGTTTTGACAGTGATTTTCTTGTATGTCAGGAACCAATCAAACAGGCAAATACAAGATAAACAAAAAGAAAAACAAGGAATCGTTGTCCAGCAAAATATGTCTCTAGGCCATGCAGACTGGCTTTGTGCTGGGTTCTTTAAAGCTGCACAAAGTGTGTGTTCACTCTTTCACTGAGTAAAGTTCAAGTTCACTTATGCACAGAGCTTGCACGGAGGGGAGGGATTGGCCAAGGTAAAAGTGTAGGGTCTGTTTATGACATTTGTCAGCATGTGGCTTAACCTATGAATACAAGTGACTTTCTAGACTCTCCCATGTATGTGAATGATTTTGTATGTCTTAGTTTTTGAAATACTCTTCTCCAACTTTTCTTGCTGTGCTGAAGGTGATCTACTATATGTGTAAACTCTAATTTTTGCCCTAAGCATCTGTGGTTTGTTAGGTCTCCTTGCATTTTCTTACAAATGTCCATTCCTTATCTGTTCTGTATTCTAGCAACACAGAAAAAAAGCCTTTCATGAGTCCTTTAGATATCCCCAGACCTATCAGAACAGACACTCGAGTCCATTCAATGATTCCACTCAATTCCATTAGATGATGATTCCATTTGAGTCCATTCGATGATTCCATTCGATTCCATTTGATGATGATTCCATTCGAGTCCATTCGATGATTCTATTCGATTCCATTCAATGATTTTCCTTTTCGTTTCCATTCGATGATGATTCAATTCGATTCCATTCAATGATGATTCCATTAGATTCCATTTGATGATGATTCCATTTGATTCCTTTCAATGATGATTCCATTTGATTACATTTGGTGATTATTCCTTTCGAGTCCATTTGATGATGATTCCATTCCAGTACATTCGATGATATTTCCATTCTATTCCATTCAATGATGATTCCATTCGTGTCCATTCGATGATGATTCTATTCCATTCCATTCGATGATGATTCCATTAGATTCCATTCAATGATTCCATTCGATTCCATTCGATGATGATTCCATTCGATTCCATTCTATGATGATTCCCTTAGAGCCCATTCGATGTTTCCACTCGATTCCATTCGATTATGTTTCCATTTGATTCCATTCGATGATTCCATTTGATTCAATGCGATGATGATTCCATTCGGTTCCATTTGATTTATTCCACTCAATTCCATTCGATGTTTTGTTTTGATACCATTCGATGATGATTCCATTAGATTCCATGTGATGATGATTCCATTCGATTCCATAAGAAGATGATTCCATTTGATACCATTTCATGATTGCATTCGATTCCATTCGATGATGATTCCATTGGATTCCATCGGATGACTCCTTTTGATTCCATTTGATGACTCCATTCGATTCCATTAGATGATTCCATTCGATTCCATTTGATGATTCCATTCGATTCCATTCGATGATGATTCCAGTCTATTCCATTCAATTATGATTCCATTTGATTCCATTTTATGATTCCATTCGATTCCATTTGATTCCATTTGATTCCATTCCATGATTCCATTCGATTCCATTCGATGATGATTCCATTCAATTCCATTCAGTGATTCCACTCGATTCCATTCGATGATTCCATTTGATTCCATTCGATGATTCCATTTGATTCCATGCAATTATGATGCCATTCAATTCCATTCCATGATTCCTTTCGATTCCTTTCTATGATGATTCCATTCGATTCCCTTTGATGATTCCATTCGATTCCATTCTAGGATTTCATTCGATTCCATTCGATGATTACTCCAATCGATTCCTTTCAATGATTCCGTTCAATTCCATTCGATGATGATTCCATTCGATTCCATTCGATTATGATTGCATTTGATTCCATTCGATGTTTCTTTTCGATTTCATTCGATGATGATTCCATTCAATGATTCCATTCGATTCCATTCCGTGATGATTCCATTCACTTCCATTTGATTTATTCCATTCGATTCCATTTGATGTTTCATTTTGATAACATTCGATGATGATTCCATTAGATTCCATGTGATGATGATTCCATTTGATTCCATGCGAATATGATTCCATGTGATACCATTTCATGATTGCATTTGATGCCATTCAATGATGATTCCATTTGATTCCATTCAATGATGATTCCAGTCGATTCCATTCGATTATGATTCCAATCGATTCCATTCTATGATTCCATTCGATTCCATTCGATGATTCCATTCACTTCCATTCAATGACGATTCCATGCGATTCCATTCGATCCTTCCATTTGATTCCATCTGATGATGATTCCATTCGATTTCATTCAATGATTCCATTTGATTCCATTTGATGATGATTCCATTCGATTCCATTCGATGACTCCATTCGATTCCATTTGAGGATTTCATTCCATTGCATTTGATGTTTATTCCATTCGATTCTTTTTGATGATTCCATTTGATTCCATTCGATGATGATTCCATTCAATTCCATTCGATGATGATTGCATTCGATTCCATTTGATGGTTTTTTCGATATCATTCGATGATGATTCCAGTCGATGATTCCATTTGATTACATTCGATGATGATTCCATTCTATTCCATTCGATTTATTCCATTCGATTCCATTCGATGATTCCTTTCAATACCATTCGATGATGATTCCATTCGATTCCATGTGATGATGATTCCATTTGATTCCATTCATTTATTCCATTCGATTCCATGTGATGTTGATTCTACTCGATTCCATTCGATGATTCCATTCAATTGCATTCGATGATAATTGCATTAATTCCATTTGATGATTCTTTTTGATTCCATGCGATGATGATTCCATTCAATTCCATTCGATGATGATTCCTGTGGATTCCATTCGATGATTCCTGTCGATTGCATTCAATGATGATTCATTTGATTCCATTCTATTAATCTATTTGATTAAATTGGAGGATTCCGTTCAATTCCATTCGATGAGGATTCCAATCAATTCCACTCAATGATTCCATTTGATTCCATTCGATGATGATTTCATTCGATTCCATTCAATAAATCCTTTCGATTCCATTCCATGATGATTCCATTTGATTCCATTCGATGATTTCATTCGATTCCATTGGAAGTTGATTTCATTCAATTCCATGTGATGATGATTCCATTCGATTCCATTGGATGACTCCATTAAATTCCATTCGATGATGATTCCATTCAATTCCATTCGATGATTTCATTTGATTGCAGTCTATGATTCCATTCGATTCCATTTGATGATTCCATTCAATTCCATGGGATGATTCCATTTGATGATGACACCATTTGATTCCATTCGGTGATTCCATTTTATTCCATTTGATAATTGCATTCAATGATTATTCCATTCTATTCCATATGGTGATTCCATTTGCTTCCATGTGATGATGTTTCCATTTGATTCCATTGCATGAATCTATTTGATTCCATTCGAAGATGATTCCATTTGATTCCTTTCAATGATTCCATTCGAGGATTTCATTCGATTCCATTGGATGTTTTTTCAATTAGATTCCTTTCAATGATTCCATTTGATTCCATGCAATGATGATTCCATTCGATTCCATTCGATGATTTTTTTCGATTTCATTCAATGATGATTCCATTTGATGATTCCATTTGATTCCATTCGATGATGATTCCATTTGGTTCCATTTGATTTATTCCATTCGATTCCATTCGATGGTTCATTTCAATACCACTCGATGATGATTCCATTTGATTCCATGTGATGATGATTCCATTCGATTCCATTCAATTATTCCATTTGATTCCATGCAATGATGATTCCATTCGATTCCGTGCGATGATTCCTTTCTATTCCATTCTAGGATTTCATTCGATTCCATGTGATGGTGATTCCATTTGATTCCATTCAATTATTCCATTTGATTCCATGCAATGATGATTCCATTCGATTCCGTGCGATGATTCCTTTCGATTCCATTCTAGGATTTCATTCGATCTCATTTGATGATTATTCCATTCGATTCCTTTTGAAGTTTCCATTCGATTCCTCTTGATGATGATTCCATTCGATTCCATTCTATGATGATTGCATTCAATTCAATTCAATGATTCTTTTTGATTTCATTCAATGATGATTCCATTCGATGACTCCATTCAATTCCATTCGAATATGATTCCATTCGAATATGATTCCATTCTATTCCATTCGAGTTATTCCTTTCAATTCCATTCTATGATTCCTTTTGATAACATTCAATGATGATTCCATTCGATTCCATGTGATGATGATTCCATACAATTCCATGTGATGATGATTCCATTCAAGTCCATTTGATAATTCCATTCAATTGCATGTGATGATGACTGAATTCAATTCCATTGGATGACTCCATTTGATTCCATTTGATGATTATTCCATTCGAATCCATTCAGTGATTCCATTCAGTTCCATTCGATGATTCCATTTGATTCCATCGGATGATTCCATTCGATGAAGACACCATTCGATACCATTCGATGATTCCATACGATTCCATTCGATGATTCCATTTGATAATTGTTAAATTCGATTCCACTTGTTGATTCCATTCGAATCCATTCGATGATGATTCCATTCAATTCCATTTGTTGATTCCATTTGGTTCCATTTGATGATGATTCCATTTGATTCCTTTTGATGATTCCAATTGATTCTATTCGATGATTCCACTCAATTCCATTCGATGATGATTCCATTCAATTCCATTCGATGATTCCACACGATTCCATTTGATGATGATTCCATTCGATTCCATTTGATTATGATTTCATTCAATTCCATTGGATGATTCCACTCGATTCCATTCGATGATGATTCCATTCGATTCCATTCAATGATCCTGTTCGATTCCATTCTATAATTCCGTTCAATTCCATTCGAGGATTCCATTCAATTCCGTTGAATGATTATTCAATTCCTTTCAATGATTCCATTCGATTCCATTCGATGTTGATTGCATTAGATTCCATTGGATGATGATTCCATTCAATGATTCCATTCCATTCCACTCAATGATTCCATTTGATTCCATTCGATGATTCTGTTCGATTCCATTGGATTGTTCCATTTGATTCCGTTCGATGATTCCATTCGATTCCATTCAATGACTATTCCATTCGATTCCTTTCAATGGTTCCATTCAATTTCATTCGATGATGATTCCTTTTGATTAAATTCGATGATGATTGCAATTGTCTTCATTCGATGATCTTTTTCAATTTCATTCATTGATGATTCTATTCAATGATTCAATTCAATTCCATTCGATGATGATTCCATTCGATTCCATTCAATTTATTCCATTCAATTCCATTCGACGTTTCCTTTCGATACCATTTCATGATGATTCCATTCGATTCCATGTGATGATGATTCCATTCGATTCCACGCGATAATGATTCCATTCGATTCCATTCCATGATTGCATTCAATTCCATTTTATGATGATTCCATTTGATTCCATCAGATTACTCCATTCAATTCCATTGGATGATTATTCCATTCGATTCCATTTGATGATTCCATTTGATTCCATTTTCTGATTCCGTTTGTTTTCATTGGATGATTCCATTCTAGGATGACACCATTCGATTCCATTTGATGATTCCACCCGATTCCATTAGATGTTTCCATTCAATGATTTTTCCATTCGATTCCATTGGATGATTCCATTTGATTCCATTCGATGATTCCATTTGACTCCATTCGATGATGATTCCATTCAATTTCATTTGATGATTCCATTCGATTCCATTCAATGTTTCCTTTTGATTCCATTCAATGATGATTCCAGTTGATTCCATTCGATGATGATTCCATTCGATTCCGTTCTATGATTCCATTTGATTCCATTTGATGATGAGTCCATTCGATTCCATTCAATGATTGCTTTCCATTCCATTTGAGGTTTTCATTCAATTCCATTTGATGAATGTTCCATTCGATTCCTTTCAATGACTCCATTCGATTCCATTCGATGACGATTCCATTCAATTCCATTCAATGATGATTCCATTCAATTCCATTCGATGATTCCATTAGATTCCATTCGATGACGATTCCATTCGATTCATTCGATGACTCCATTCGATTCCATTCAATGATTCCATTCGATTCCATTTGATGATTATTCCATTCAATTCCATTTGATGATTCCATTTGATTCCATGTGATGATGATTCCAATTGATTCCATTCCATGATTCCATTCGATTCCATTCATTGATGATTCCATTCGATTCCATTCGATGATGATTCCATTCGATTCCATGTGATGATTCCATTTGATTCCATTTTATTATTCCATCTGATTAAATGCGATGTTGAATCTACTCGATTCCTTTTGATGATTCCAATCAATTTCATTCGATGATGATTGCATTAATTCCATTTGATGATTCTTTTTGATTCCATTTGATGATGATTCCATTAGATTATTCCATTCGATTCCATTCCATAATGATTCCATTGGATTCCATTCGATGATTCATGTCTATTGCATTCGATGATGATTCATTCGATTCCATTTGATGATTCCATTCGATTAAATTGGAGGATTCCATTCGATTCCATTCGATGAGGATTCATTCGATTCCATTCAATGATTCCATTCTATTCCATTCCATGATGATTCCATTCGATTCCATTTGATCATTCCATTCAATTCCATTGGAAGTTGATTTCAGTCGAATACATTCGATGATGATTCCTTGGGATTCCAATAGATGATTATTACATTTGATTCCATTCGATGATGATTGCATTCAATTACATTAGATGATACTTTTTGATTTCATTCAATGATGATTCCATTCGATGATTCCATTCAATTCCATGCAATGATGATTCCATTCGATTCCATTCTATTTTTTCCTTTTGATTCCATTCTATGTTTCCTTTTGACACCATTTGATGATGATTCCATCCTATTCCATGTGATGGTGATTCCATTTGATTCCATTCGATGATGATTCCATTCATGTCCATTCGATGATTGCACTCGACTCCTTTTGATGATGATTCCACATGAGTCCGTTAGATGATTCCATTTGATTCCATTGGATGATGATTCCATTTGATGCCATTCAATGATTCCATTCGATTCCATTCAATGATACCATTCCATTCCATTCAATGATGATTCCTTTCCAGTCCATTCAATGATTGCATTCGATTCCATTCAATCATTGCATTCAAGACCATTCGACGATTCCATTCGATTCCATTCGATGATGATTCCAATCGATTCCATTCGATGATTCCTTTCGATTCCATTCGATAATTCCAATCGATTCCATTTGATGATTCCTTTCGAATCCATTCGATGATGAGTCCATTCGCTTCAATTCCATGATGATTCCATTCAATTCAATTCGATGTTGTTTCCATTTGATTCCATTTGATGTTGATTCCATTCGATTCCATTGGATGATGATTCCATTCGAGTCCATTCGATGATGATTCCATTCCATTTATTTTGATGATTCCATTCGATTCCATTCGATGATGATTCCATTCCATGAATCCATTCAATTCCATTCTATGATGATTCCATTCGTTTCCATCTGATGATTATTCCATTTGATTCCATTCAATGATACCATTCGATTCCATTTGATGATTATTCCAATCAATTCCATTCGATGATTCCATTCAAATCCATTCGATGATGAGTTCATCCATTTCAATTCCATGATGATTCCATTCCATTCAATTCAATGGTGTTTCCATTCGATTCCATTTGATGTTGATTCCATTCGATTCCATTGGATGATGATTCCATTCGAGTCCATTCGTTGATGATTCCATTCACGTCCATTTGATGATGATCACATTCGATTTCATTTGATAATTCTATTCGATTCCATTCGATGATGATTCCATCTGATTCCATTCAATGATTCCATTTGATTCCATTCGATGATTATTCCATTCGTTTCCATCTGATGATGATTCCTTTCAATTCCATTTGATGATTCCATTCGAGTAAATTCAATGTTTCCATTCGATACCATTTGATGATGATTCCATTCGAGTCCATTCCATGATTCCATTCGAGTCCATTCAATGATTCCATTCGAGTCCATTCCATGATTCCATTCGAGTCCATTCAATGATTCCATTCGATGAAGATTCCATTTGAGTCCATTCGATGATTCCATTTGATTCCATTTGATGACGATTACTTTCGAGTCCATTGGATGATTCCATTTGATTCCATTTGATGATGATTCCATTCGAGTCCATTCCATGATTCCTTTCAATTCCATTCGATGATGATTCCATTCGAGTCCATTTATTATTCCATTCCTTTCCATTTGATGATTCCATTCGAGTCCATTCGATGATTCTATTTGATTCCATTCGATAATTCCGTTCAATTCCATTTGATGTTGATTCCATTCGAGTCCATTTGATGATTATTCCATTCGATTCTATTCGATGATTCCATTCGATTCCATTTGATGATGATTCCATTCGAGACCATTCAATAATTCCATTGAATTCATTTGATAATGATTCTGTTCAATTCCATTCAATGATTCCATTAGATTCCATTTTGATGATGATTCCATTCAATTCCATTTGATGATGTTTCCATGCGATTCCATTCGATGATGACTCCTTTCGGTCCATTCGATGATGATTCCATTTGGTTGCATTCGATGATGATTCCCTTGTATTCCATTCGATGATGATTCCATTCGATTCCATTTGCTGATGATTCTTTTTGATTGCATTCAATGATGTTTCCATTCGATTCCATTCAATGATTCCATTCGTTCCCATTCAATGATGATTCCATTCGAGTTCATTGATTATTCCATTACATTCCATTTGATGATTGCATTCGAGTCCATTCATTGATTGCATTTGAGTCCATTCGATGATTCTATTCGATTCCATTCGATAATTCCGTTCGATTCCATTTGATGATGATTCCATTCGAGTCCATTCAATGATTATTCCATTCGATTTTATTCGGTGATTACATTCGATTCCATTTGATAATTATTCCTTTCGAGACCATTCAATGATTCCATTCAATTCATTCTGTGATGATTCCATTCAATTCCATTCGATGATTCCATTCGAGTCCATTTGATAATTCCATTCAAGTCCATTCAATGAAGATTCCGTTCGATTCCATTTGATGATGATTGCATTCGGGTCCGTTTGATGATTCCATTTGCTTCCATTCGATGGGGATTCCATTCGTTTCCATTCGATTATTCCATTCGATTCCATTCGATGAGGATTCCATTACTGTCTGTTAGATGATTCCATTCGATTCCATTCAATGATGATTCCATATGATTCCATTCATTAATTCCATTCCATTCCATTGGATGATGATTCCATTCATGTCCATTTGATGATTCTTTACAAATCCATTCGATTTTTGCTTTTGATTCCATTCCATGATGATTCCATTCGGTTCCATTTGATGATGATCCCATTCGATACCATTCTATGGTTCCATTTGATTCTATTCGATGATGATTCCATTCGATTCCATTGGATGATTCTATTTGATTCTGTTTGAGATGATTGCATTCTATTCCAATCGATGATTCAATTTGATTCCATTCGATGATGATTCCATTTGATTCCATTCAATGAGTCCATTCGATTCCATTCAATGATGATTCCATTTGATTCCATTTGATGACTCCATTCCATTCCATTCAATGATGATTCCATTCGATGTCATTCGATGATTCCATTCGATTCCATTTGATTATGATTCCATTCCAGTCTCTTCGATGATTCCATTAGATTCCATTTGATGATGATTCCATTCGAGTCCATTTGATGATTCCATTCGATTCCATTCAATGATGATTCCACTCGAGTCCATTCAATGATGATTCCACTCGAGTCCATTCGATGATTCCATTCGAGTCCATTTGATTATTCCTTTAGATTCCATTCATTCATTATTCTATTCAATGTCATTCGATGGTTCCATTTGATTCCATTCAATGATGATTCCATTTGAGTCCATTCGATGATTCCATTTGATTCCATTCAATGATGATTCCATTTGTGTCTATTCGATGATTCCATTCGATTCTATTCCATGATGATTACATTCGAGTCCATTCGATGATTCCTTTCTTTTCCATTCGATGGTGATTCTATTCGAATCCATTCGATGATTCCATTCGTTTCCATTCGATGATTCCATTCCGTTCCTTTTGATGATGATTCCATTGGATTCCATTCGTTGATGATTCCATTAGATTCCATTTGATTATGATTCCATTTGATTCCATTCAATGATGATTCCATTCGTTTTCATTTGATGATTCTATTCAATTCCATTAGATGATGATTCCTTTCTATTCCATTTGATGATTCCATTAGATTCCATCCGATGAGGATTCAAATCAATTCCGTTTGATGATGATTCCATTCAATTCCATTAAATGAAAATTCCATTCGTGTCCATTTGATTATTCCATTCATTTCCATTCGATGATGATTCCATTCGCATCCATTAGATGACTCCTTTCAATTCGATTCAATGATGATTCTATTTGATGCCATTTGATGATTCCATTTGATTCCATTCGATGATGATTCCATATGATTCCATTTGATGATTCCATTCGATTCCATTCTATTATGATTGCATTCGATTCCATTCGCTGATTCCATTTGATTCTATTTGATGATGATTTCATTCGAGTCCATTCGACATTTCCATTCCATTCCATTCGATGATGGTTCATTCGATTCCATTTGATGATTCTATTTGATTCCATTTGATGATTCCATTCGAGTCCATTCGATGATTTCTTTCTATTCCATTCGATGATTCACTTCGATTCCTTTAGATGATGATTCCATTCTATTCAATTCGATGATGATTCCATTCACTTCCATTCGATAATTCCATTCGATTCCATTAGATGATGATTCCATTCGATTCCATTTGTTGATTCCATTTGATTCCTTTGGATGATGATTCTTTTTGAATCCATTTGATGATTCCATGGGATTTCATTCAATGGTGACTCTATTCAATTCCATTCGATGATTCCATTCATTTCCATTCGATGATGATTGCATTGCATTCCATTCGATGATTCCATTCGATTCCATGTGATGATGATTCCATTCGAGTCCTTTCGATGATTCCATTCGGTTCCATTCCGTGAGGATTCCATTCGTGTCCATTCTATGACACAATTAGATTCCTTTCAATGAAGATTCCATTCCAGTTCATGAGATAATTCCATTCGATGATGATTTCATTTGATTCCTTTTGATTTTTCCATTCGATTTCATTCGATGATGTTTTTATTCGAGTCCATACGATGATTCCATTCGATTCCATTCAATGATTATTCCTTTCGAGTCCTTTCGAAGATTCCATTCAATGTCATTCGATTTTGATTCCATTCGTGTCCATTCGATGATTCCACTGGATTCCATTCGATGATTCCATTCGATTCCATTCGCTGATTCCTTTTGATTCCATTCGATGATCATTCCATTCAATTCCATTCAATGATTTCATTTGATTCCAATCGATGATGATTCCATTCAAGGCCATTTGATGATTCCATTTGATTCCATTCGATGGTGATTCCATCCAATGCCATTTGATGATTTCATTCGATTTCATTCAATGATGATTTCATTCTATTCCATTCGATGATTCTATTTGATTCCATTTGATGATGATTCCATTCGAGTCCATTCGATGATTCTATTCGATTCCATTCGATGATGACTGCATTCGAGTCTATTCAATGATTCCATTCGAATCCATTCGATGATGATTCCATTCGATGATTCCATTCAATTCCATTCTATGATGATTCCATTCGAGTCCATTTGATGTTTCCATTCGATTCCATTTGATGATTCCATTCGATTCCATTTGATGATGAGACCATTCGATTCAATTCCATGAGTATTCCATTCGATTCAATTTCGATGATATTTCCATTCGAGTCCATTCAATGATTCCATTCCATTCCATTAGACGATGGTTCCATTCGATGCCATTCGATGATTCCATTCAATTCCATTTGATGATGATTCCATTCGAGTCCATTCGATGATTCCATTCGATTCCATTTGATGATTATTCCATTCTATTCCATTCGATGATTCCATTCAATTCCATTCAATGATGATTCCATTCGAAGATTCCATTCCATTCCATTTGATGATGATTCCAGTCGAGTCCATTCGATGATTCCTTTTGATTCCATTCGATGATGATTCCATTCAAGTCAATTCAATGATTCCATTTGATGCCATTCAATGATGGTTTCTTTCAAGTCCACTCAATGATACCATTCGATTCCATTCAATGATGATTCCATTCGAGTGCATTCCATAATTCCATTCGTTTCTGTTCGATGATTGTTCCATTCAATTCCATTCCTTGATGAATCCTTTCCATTCCATTTGATGATGACTCCTTTCGATTGCATTTGTTGATGATGTCATTCAATTCCATTCAATGATGATGACTCCATTCAATTCCATTAGATGATGATTCCTTTCAATGATTATTCCATTCAATTCCATTCCATGATTATTCCTTTCAATTCATTTCAATGATGATTCCATTCAATTCCATACGATGATGATTCCACTCAAGTCCATTTAATGATTCCATTCGAATGCATTCAATCATTCCATTAGAGTCCATTCAAAGATTCCATTAGTTTCCATTAGATGATGATATCATTTGAGTCCATTCCATGATTCCATTCGATTCCATTTGATGATTCCATTCAAGTCCATTCAATGATTCCATTTGATTCCACTCGATGATGATTCTGTTCAATTCCATTCGATGATCATTCCATTCGATGCCATTTGATGATGATTCCATTCATCTCCATTTGATGATTATTCCATTTGAGTTCATTCGATGAGTCCACTCGATGATGATTCCATTCGTTTCCGTTCGATGGTGACTCCGTTCGATTCCATGTGGTGATGACTCCTTCCAATTCCATTCTATGATTCCATTTGATTCCATTCGATGATGATTCCATTCGAGTCCATTTGATGATTTCATTTGATTCCATTCTATTATTCAATTCGATTCCATTCGATGATGATTCCATTCGATTCCATTAGATGATAATTAGATTTGATTACTTTCGATGATTTTATTCGATTCCATTCGATGATTCATTTCGAGCCCATTTGATGATTCCATTCAATTCCATTCGATGATACCATATGATTCCATTTGATGATGATTCCATTAGAGTCAAATTGATGATGATTCCATTCGTTTCCATTTGACGATTCCATTCGATTCCATTCAATGTTTCACTTCGATACCATGTGATGATGATTCCATTCGATTCCATTTGATGACTCCATTCAGTTACATTCGATGACGATTCCATTCGAATCCATTCGATGATGATTCCTTTAGTTTCCTTTCGATGATTCCATTTGATTCCATTAATTGATGATTCCATTCGATTCCATTTGATGATGATTCTATTGGATTCCATTCGATGATGATTCCATTCGATTCCATTCGATGATTCCTTTTGATTCCATTTGATGATTCACTTCGATTCCTTTTGATGATGATTCCATTCGATGATTCCAATCGATTGTATTCGATGATCATTCCATTCTATTCCATTCAATGATGATTCCATTCGAGTCCATTCGAAGATTCCATTTGATTTTATTTGATGATGATTCCATTCGATACCATTCTATGATCCCAATCGATTCCATTCAATGATGATTCCATTCGATTCCATTTGATGATTCCATTAGATTCTATTCAATGATGATTCCATTAGATTCCATTTGATAATTCCATTCGATTCCATTTGATGATGATTCCATTCATTTCCGTTTGATGATTCTATTCGATTTCATTCAATGATTTTTCCATTAGAGTCCATTCAATGATTACATTCGATTCCATTCGATGATGATTCCATTCGAGTCTATTCCATTCCATTCCATTCCATTCGAGTCCATTTCATTCCACTACATTCCATATCATTCGAGTTCATTCCGTTCCGTTACATTCCATTCCATTCGTGTCCATTCAATACCATTCCATTCCAATAGATTCCATTCCACTACATTGCTTTTGAGTCCATTCCATTCCATTCGAGCCCATTCCATTCCATTGCATTCGAGTCCATTCCATTACATGCTATTCCATTTGAGTCCATTCCATTCCATTCTATTTTAGCACAATCCATTCCATTCCATTCAATTCGAGTCTATTCCATTCCAATCCATTCCATTCGGGTCCAATCCATTCAATTCCACTCGAGTCAATTCCATTGCACTGCATTCCATTCGAATCCATTCCATTCCATTCGTTTTGAGTCCATTCAATTCGATTCGAGTGCATTCCATTCCATTCCGTTCCATTGGAGTCCATTCCATTGCATTCCATTCCATTCAAGTCTATTCCATTCTATTCCATTCGAGTCCATTCCTTTCAATTCCATTAGAGTCCATTCTATTAAATTCCGTTGTATTCCATTCGAGTCCATTCCATTCCATTCCCTTCCATTTGTGTCCATTCCATTCCATTCGAGTCCATTCCACTCGAGTCCATTCCATACCATTACATTCTGTTCGACTCGAATCCATTCAATTCCATTCCATTCCATTCAAATCCATTCCACTCCATTCCATTCGAGTGCCTTCTACTCTATTCCTTTCCACTCGAATCCTTTCCATTCCATTCTAGTCCATTCCATTCTGGTCAATTCCTTTCCATTCCATTCCATTCTATAACAGTCCATTCCATTCCATTCTATAACAATCCATTCCATTCCATTCCATTCCATTCCATTCCATTCCATTCCATTCCAGTCCATTGCATTCCATTCCACTTGAGTCCATTCCATTCCATTCCATTAGAGACCATTCCATTCCAATCCAATCTATTCGAGTCCATTCCATTACATTCGAGTCCATTCCAATCCATTTCGTTTGAGTCCCTTCCATTCAATTCCATTCATTTCCACTCGAGTCCATTCCCGTCCATTCCATTCCATTCCATTCTATTTCATTCAAGTCCATTCCATTCCGTACTTTTCCATTCCATTCCAGTCCATTCCAATCCATTGCATTCCATTCCAATCGGTTCCATTCCATTTCATTCTATTTGAGTCCATTCCATTCCATTCCACTCCATTCGAGTCCATTCCATTCCATTCCACTCCATTCGAGTCCATTCAATTCCATTCCATTCCATTCCATTCCATTCCACTCCATTCAATTCCTCTCCATTCCATTCCATTCCATTTCATTCCATTCCATTCCGTTCCATTAATTTCAGATCCATTCCATTCCATTCCATTCAAGTCCACTCCATTCCATTTGATTCGTGTCTATTCCATTACATTGCATGCCATTCGAGTTCATTCCTCTGCATTCCATTTCATTCGAGTCTTTTCCATTGCATTCCATTCCATTCCACTCCAATCTATTCCATTCCATTCCATTCCATTCGAGTCCATTCCAGTTCATTCAAGTCCATTGCATCCATTCCATTTCATTCGAGTCCACTTCATTCCATTAAGTTCCATTCCATTCCATTCCATTCCATTCCATTCCATTCCATTCCTTTCCATTCTTCTCGGGTCCATTCAATTCAAATGCATTCCATTCGATTCCATAACCTTCCATTCCATTCCATTCCGTTCCATTCCCTTCCATTCCATCTGAATCCATTCCATTCCATTCCATTCCATCGAGTCCATTTCATTCCATTACTTTCCATTCCTTTCGAGTTCATTCCATTCCATTCCATTCCATTAAATTCGAGTCAATTCAATTCCGTTCCATTCCATTAGAGTCCATTCCACTCCATTCCGTTCGAGTCCATTCCATTCCATTGGAGTCCATTCCATTCCAATGCATTCGAGTCCATTCCATTCCATGCTATTCCATTTAAGTCCATTCCATTGCATTCGAGGCCATTCCATTCCATGCTATTCCATTTGAGTCCATTCCATTCCATTCCATTTGAATCCATTCCATTCCATTCGAGCCCAAACCATTCCATTCCATTCAATTTGAGTCCATTCCATTCCAATCCATACCACTCGGGTTCACTCCATTCAAATCCTTTCGAGTCAATACCATTCCATTCCATTCGAGTCCATTCCACTGCATTCCATTCCATTCGAGTCCATTCCATTCCATTCTATTCTAGTCCATTCCATTCCATTCGAGTCCATTCCATTCCATTCTATTCTAGTCCATTCCATTCCATTCCATTCCCTTCGAGTCCATTCAATTCCAATGGATTCCATTCCATTCCGTTGCATTCCATTCCATCTGAGTCTATTCCATTCTATTACATTGAAGTCCATTCCATTCCATTCCATTAGAGGCCATTACATTAAATTCCATTGTATTCCATTCGAGTGCATTCCATTCCATTCCGTTCCATTTGTGACCATTCCATTCGATTGGAGTCCATTCCGTTCGAGTCCTTTCCATACCATTACATTCCTTTTGACTCAAATCCATTCCAGTCCATTCGATTCGAGTCCATTCCATTCTTTTCCATTTTGTACCATTCGAGTCCATTCCATTCCATTCCAGTCCATTCCATTCTATTCCATTTTATACCATTCTAGTCCATTCCATTCCATTCTATTCGAGTCCATTCAATTTCGTTCGAGTCCATTCCATTCCATTCCATTCCATTCCATTCTAATCCATTCCATTCCATTCCATTCCATTCCATTCCATTCCATTCCATTCGGGTCCATTACATTTCATGCCATTCGAGTCCATTCCATTCCATTCCACTCCATTCTGGTACATTCCATTCAATTCCATTCCATTCGAGTCCATTTCTTTCATTCCATTCCATCCAATTCGGGTCCATTCCATTGCATTCCATTCAAGTGCATTCTATTCCATTCCACTCCATTCTAGTACATTCCATTCCATTCGAGTTATTTCCATTCCATTCCATTCTATTCGAGACCATTCCATTCCATTAGAGTCCATTCCACTCCATTCCATTCGAGTCCATTCCATTCAATTCCATTCCATTCCTTCAATCCATTCCATTCCATTCCAGTCCAGTCCATTCCATTCCATTCCCTTCAATTCTATTCCATTTATTTCCTTTCCATTCCATTCCAAGCTATTCCATTCCATTACATTACATTCGAGTCAATTCCATTACATTCCATTCTATTTGAGTCCGTTCCATTCCATTCCACTCCATTCCAGTCCTTTCCATTCCATTCCATTCCATTCCCTTCCATTCCATTCCATTCCATTCCAGTCCATTCCATTCCATTGGAGTCCATTTCATTCGTTTCCATTCGATTTCATTCCATTCAATTCCATTCCATTCCATTCAATTCGAATCCATTCAGTTCCATTCCATTACATTCGAGTCCATTGCATTCCATTCCAATCCATTAAATTCATGTCCATTACTTTCTGTTACATTCGATTCAATTCCATTCCATGCCATTCAAGTGCATTCCATCCAATGTCATTCAATTCCACTCGAGTGATTCCATTCCATTACACTCCATTCGAGTCCATTCCATTCGAGGCCACTCTATTCCATTCCATTCGAGGCCATTCCAATCCATTCCATTCCTTTCAAGTCCATTTCATTCCATTCCATTCTACTCCTTTCCATTAAATTGCCATCCATACCATTCCATTCTGTTCCATTCCATTCCACTATATTACATTCCTTTCCATCCCATTCCATTCCATTCCCTTCCATTCCAATTCATTCCATTCCATTCCTTTCAAGTCCATTTCATTCCATTACTTTCAATTCCATTTGAGTCCATTTCTTTCATTTTCATTCCATTCCATTCATGTCCATTCCATTTGAGACAATTCCATTCCATTCACGTCAATTCCATTCCATTCATGTACATTAAATTGCATTCCATTCCATTCCATTAGAGTCCATTACATTGCATTCCATTCTAAACCTTTCCATTCCATATCATTCCATTACATTTGAGTCCATTCAATTCCATTCCATTATAGTCCAATCCTTTCCATTCCTTTGGAGTACATTCCATTCCATTTCATTCGAGTCCATTCCATTCTATTACATTCATGTCCATTCCATTCCATTGCATTACATACCATTCCAATCCTTTCCATTCCGTTCCATTCCATTGCATTCCATTGCATTCGTATCCTTTCCAATCCATTTGATTCGATTCGATTCCATTCCATTCTATTCCATTCAAGTCCATTCCTTTCCATAGCTTACCATTCCATTTCATTCCTTTCCATTCCATTCATTTCCATTCCATTCGATTACATTCCATTCGTGTCAGTTCCATTCCATTCCATTCGAGTCCATTCCATTCCATTCTATTCGATTTGAGTCCTTTCCATTCTGTTCCATTCGAGTCCATTCGATTGCACTCCATTACATTACATTCCATTCGAGTGCATTCCAATCCATTCCATTCCATTCGAGTCCATTCCATTCCAATCCATTCCTTTCGGTTCCATTCCATTCAATTCTGTTAGAATCAATTCCATTCCATTCCTTTCGAGTCCATTCCATTGCATTCCATTCCATTCCTTTAGAGACCATTCAATTCCATTAAATTCCATTCGAGTCCTTTCCATTGCATTCCATTCCATTGGTGACCATTCCATTCTATTCCATTCGTGTCCATTCCATTCCATTCCATTCCATTATAGCCCATTCGATTCCATTCCATTAGAGTCCATTCCATTCCATTAAATTCCACTGTATTCCATTTGAGTCCATTCTATTCCCTTCCATTCAATTCGTGTCCATTCAAGTCCATTCCATTCCATTCCTTTCAAGTCCATTGCATTCTATTCCATTCAATTCCATTCCATTCCACATCATTCCATTCCATTCCAGTACATTCCATTCCAGTCGGGTCCATTCCATTCGAGTCCATTCCATTAGATTCCATTCCATTCCACTCCAGTCCATTATATTCAATTCCATTCGACTCCTTTCCATTCCATTCCAATCCTTTCAGGTCCATTCCATTCCATTCCATTCGAGTCCATTTCTTTCCGTTCCTTTACATTCGTGTCCATTCCATTCCATTCCATTCCAGACACTTCATTTCAATTCCATTCCATTCCTTTCGAATCCATTCCATTCCATCCTAGTCCATTCCATTCCATTCCATTCAATACCATACCATTCCATTCCTTTTGAGTCTATTCGATTCCATTCCATTACATTCCATTCGTGTCCATTCCATTCCATTTCATTCGAATGCATTCCATTCCATTCAATTCCATTCGACTCCATTTCATTCCACTCATTCCATTCCATTCTAGTCCATTCCATAACATTTCATTCCGTTCAATTCAAGTCCATTCAATTCCATTACATTTCATTTGATTCCATTCCACTCCATGCCACTCGAGTCCATTCCATTCTAGTCCATTCCATTCCATTCCATTCCATTCGGGTCCATTCCTTTCCATTCCATTCGAGTCCATTCCATTGCATTCGTGTCCATTTCATTCGAGTCCATACAATTCTACTCCATTCCATTTGATTCCATTCCATTCCAGTACATTCCATTCCATTCCGTTCTATTCCATTTGAGTCCAATCCATTCCATTCCATTCCATTCGAGTCCATTCCATTCCATTCGAGTTCATGCCATTTCTTTATGTTCCAGACAATTCCATTCCATTCGATACCATTTGAGTCCTTTCCATTCCATGCCATTCGAGTCCATTCCTTTCTAACCAATTTCATTGGAATACATTCCATTCCATTCCGTTCGCATCTGTACTATTCCATTCCATTCCATTCGAGCCCATTCCACTACTTTCCATTCCATTTGAGTCCATTCCATTCCATTCCATTCCATTCCATTTGAGTCCATTCCATTCCATTCCATTCCATTTCATTCGAGTAAATTCCTACCCATTTCATTCCGTTCGAGTCGATTCCATTCCATTTGAGTCAATTCCATTCCATTCGAGTCCACAGCATTCCATTCCATTCGAGTCTATTCCATTCCATTCCATTCCTGTCCATTCCTTTCAAGTCAATTCAGTTCAACTGCAATCCGTTTGAGTCCATTCCATTTAAATTCCATTCCATTCCATTCCATACCATTCCTTTCGTTTCCATTCCATTCGATTCCGTTTCATTCCATTACATTCCATTCCATTCGACTCCATTCTCTTCCTCTACATTCCATTCAATTCGAGTACATTCCATTCCATACCATTCCATTCGATTCCATTCCATTCCATTTGATTCCATTCCATTCCACTGCATTCGAGTCCATTCCATTCCATGCTATTCCTTTTGAGTCATTTCCATTCCATTCCATTCGAGACCATTCCTTCCCAACCCATTCCACTCGAGTCCATTCAATTCCATTCCATTCCATTCCGAACCTGTCCATTCCATTCCATTGAATTCTATTCGATTCCATTCCATTGCATTAGGCTCCAATCCATTCAATTCCATTCGAGTCAATTCCATTCAATTCCATTTGAGTCAATTCCATCACATTCCATTCCAATCATTTCGAGTCCATTGAATTCCATTACATTCTATTCGAATCCATTCCATTCCCTTCCATTCGAGTCATTTCCATTGCAATACATTCCATTCGAGTCCATTCCTTTTTATTCCATTTGAGTCCACTCCATTCCATTCCATTAGATTCCATTCCATTCAATTCCGCTGTATTCCATTCGAATACATTCCATTCCATTCCATTCAATTAGATTCCATTCGAGTCCATTCCATTCCATTCAACTCCATTCGCGTCCATTCCATTCCATTCAAGTCCATTCCACTCCATTGCATTTCATTTGAGACCATTCCATTACATTACATTACATTCCAACCGAGTCCACTCAATTCCATTCCATTCGAGTCTATTCCACTCCATTCCATTCGAGTCCATTCCATTCCACACCATTCCATTCGAGTCCATTCCACTCTATTCCGTTTGAGTCCATTCCATTCCATTCCATTTCTGTCCTTTCCATTGCATTCCATTACATTCGAGCCAATTCCATTGTACTCCATTCGAGTCCATTTCATTCAATTCCATTAGATTCCATTCCATTAGTGTCCATTCCATTAAATTCCATTCCATTCCATTCGAGTCCATTCCATTCCATTCGAGTCCATTCAATTCCATTCCTTTCTAGTCCCTTCCATTCTAATCCATTCCATTCTATTCCATTCAAGTCCATTCCATTCTGCTTCATTCCATTCCATTCCAGTTCTTCCCATTCAATTCCATTCCATTCCATTCCATTTCAGTCCATTCCATTGCATTCCATTCCATTAGAGTCCATTCCATTAAATTCCATTCCATTCCATTCGAGACCATTCCATTCCATTCAAGCCCATTCCATTCAATTCCCTTCGAGTCCCTTCCATTCCATTCCTTTCCTTTCTATTCCATTCAAGTCCATCGCATTCTGCTTCATTCCACTCCTTTCAAGTCCTTTCCATTCCATTCGGGTCCATTTCATTCCATTACATTCCATTCCATTCGAGTCCATTCCTTTGCATTCAAGGCCATTCCATTCAAGTCCATTCCATTCCACTCCATTCCATTCAATTCCTTTCCATTCCTTTTGAGCCCATTCCGTTCCATTCGATTCCATTCCATTGCATTCCATTCCAGTCCATTCCCTTCCATTCTATTCCATTTGAGTCCCTTCCATTCCTTTCCATTCTAGTCCGTTCCATCCCATTCCATTCCATTCCATTGCTTTCCATTCCAGTCCATTACATTCCATTCCATTCGAGTCCATTCCATGACATTCAAGGCCATTCTATCCCATTCCATTCCATTCCATTGCTTTCCATTCCAGTCCATTACATTCCATTCCATTCGAGTCCATTCCATGACATTCAAGGCCATTCCATCCCATTCCATTCCATTCCTTGCATTCCATTCCTTGCATTCCATTCCAGTCCATGCCATTCCATTCCATTCGAGTCCATTCCCTTCCATTCCATTCCATTGCATTCCCTTCCAGCCCATACCATTGCATTCTCTTCCATTTGAATCCATTCAATTCACTTCCATTTGTGTCCATTGCATTCCTTTCCATTCGAATCCACTCCATTCCCACCCATTTCATTCGAGTCAATTCCTTTTAATTCCGTTCGAATTCATTCCATCCAATTCCATTCCATTCGTGCACATGCCACTGCATTCCATTCTATTTGAGTCCATTGAATTCATTCCATTTCATTTGTGTCCATTCCATTCAATTTCATTCGAGTCAATTCCATTCCACTGCATTTGAGTCCATTCCATTGCATTCCATTCCATTCGAGTCCATTCCATTCCATTCCATTTGAGTCCATTCCATTGCATTCCATTCCATTCGAGTCCCTTCCATTCCGTTCCATTTGATTCCATTCCATTGCATTCCATTACATGCTTTTCGAGTACATTCAATTCCATTCCATTCCGTTCCATTCAAGTGCATTCCACTCTATTCCATTAGAGTCCATTCCATTCAATTCCATTAGAGTCCATTCCATTGAATTCCATTGTATTCCATTCGAGTACATTCCATTCCATTCCATTCCGTTTGTGTCCATTCCATTCCATTCGTGTCCGTTCCTTTCAATTCCTTTTGATTCCATTCCATTCCATTCTATTCCATTCAAGTCCATTCCATTCCACATCTTTCCATTCCATTCCTTTCCATTCCATTCCATTCCATTCCTTTCCATTCCATTCCTTTCCATTCCATTCCATTCCATTCCATTCCATTCCAGTCCTTTCCATTCCATTCTGGTCCATTTCATTCCATTCCATTCCTTTCGAGTCTATTCCATTCCATTGCATGCGATTTGAGATCATTCCACTTCATTCCATTTCATTCAAGTCCATTCCATTCCATTCAATTGCATTCCATTCCATTCCATT